>NC_000003.12:114008604-114311634 GCF_000001405.40 Homo sapiens
AAAACTAAACAACTGTGTATAATACCAAACACCATAACTAAACCAAAAAGACAAATGACAAAATGGAAAAAATGTTTGCAATATATAATAATAAAAGCATCAATAGTCTTAAAATATAAAGAACTCTTATAAATAAGAAAAAGATATCAAATAGAAAAATGGACAAAGGGCATGAAGAGACAAGTCACTATATATCTGTATCTTACTACATCCATATATAGATATATATACAGTCATGCATTGCTGAATAATGGGGATTTGTTCTGAGAAATAGGTGATTTTGTTGTGTAAACACTGTAGAGTGTACTTACACAAACCAGGATGGTATAGTCTACTGCATCTAGGCTATATGGTATAGCCTATTGCCCCTAGTCTACCAACCAGGGCAGGATGTTACTATACGGAATACTGTAGGCAACTGTAACACATGGGAAGTATTTGCATATCTAAACATAGAAAAGGTACAGTAAAAACAGTATACAAGATAAAAAATGGTACACCTGTATGGGGGCACTTACCATGAATGGCACTTGCAGGACTGGAAGTTGCTCTAGATGAGTGAATGTGAAGGCCTAGGACATTATTATATACTAGTGCAGACTTCATAGACATTGTATACTTAGGCCACACTAAATTTATTAGAATTTTTTTTCTTCAGTGATGAATTAATCCTAGCTTACTGTAACTTTCTATTTTATAAACTTTTAAATTATTAACTTTTTGACTCTTTTATAAAGTAACAGCTTAAAACACAAACATTGCACAGCTGTACAAAAATATTTTCCTTCTTTATATACTTATTCCATAAGCTTTTTTTTCCTGTTTTTAAAGAGGTTGTTTTTTAAAAAAATTTTAAAACACATTTTTGTTAAAAACTAAGATACAAACACACATATTAGCCAAGGACTACACAGGGTCAAGATCATCAAGAAGTCACTAAGCAAGAGGAACTTTTTGGCTCCATTATAATCTTATGGGACCACCACTGTGTATGTGGTCAGTCATTCGCCAAAACATTGCTATGTGGTGCACAAGTGTATATTCAATATAAAAATGTTTAACCTTACTAGTAATCAAAGAGATACAAATGTTGAAGCAATAATAAGATGAAAATAGAACATGCATTCCATTTTTAGGTATTATCCTAAGTAAAGCATTATGGATATGTGCAGATTTAGCTACTAGGATGTTCACTGAAGCATTGTTCACAATGGCGGCAAACTGGAAACAACTTAAATTCCAGTAATACAGGAGCTAAACAAATTCCAGCTTATGGTTCATTACAGAGTATCATGTAGCCATTACAAAATGGTGGCACAGAATACTAGTCCTTAGACAGGGGATATGTATTACGTCCACTTGCGGAACTTAAAAAAAAAGAGCTGCCCCACACCCAAAAATTCTGTTTTAGTAGATGTGATTCTGAGGTATACTCTCAGTTGAGAACTACTATTGCAGAAGTGTATGTAATGACAGAAAATGCTCATGTTATATTGTGAAAACGTAATTTTTTTTTTAGAAGAACAGTAAGTATTAGTATTAAGAAGGAAAAAAAAACATGGCCTTCCTTTTCCTGAATTTTGGCAGACGAGTTCCTCAATGGCCTGACTAAAGAAAATTTAAAAGCTAAATAAAATATTAAGAGATAAATTTGCATATGCTTAAAGACTAGATGGCTATACTTTAACATGTTATTAGTGATTATCTATAGATGACAGAATTATAGGAGTTTTTCTCTGTGATCTTCTATCAAATTGCTACAATTAGTACATATGACTTTTCTTATTAGAAAAAGAAAAATTTTAAATTTCCCCTCTTGTAAGTCACAAACTCATTTAGAAAGGAAATGTCTGATGATCAAAAAGGGGAGTTCAAGAGTTATAGACAGTGCTTTACCTGTCTTTTCCTAAACGAATATTTTACTTAGTTGTTTTAAATGCCCTTTCGATATTAAATCCCTACTAACTTCCAATGATGCCAAAGTTTATATATGATTATAAAAAGAAGATTCAATTCAAGGAAATAAACACTGCCTGAAAGGTAGTGCATTGAGGCAGCTCTAATCTTCTGATAGCCTAGACAAAGCAATCTGACAATGACTGACATACCAGCTATAAAAGCACAAACCTCAAATGCAAGTGTTTACTAAGCAGGAAAAACAACGTACCTGTCCATTTTTTACTGGTGGACCCACCATGGCTGTTGCCTCCTCAGGTAGACTGATGCCTGATAACCCATTGGCACTGAGTTTCCCCAGTGATGCTGCCTGCAGCAGTGCATCCATCTTCTTCCTAGTTTCCTCTTTTGTGAGAGCCAGCTCTCTCTTCAGGAGCTCGGCGCCATGCCAATGCTGCCATTCTGTAAAGCAGTGTCGGAGAACTTGTTTCCGGTTATACTCAGTGGCCAGTTGTTGTTTTCTAAGCAACAAAGCACTTCCATTAAAATAAAGAAGCCATTTACAGTTTGTTAATTGATAATATAAATGAAACATAAGTCCAAAAGGGTTCTAGAAATGCTCCATCTTAGCTCTCGCTTAACATTTTATATTAAGCTAAATGAAATTGCTTTATAAATTCCCCAGTGCAAAGGATCTCCTCATAGAAGGTGTCAGCACTTCAACAGATTACCTTCAAGAAGAAAGAGGAACTGTTCTGTTCTCATGTCACAAGGGCATGTTACATGTTTTTGATTACCATAGTTTCTGAAAGCTTTTGGAGGGGAAAGAGCAAAAAGAAGAGGTACACAAGTAATGACTTTAAAAAGATGAATGCATGAGGGAGACAGAGGTTCAGCTATGCACGAAAATTTTAAAAAGACAGGTTTAGGAGAAAGAGAAAGCAACAAAATTATAACACTTAACAAGTTAAATTGTCAATAATTTAAGTAAAAGGCTTACAAAAATCAAAGTAACACTGAGGGTTGATCTTGTGAAAGAAGAACTGGTCAGGGAAAGGACTGCTAAAGAGAAGGACTCATTTACCAAACCCTTGAACTGAATGCATGTCTGCCCCAAGAAGGTACTTGCTAAGCACTAGATGTGTAAAGGGCAAAGGCAAGGCCCCTGGTCTCATGGAACTCATTTATTTTCTACACCTTCCTAAGGAAGAGCTCACTTTGATTCCTGGAAACTTTATAAATGTTAGGGAATATGACTGAGGGGAGGTTGGGATGTGGTGTTACTGCCAGCCACATTTTCTTCCCAATGGGAATCTGCATTAGGAGATTTGGTGGCAGTCAGTTGAGAATTCAAACATAGAGGTCTGAGATCTATCTATAAGTGAATGGTTATTATCCTGAAGAACTTAGCTGTGAGTGTGGAACTTATTATGTAGTATCAGGGATCAGCTTTGAGGTTCAAAATATACTGTTTAGACACACACTGGATTGTATCTTGGAAAGGTGACTCATATAAGTTCTCCATATCCATTTCTGTTAAACATACATAATGCTTAAGTCTCCTCATGGACTCTTTGGGGTCATATCAAGCAAATCATAAAGTTCTTAACTCAGTGAGTCAGGAGACCATTTCTACAGTTCTTAAATGTTTATACGACTTTTAAACCTTTTTTTGACTGCAACCTACAGTAAGAAAAAATGTCACATTGTGACTCAATATACGTGTGTGTGTGTGTGTGTGTAAAAGTTTCACCAAATAATATTTACCCTTACCACAAGAGATATACTCTGATATTTCTAATCTATTCTATATTTCTTTTAAAAATAAGCAACCCTGCTAACAGCATATTTCATTATATTTAATTGTTTCCTTCTAATGCATTGATAGGTACTCAATAAATATTTAGAAATTCACTCACTGATGGTTTTTGTAATAAAAGTATAATATAGGTGGTAATAAACATTTATGTATGTTTTACTTTTATGAAAACAAATATCTGAGACTGAATAATCTTGAAATAAAAATTTTAGAAGAAATAACAATAAATCAGATAGCAACACAGGTAAGAACAAAGCTCTAAAAATCAGTGTATAAATAGTGAACAAAAAAACCCTGTAACACTTTATTCAAGTGAGTAAAAATCATAAATTTCTACAGGATAGAAGATGTACATTGCTGTGTCTGATTAATGTGAAATTCAATTTCCATCAATCTGCTCTGGAAGGAGGAGTGTGAAATTTACCTGATGTATTAATTTCCTGTTTTTACAGCACAAACAGCCAAAAGCAGCACTGGGGTTTTGACTGTCAAGGAGATTATTTGGACATTATGAAAAGGCAAAGAGAGAAACACTTCTGTAACTATAACAAGACTAAAAAAGTAAGAAAATGAGTAAAAAAATGCATGTTCAATATAGGGCTTAAAGCCCACTCTATAATGGTTGTGCGGGGATATGAAAATGTAGTTGGCCAGGCGCAGTGGCTGATGCCTGTAATCACAGGAATTTGGGAGGCTGAGGTGAGTGGATCACTTGAGCCCAGGAGTTTGAGACTTGGGCCACATAGTGAAACTTCATCTCTACAAAAAATATAAAAATTAGCTGGGCGTGGTGGTGAGTGCCTGTAGTCCCAGCTACTTGGGAGGCTGAAGTGGGAGGATCACCTGAGCCTGGGAAGTGGAAATTGCAGTGAGCCGAGATTGTGCCACTGCACTCCAGCCTGGGCAACAGAGTGAGACCCTGTGTCAAAGAAAAAAAAAAAAGTAAAAAAGAAAAAACAGAAAATGTAGTTACGATATCTGTATTTGTGGTTTGAGGCAGAAAGGCAGAAGCACAGAAGCTAGAGATCCAGAGACAAGGATAGTTCCACTACTGTTTTCTTGTAGCTCACTTCAGCAGAGTGACAATGTTGCATATAAGCCAATTTCTATACTTTCTAAAAGATAACACTAAAACATAAATATTTCTAAAAGCGAAAAATCACTTAAATTTCTTAAACCTTAGTCAGATGCAACTTACTTTGGTATGCTCACCTAAAGAAATGGTTTCAGACATAGGTGCCAGATAATCATAAATGGAAGGGCAGAGTTCCCTTATGAAAAATAGCCTATCCCAATTTCCTTGCAATCTGAAATCAGGGAATTTCTAGCCAGAGTATATAAATTGATCATCACAATGATATATAACTGCATGCAGAGAAAGGCAGGCTCTGCTCATCTAAGAATATAAAATACAAAAGGTTTGAATAGGAATTTAAGTATGAACCTTGCTGCCCAGGATGAACACTCAATGATACTGGGTGACTGGTGCATGTTTTGGAACTTACAAGTCAGAAGAAGAATGCTAACTAGACATGGGACACTGGGACAGCAACTGAGTTTCTAAGCCCCAGATTCATCCTCAAAAACAGTGTCAGTAAGCCCTATTATGCTGCCTATCCTACAAGAGTTTTTTTCCTGAGAATCTAATTCAATTTAAAACAACCCTGAAAATATAGAACAAAATTCACATGTAAGGTAATACCCACTGTCTTAGGACAAGACTACTAGATATCTGCAAAGTGTCTTGAACGTTTTAAAAGCAAATGAAAAATGATACATAATCACAAGCTGGTGATCTGATTGAGTGCTGTAATCTGATGCAGAACATAAAAAAGCAGTGACATGAACAGTTACATTTGGGATGAGCAGGTTTAGCTGGAATAGGAATGAATAAGCTCATGCATTCAATAATGTGCCAGGTACCCCCAGGGACAAAATGGAAGATAAAAACTGTTTTAAAAAGTTTTAAAGTTTTAAAGCGAGCCAGGCTATGAAAGCCTTGTCCTCTGCCTGTGTGACAGAGAGATCAGGAGTTTACCAGGTGAAGATACCATGCGGCTTCTGGCTGCTCACCTGCATACCCACGTGAGCAGAGGGAAGGACAATTGAACATGATTAACAGGCACACTCCGTAAATGATTTCCAAAAGAACACTGAAATCCAGAGTACTGGAAATGAGAATATCTGACGGCCTATTTTCAATTCAGCCTCACTTCTCCTCCCCACCTCCAGGTGAGCCTGGCGGGTTCACCCTGACCTGTTCCTACGCAAGACTGCCTATGTACTAGTTTACTAGTTCTTATCCAAATTAAAAAATGCCCTTTTCTACTTAGCCACATTCTGCCTCTTTCAGAAGGTGGGTCCCATGAATTTCTATTTCTAGAAAGCTCCCCAGGGGATCATAATGGAGGTGGGACCCATGAATTTCTATTTCTAGAAAGCTCTCCAGGGAATCATAATGAAGGATGTCATTCATGTCACTCCTAAGTATTTATCTTATGGTGTCTTCTGTTGCAATTGTGTTAAATATTTGGGTACAATTTTAACTTCCCCATTTAGATAAAAAACTCCTAGAAGGCAATAATGTTTAATATTTTTGTTCCCCCATCCTATCCCCAGGACTTAGGAGAGGATCTAGTATACAGTAAACATCAGTAAAGCTGGTTGACTGAATGAATTTATCCCAATCAAACAGTATGAACGAATGAATGACCAAACGAATGAGATGGTCTGAAGAATGCCAAAGGGCCAGTTTTTTTCACTGGCCTGCCACAGTACCCTCAAATCTCTGTCACTCCCACTTTGGGCACTGTTTCCAGACAGTGCCTGTTAAAATAAAAAAAAAATGTCCCGGGAGGGATAACATATCAAGTGAGAATTACAGTAACAAAGAACGAAGGGCTTGAGGGACAAAGGGAAGAGGTAAAAGCATGTTCCAGGAAAGGCCCAGAGCACTGGTGCAAGAGAAGGCAGGATTAAAGACTGTGGAGGTTAATACAGAGAAGGGCAGAGATGCGGCCCAGGAAAGAATTGAGAAATCTGGGAAGCAGGGCTCAGGAAGGACTGGCAGAAGATTTTTCTAAAATTTTTATTTTAATTTATCCATAGTTATTGGGGTAGAGGTGGTATTCACTTACATGAGTAAGTTTTTAAGTAGTGATTTATGAGATTTTGGTGCAGATGTTGAAAACAAACCATGTTTCTTCCCAATTTTGTCTGGGGCTAGCTGTAAATGCAGACAGAAAGGGGGAGAGGAGGAATGGAAGATCTGGAACCAACTTTCAAAAATGAACACACTAAGGAAATTGAATATACAGTTCAAATTTCAATACCACCATGTCAAATGGTCTAATTTAGTGTGTATACTAGAATTTTGTTGTATTACTAAATGAATCCTCAGGGTTTGGAAATATTTGTTCATGTTGAAGCTGCATCACAATATTGTAAGGACATTTTGTAACATTATTGCCATAACTTCTTTTAAAATAATAAACATGAACAAAAACAGAGTAACCACAATTCCTATTAGGAAAAGCAAGATGCATTTTTAGAAGAAATAAGTGGATGACTCCTTGGACTGCAAGTGAGACTCAGCACAGGCTCAACAAGGAAAGATGGTTGCTAAATTACGAATAAAAAGAGAGAGATTTGTGGTTGCTTCAGAGAGAAAGTGGGAAGAACAGAAAGAAAAGGGGCAAAAGAAAAAAGCCCACAAGTCTGGGCCCTTCATGGCGGACAGGCCAGTGAGCGGAAATCGAGGTGGCAAACACACACGTCAGCGAGGGGAGCTAGAGGATGAGGAAAACAACTGACATTTAAATAACGAACATAATAAGTAATTTCAATGTCCAGGTGAGTGAACCACAGAATTACCTGTGTTTTGTCAATCTGGTCAGAGCTAAGTTTCTATAGTGAGTAACCACGATAATAAATGCTCTCTCCTATCCCTGAGCTGTCTATTTAGAAAGAATGCTTCAAAACCCTATCAAGTTAAATTGCAGGAGAGGAAGCAACTGAGTTCTTCATTTGTTCCCTGACTTGCTTATTATTCAACAAGTATGGATTTGGTGTCCATTGAGGCTGCTCTTTGCTTTGTGACCTTGAGTCATTTACTGTCTCTGGGCCTTACTTTTATCATCTGTAAAATGAGGGGCTGGATCAGATGATCCTTGAGGTGCCTTCCTGCTCTGGGATTTTTTTTGCTCTAAAGCTTTATAGTAAAAAATTATTGTAAGTTAAATGTTTTCTAACTCTGGCAGTTAAAAAATGTTTAGTATCCATTCTAAACATTTAAAAATAGTCACCTGAAAATAATTCACAGATACAAGAAAAAGTTCTGAGAAGATCTTTTTTAAAAAATTGGCACATTATGCTATTATGAAATCCCTATTTAGTGCTTTTATATTTAAAGTTTAATTGGAACGGAATCTTAAATTTTCCAGATTCTCCTTATACAAGTTTCTTCTAGCATGTAAATCTCATAGGCCACTTTTAACTTCAACATCCAAGTGTCCACTCATTTTATGCCTGCACTCACATTGCATCCACTTTACAACCTGTTTCCCTTCTTTATCCAACAAATCCTGCCAGCTATTCCTTTCTGAGTAAGCTATCATCCTAATTCCTTGTATCAATCACTAGGTCCTGAGATTTTAGAAACAAACTATGGGAGAGTTTTCTGTGTTGGCCTCTATTTTTTTCACCAAAGATTTCTCCCAGCATATCATAGGAAAGGGAGATTGACTAGGTCACCCTCCTGCTTAAAAAACCTTCAAGGATTCACTTTTTTTTTTTTTTTTTTTAACCAAAGACTACCTTAACTCCATGTCCTGGCATTCAAGGCCATTCAGAAGTTGACGTACTTGACAACCACATGCTTGATAATCTCCAGCCAATCCAGATGGCTATGCTTCATGCCATCATCCCAGTCTCCCCATCTCTACCTAGGAACATCCTATTGACCATGAAAAGCTCAGATCAAGGCCCATCTTCTTGATAATGCCTTTCCTGGCACTCTTTAGGAATCTCCTTAGCCACAGCTACACATTCTTGCCACGTTCTCAGCAGCAGATGGAGATGTATTATTCAGTTTACAATACTCCTCAACACCTGTACAGTCTCTAGATGTTGTTTTGCCCATTCAACTGTGAGTTCTTTGAGGACAAGGGGCCATGCACCAGTCTCCAGGCCTGATGCTATCACAGGATTGCACAACTTTAAGAGGCACCATGCCCTTCTATGTAACAATACTGACATTTATCATTCATGTGATTTTTCATCCTGAATGAATGACAGAACTGCCAGTAGAGAAGTGATTACTTATAAAAACATGAATTTCTCCCCAACCCCTAAGTAAACAAATGGTTCCTTCACATGGACACAGAGAGGGGAACAGCACACACCAGGGCCTGTTGAGGGGTGGAGGATGAGGGGAGGAAACTTAGAGGATGGGTCAATAGGTGCAGCAAACCACCATGGCATACGTATACCTATATAACAAACCTGCACGTTCTGCACATCATTTATCACTTTTTTTTAGAATAAATAAAGAAAAACAAACAACCAAATGGTTCCTTTTACATCTGTGATTTTGATTCAAGAATGCAAACTTGAACTTGTAAATAATAATAAGAAAATTATTTGATTTTAAGATGATGGAATAAAGAAAGCCTCATTTGAAGGCAGAATTCTGTGTCATTCACAAACATAAGAAGGAGCTGTTATAAAGGTGTCAAAAAACCTCTAAATAAGGTGTGGAACAAAAGATGGTAGAGTGGGAGGAATCACTTTGGCAGGTTGGCCCTCCCAGATGGATGTGCTCTGTGTCCTTAATTAACATTTTATGTGCAGACAGTGATTTCTATGAATGAGAATTATTGGCATATAAGCCAAACACCCTCTTTTGAATTGTAAGATGGTCCAGGGTACAATGCTACTACACCAGAACACAAGGGAAAATCCTAATACTTGCTTCCATTAAAGAAAGAAGATCATGTACAATGTATATTTTATTTTATTTTATTTTATTTTATTTTATTGGAGACAGGATCTCACTATGTTCCCCAGGCTGGTCTTGAACTCCTAGGCTCGAGTGATCCTTCTGCCTTAGCCTTCTGAGTAGCTGGAATTACAGGCACACCCCACTGCTCCCGGCTAGCACATTTAAATAATTTTGTTTACTTATAATTTTCAGTAAAATTTTCTAGTTTGAGATGTAACATAGAAAAACTGTGATTACCATATTTCATAAGTGGTTAAGATTATTCTAGTTGGCATGTGTAAAGTTTATTTGTGGATTCTTCAGGAGGGAAATATCCTAGATAAACATACTAGATTTTCACAATACAAATAATGATACCTGTTTTCTTCCCTAAGATCATTTTCCAAGGCTTGAGTCTCCCGCTCCAACTTCTGGAATCTTGTGTAGTCTCTCCAGGCCCGCAGGACCTTCAGCTGAATCTTCCAGTCAGACAGGGTCCCAGCTTTCCCCAGCTTAATCCTATGATCAAGAATCAGCTTGTGCCAGGCAGCGAAATACCGTTTTTGACACTGCAGCGGAAATATTAGGAAAATCACCACCCATCAGCGCTAGTGTTTCTAATATCTAACACTGACAGCCCTCTCCTCAGATTTTCCCCTCACACTTTTAAAAACAAATACAGGAACTGTTGTCTTAATGGAAAGGAAGAGACAAAGCACAATTCCTTTATGCTAATAATGACAAGGAATATTCAATCATGCAAATGAGGCATTCTCAGCCTCACAACTTAAACTAAAATACTTCATTGTCATTGTAAGCCACCAGTCCCATGGGGAGCTGGAATAAGTCACATCTATGACATGAACCAAGGGGCTTGTTTGAGAAGCTTGAAAACTTGTTTCCAACATGACTCCCCCTGCCAGGTGTCTTGGAGCTCAAAATACCAACCATTTAATTCACTACCGTTTCTGACACACTAGTGTCCACACAAGTGAACGGGGGAGATTCCATGAAGATAGGATGGAGTCTCTGGTCCCTGAGAATAAGACAGCTATAAACAACAAAATCAGCTGGGCTACTACCACTGACCACTTTAGGGCTTTGGTGAGTCTAGAAAGACTAGATGTTCAGGCTGCCTATAATCTTCCACTACATGCACTTGACAGCAAATTAGACAAGGTCTACTGATCCTAAGGATGTCCCCAAAGCAGTACTTAACTCATGATCCTAGTCTAAGAAAATCACTGAGACCTAGTCCTTGCTTATATCTTCTCTCTTTTCAGCAAACTTTACATTCCTTCTAGATCAAATTACTTTCAGCTTTTGGCCTTGACACCAACCATGCCATTTCATAGTTTCCTATGTTCATATTACGTTGGTGCAAAAGTAATTGCGGTTTTTGCCATTGCTTTTCATAACCAAAAACTGCAGTAACTTTTGCACCAACCTAATATTAATTTCTCTGTCCCTCTTTTCTGCCTTCTTTCTGCCTAACTACAGTAGTCACCTCTCTCAGGAAGCCCTCCTGTTACCAATCCCTCTACCCAAATGTAACTGCCCATCCACTGTGTTCCTATAACAATCTATGCTTTCTTCAGCCAAAACACCCAACACACTATATTGTAATCACCAGTTTACTTTTCTCCCCTAGACTGTGAGCCTCCTGAGAGAAGGGAATAGGTCTCATAAATGGGAATGGTAAATCTGACAGTGGCACTGAGTGTGGGGAGCATTAAAACAAAAACTAACCTCATAGAAAGTGACTTTGTGGGAAGTATGGGGGATTTGCCAGTTTCAAGGATTTGCCTGATTTATCAGGCAAATATTTACTGCTTCTTTCTCTATAAAAATACTTAACTTTCTTCATTTCAGCATTTGCTAAGCAACCATCACTGTGTTTCAATTTGGGGACTCTGCACAAAATTGTTTGATATGACCTCTACTTCTAAGAGGTTATAGGGAAAGAGGATGTATCAATGAAAAGACCAATAACATAAGAGAGCATCTACTAGAATTCTTAGAAATTGTCTATTTGGCCAGAAATGTTTTCCAAACAGGGTATTAGTTTATATTCTTGTTTAGACAAACTAAACAATATTCTTCATTATAATTTCTCATTAGGAGAAACCATGGCAAACTTTAAAAAGCCCTCTCCATATGTCAAATAAGGCACATGTCCTAGACCTTCACCTTAGATCTTTTGGAGAGGATGAAAGGGAGGAAGGGAGAGAGGAAGGAAAGGAGATTTGCTGAATACTGGATACTCTTTCAGTTGTAATAGGGAGAAGAGATACAGCTGGCCAGGTTGAGGGGTATGCCTTTTGCATCATTTGTTTACCTGTTCCACAAAATACAGCATGAAAAAAATGGTGTTAACTTGTGTGCCATGGTTGAAAGAAAATGTTCTGTGTCTGTTTACCAAATCCCCTTAAGAGATTCCTCTTGAATGACTTGGTAAAATATTCTATGTGTAGCTATCTCTAATTTTAACTTCAGGATTATTTCAAATGATGAAATAGAACAAACATAATCCATCTTGATAATAATAACACTATTAATAGTATCCTTTGATTCTGACAATCCTTTTCTTTGTAAAGTTCAAAGCATCTTACGTGTACTATTTTTATTAATTTGTAAACCATCACTATAAAATAAAGATTGTAGATATTATTATGATTTACTTCACCAAGCTAAAACTTCAAGTAGAGAAAGGTTTAATGACTAAAATCACAAGTAAAGAGTTAGTGTTACACCTAAGGCTGAAACTGAAACATTCCAGCATCCTGATGACTCTAATCTATTAGGCAAAAACATCTCTCCTGAAAAAGAAAGGCACATTTTTTGCTGCTTTCATAGTGAAAGAAAACTGTATACATAACTTACCGTGGTAGAAAAGCATTGGTTAGGAACATATCTGAATGTAGGAGGGGAAATTTTGAGTTTATAAATTCTATAGTCAATATGTTTCTTTAAAAATACTTATGTTGAGACTTTGAGACCAAAATGATCAGTTTTAAAGGCCTATAATTCAGGTTCACCACACAGAAGCTAACAAGAGCAAAGTGACAAACCTGTATGGCAACTACTTTCTTGAAATTGACTTGCTATTGGTTTTTTCCCTGCCTGCTCAAAAAAACCAATCCCATTAAAATTTAAATTAAAAAAAAAAGTGTGAATCAAGAATAGCTGCTTAGTTATTCTTGATTCATAGCAAACATTATCCAGGTATACAGGAGTCCCATAAATGTGTTCGAAGAAAATATTTGGGAAAGGAATATACTCAGTTCCGTCTTCTCTGGAAAAAGTTGCTAGTTCTGTTTTTATTTAGAAGGGTGGCATACTTCCACAGACCTGAACTATTTATTCTTTCTATTCCTCCCTCCCCCCAGCTTACTTCCTGATGCTCCCAGGCCTGCTTCTCCTCGTTACTTTTCTATACTTTGGAACTACAATAGTGCTCTATCCCTTTGCTTTTTAAAACAAGATGTATGATTTAAAACCACAACTGGGTTGTTCTGTTTAAGCCAGGAGAACTTAAGTTTTAACTAGCCAGGTAACTAGTCTGATTTCCCTCCATTTATTTCCTAGTTCATTTATTTTTGTACCATGTTTTTATTTCTGTTAGATTTTCAAATATAGTCAGGCACTCTTTTCCTAACTTCCATCATCTCTTTATCATAGTTGTGGTAATAATTAAGGCTTGATATAGGTAAATAAAATACAGAAAGTCACTGAAGGAAGAACTGTTCCTAAGTACCTATCTATAATAATTTCTAAAATAAAATACTACCTGGTGAAATTTAGAAACTTTTAAAGTGAAATGGTGTCCTCCCCACAAAATCTTCCACAATACATCATTTGGTTGTTAAGGATTCCACTGAAGAGAAGAAATGACAGCTCGCTCTGCTAAATTTATTACCTGCACTGGAGTTGCCCTCGTTCTGTTAGCCAGAAAAGCTCTTCCCTGAAGTGTAATCACACTACTGTCACTAGGAATGATTGACGTTAGGTGGAACAGCAATTTGCTATCTAATCTTCATTGTAATTCTAACCCTGTCACTAGAGATGCTTGTTCTGATTAATGAAGTGGGTAACTCATCAAAATTCCTCAGCTATTTCTCTTTTGTCAGAAAGCTCAGTGATAATTGCATCAAAATTCTCCGTCATGGAAAAATAAACAATGAATTGTTAAGAGGACAAAAATGTCAACAAGTTTACAATTTATTTTTGCTGAATGGAACTAACTTTGGTGCAACTAATGGTCTAGGGAAGTTGGCAAAGGCTGGAATGTCAGGAAGAAAGCTACATTCTACACCCAGGCCCCTAAGTGACTCCTTGCTGTTCTCAGGCCAAAAGAAGAGAAACTCTATTGCTACAAAAGGGAGCAATCCTCAACTTCTCTTTTCCTTTGTGGGCTACTGTGGCTGGGCAGGAGACCCCACAGATGCTATGAAGTCCCTGGGGATTAGAGAGGTAGTTTTAAGTTGAAATGAGGAAGGAGAAAAAAAATTAATAAAAAATGGGGATCCTTTCAACATAGTGTTGGAAGTTCTGGCCAGGGCAATCAGGCAGGAGAAGGAAATAAAGGGTATTCAATTAGGAAAAGAGGAAGTCAAATTGTCCCTGTTTGCAGACAACATGATTGTATATCTAGAAAACCCCATCGTCTCAGCCCAAAATCTCCTTAAGCTGATAAGCAACTTCAGCAAAGTCTCAGGATACAAAATCAATGTGCAAAAACCATAAGCATTGTTATACACCAATAACAAACAGAGAGCCAAATCATGAGTGAACTCCCATTCACATTTGCTTCAAAGAGAATAAAATACCTAGGAATCCAACTTACAAGGGATGCGAAGGACCTCTTCAAGGAGAACTACAAACCACTGCTCAATGAAATAAAAGAGGATACAAACAAATGGAAGAACATTCCATGCTCATGGGTAGGAAGAATCAATATCGTGAAAATGGCCATACTGCCCAAGGTAATTTATAGATTCAGTGCTATCCCCATCAAGCTACCAATGACTTTCTTCACAGAAGTGGAAAAAACTACTTTAAAGTTCATATGGAACCAAAAAAGAGCCTGCATTGCCAAGTCAATCCTAAGCCAAAAGAACAAAGCTGGAGGCATCTCACTACCTGACTTCAAGCTATACTACAAGGCTACAGTAACCAAAACAGCATGGTACTGGTACCAAAACAGAGATATAGACCAATGGAACAGAACAGAGCCCTCAGAAATAATGTGACATATGTACAACTATCTGATCTTTGACAAACCTGACAAAAACAAGCAATGGGGAAAGGATTCCCTATTTAATAAATGGTGCTGGGAAAACTGGCTAGCCATATGGAGAAAGCTGAAAATGGATCGCTTCCTTACACCTTATACAAAAATTAATTCAAGATGGATTAAAGACTTAAATGTTAGACCTAAAACCATAAAAACCCTAGCAGAAAACCTAGGCAATACCATTCAGGACATAGGCATGGGCAAGGACTTCATGTCTAAAACACCAAAAGCAATGGCAACAAAAGCCAAAATTGACAAATGGGATCTAATTAAACTAAAGAGCTTCTGCACAGCAAAAGAAACTACCATCAGAGTGAACAGGCAACCTACAGAATGGGAGAAAATTTTTGCAATCTACTCATCTGACAAAGGGCTAATATCCAGAATCTACAATGAACTCAAACAAATTTACCAGAAAAAAATATACAACCCCATCAACAAGTGGGCGAAGGATTTGAACACTTCTCAAAAGACATTTATGCAGCCAAAAGACACATGAAAAAATGCTCATCATCACTGGCCATCAGAGAAATGCAAATCAATACCACAATGAAGTACCATCTCACACCAGTTAGAATGGCGATTATTAAAAAGTCAGGAAACAACAGGTGCTGGAGAGGATGTGGAGAAATAGGAATACTTTTACACTGTTGGTGGGACTGTAAACTAGTTCAACCGTTGTGGAAGTCAGTGTGGCGATTCCTCAGGGATCTAGAACTAGAAATACCATTTGACCCAGCCATCCCATTACTGGGTATATACCCAAAGGATTATAAATCATGCTGCTATAAAGACACATGCACATGTAGGTTTATTGCGGCACTATTCACAATAGCAAAGACTTGGAACCAACCCAAATGTCCAACAATGATAGACTGGATTAAGAAAATGTGGCACATATACACCATGGAATACTATGCAGCCATAAAAAATGATGAGTTCATGTCCTTTGTAGGGACACAGATGAAGCTGGAAACCATCATTCTCAGCAAACTATCGCAAGGACAAAAAACCAAACACCGCATGTTCTCACTCATAGATGGGAACTGAACAATGAGAACACAGGGACACAGGAAGGGGAACATCACACACCAGGGGCTGTTGTGGGGTAGGGGGAGGGAGGAGGGATAGCATTAGGAGATATACCTAATGTTAAATGACAAGTTAATGGGTGCGGCACACCAACATGGCACATATATACACAGGTAACAAACCTGCACGTTGTGCACATGTACCCTAAAACTTAAAGTATAATTTAAAAAAATGAGGATCTTTGTCATGGCAAAATAAATCTCCAGTAGGAAGTGCAGTATTGAATTCTGCAATGTAAAAGCAATACCCCATGACCAATCCTATTCCTGATTTTCATAATTTTACCCCAAAGAAAAGAGAGGAAATCATGGTAACCTCCAACCCCAACTATATATGCTCATAACTAATAGCATTAGAGAAAATACATTCAGTTCCCAGAACACAGTGCTAAGACCTGAACTTGCTGCTGGGTTCCATGGAAAAGCCTAGAGGCCTAAACTTTGACAACCACTGCCATGTGAAATGCTACCCCGGCTATAGACAAAAAAACTATGTCTGTTATATCCTGGAATATGTGATGCTCATTTTACTTCTATATTAAATTTTTTTCTCCTTCCTCATTTCAACTTACCAAAAAAAAAAAAAACAAAACCCAAACCCTATCACTGTTCTAAAAGCAGAAACAAAGAATAAACCTTTACCCAACTTCAAAAATTATCAACATTCTGCCAATCTTATTTCATCTCTCCCCCCACCAACTTTTTTTCTGAAGTATTTAAAAATCACAGATACCGCATATTGTATCATGTTATCCATAAATGTGTCAATATGTACCCCTTACATAAGGCCATTTTATAAGTTCTTAATTCTGCTAAAAAGTTTCAGTTGATAATATTGCTGTAATTATCTAATAGTTACATTGTTTCACTCTAGAAATAGAATTTCAAGAAGGAATTCCTTAGTCTCACCAAATAGTAAATGCTTAACCAGTAAAATTCTCTGGGTTCTTTACAGAAGAATGACCACAGTGCAGCCTATCACCTGAACACTCATGAGTTCTCGTGACCTCAAGTCTGGAGAAAAGGCAGACCTACGGCTCCCTATCACCTTCTCTTTGCCTTCTTTCTTCATGTCCCTTAGAGACCTTCTTCCCCATCTCTACCAAAATCCCTGTTACCTGCCCACCCTTCATCCTTGGCCACACACATAAACACAAACTATGCCAAGAACATAGCTTACTTCAGAATATATCAGACAAATGCTTGATTCACCTCCAGGATACTGTGATAGTAAGACAATGACGTGATGTCTTTCATTCCTCACCCACATGGCTCTCAAGATCCTTATAATATTCATCTGAAATGTCTAGTGTTTAGGGGGGAAATATTCTACTCTATACAATTTTAGGGAATGGGCTTCATTTGTGCCAAAGTCTCTTTTTTCAATTTTTAAAAATCAAAATGTAATCAGTACTTTTTTTGAAAGACAAAAAAAATACATTTAAAAATAGGGACCTCTGTAATAAAAAAGACTTCATGGAACTTTGAAATGCAAAACACTAGCACAATATTTAGGTAAATTGGCCCTCACTGTCACCTCTGTGAGAATGGGACATCTGGGTTACTTACAGGGTCAGGAAAGAAAGAACATAACAAACAATTTCTTTACCAAAACTGGTAACATTTTAGATGGAAAATTCCTACAGAGTTAGCTACATAAAGTAAAATATAATAATGCTTTAAACCCCTCCCAAGACATATACCACACATTGCCCTTGGCAATAAACCTAGAGGGGAGAGTTATATGAATCCCAGTAATCTTCCTATGTGTGCTGGCATTTCTCTTTTTCTGTCGTTTTATTTCTAAAGAGGCTTTTCCTTTATTTCCCTCCCCTAACATAAGAAAACATTGCTGAGAGGATGGTTGCTATGTGTCAGCTCAGAAATGGTTTTGCCTCAGTGGTGTGTAGGCAGTCTTGATAAAACTAAGATCTTTGGAAAGGAATCATGGTATATAAATGAGATATTTAACTACAGTTTTCGTCATTCTGTCAGAGAAAAACTCCAGGCTTCTTTTCCATATATAGTATCCCTACATTTCCTTGGTTTAGTTTGAGGTGGACTTTTGGAAGGTGCTGTGCCACAAGCATAACTTTAATGATGATTTCTTTGGATCATTATTATTTTATTCTTTAACAGAAAAATCCAACCAAATAAGCAAACTAAAACCTTCCCCCAAATAATTAAGATGTAGGTTAGTGTCACCCATATTTTATCTTTCTCTTCAGTTTTCACAGGCAGCAAAGATCATAGAGTTTCTAATCTTATTAAGAAAACCAAAATATATTTCAGAACTGGATGAGAATGAAGAAGGCCATTTTCCAAATAGTATAAGAGTTTTATAGTTAATCCTTTGTTGTTTCTGCTAATTAGCAGTGACACATGAATTGCTGAATCTCCCCCAAGAGATTTCACTGTAAGATCAAAGAGAAAATGGGATAGGCTGGAAGTAGAAAGCTTCTACACAAAAAACAAATGTTTTTGACAAGACATGAAATGTGTAGAAAAGATGCATCAATAGTGCTGCATCTGAACTTGAGTTTTGATAAGAGAGCCTGCACTGTTTCTCTCAGTCTCCTATTAAATAATGTGGCCCAAATAAGATGTTAAGAGATACTCTGGGAGGAACAAATAAAATCCAGAATTAGGCCGGGCGTGGTGGCTCATGCCTGTAATCCCGATGCTTTGGGAGGCCAAGGTGGGCGGATCACGAGGTCAGGAGATTGAGAACAGCCTGGCCAACATGGTGAAACTCCGTCTCTACTAAAGATACAAAAATTAGCTGGGTGTGGTGGCGTGTGCCTGTAATCCCAGCTGAGGCAGGAAAATTGCTTGAACCTAGGAGGTGGAGGTTGCAGTGTGCCAAGATTGTGCCATTGCACTCCAGCCTGGGTGACAGGGCAAGACTCTGTCTCAAAAAAAAAAAAAAAAAAAAAGAAAAAAAAATCCAGAATTAAAGCACAAACAATTACAGGAATTAAAGGAACCTAAACTATAGCAACTCCTAAAAACAGATTCTTTAAAGTCTTCCTGCAAATACTCTACACAGCTGTTTCTACAGGGTTTGTACCAGTGAAACATTCTGAGGGTGCTGACAAGAGCTTCCAGTTATCTAGTCACTCCCTGCAAGGCAGCTAGGCATTTTCCTGTTTTCATCCTGTGGTCATACCTAGGCTGCTGAGTATCCAAGTTTCATTACTCAAGGCAGCTTTAGGCTCCTTTAGAGCTGAACGTTAACTGGGACCAAGATAATGAGCCCAGAAGGCTTGCCTATGCCTGTGGCCTTTACTGGAGGACTGTCCTATCTATAACCAAGTCTATGTAAGAGCCCGAGGAGGCTGGTAGATGTATTTTTACCATGTTACCCCATATACGCTGGGGAAAATCTAGAGATCTACTAACCATATTACAAATGAATAACATAATTACACTGAAAAGGGAGGGGAAGAAAAGAACTCACCTAAGTAACTCTGGAAAACAATATTTTGACTGAATACTATTCCTCCAAAGCTAAAACCAAAAATAACCGTACAATATTTTGCTTTAGTGAATTTATTCCCACTGTGGTATGGGTTAGCAATTCTAAAAATTTTTTTTTTTTTTTTTTTTTTTTTATCGAGACGGAGTCTCGCTCTGTCGCCCAGGCTGGAGTGCAGCGGCATGATCTCGGCTCACTGCAAGCTCTGCCTCCTGGGTTCACGCCATTCTCCTGCCTCAGCCTCCCGAGTAGCTGGGACTACAGGCGCCCGCCACCATGCCTGGCTAATTTTTTGTATATTTAGTAGAGATGGGGTTTCACCGTGTTAGCCAGGATGGTCTCGATCTCCTGACCTCGTGATCCGCCCGCTTTGGCCTCCCAAAGTGCTGGAATTACAGGCTTGAGCCACCGTGCCCGGCCTCTAAAACTATTTTTATAGTGTACTAGGATTACCCTAATAAGTAAATATAATAGAGATAATGAGAGCCAGGTTTCTCAGTGTCAGAGAAAGAAATTACAAGTGAGCGAGATGGAAAGACTACACTGAAACCTGTGGTGCTGGATTATCCTTGACAATATTATTATAAATTCACAGTTATTTTATATATATTTATATATACATATATATGTAGATTCATAGATACAGAAGTCAGTTACAAATAAGGAAAAGGAGAATAACATGACCCTTGTGTTGCTGAACTCATGGATTTTAATATGTATACAGATAGACACAGAAATAAATATAATGTGTGTGTATATGTATGTTAGTATACATACATACATACACACATATATCTATGTATATATCTATATATATTTTATATATATTTTAGCTCTGTCTGCTGAGGCGGCCTAGAAAAAAATGACACTCCAGTAGCAGTGAACACACTTAGTGCCTAGATCTTAGTTTCCAAAGACCGTTTTTCCAACAAAAGGAATCAAAGTTCCATGTAGAAGTGGTTGATTCTAGGGTGAGGACAGGTAAAACACAAGATAAGCATAAAGTATCTTGTGGTGCCAACAAAAAAGAAAGTGTCCAAAATAGGATGGAAGCATGTTGAAAGAACAAAGGAGCCAACTTGATAGGTTTCCCAATAGACACGTTGAAACAATCTGAATAAGCAAGTAAACAACAACAATATTAGATTATGACCCATAGAATAAAATAAATATCAATGAGCTCATACTGAATAAAATAAACAATTGCATAAATGAATGAATACATAAATACACATATACATACATATACACATAGATGAAGGAGAAGGGACTGTTTTCCTTCTAGAAGAATTTCAATTAAGTATAGAAGAAATGAGGGAAACGCAAAATCACCATTAGGCAAATACATTAACAATTGTTGCAGGCAAGAGCCACCAATGGATGTTAACCTTAATGGGTGACAGTTTACAGAGAAACAAAATATTTTCATAGCTTCACAGTATCTCCTGAAAGACAAGGAGAAGGAAAAACAGCAACTCTACAATGGAGAAACTCAGCACACACCCTTAACCAAGTGATCAAAGTTAACATCAGTAATTACGTCCTCCTTGTTAGGATATACAGAGAAGGGCACAGTATCACATCTTATAGCATTCTTACCAAAAATGCATAACCTTAAGCAAGGGG
Organism: Homo sapiens; assembly: GCF_000001405.40. NCBI lineage: Eukaryota > Metazoa > Chordata > Mammalia > Primates > Hominidae > Homo > Homo sapiens. Next base: position 114,029,791 of record NC_000003.12, read on the forward strand.
GAGAAAACATAAAAAAAACCAAAACGAGAGACAATTCTACAAAATACCTGACCAGTTCTCTTCAGAAATGGCAAGGTCATAAAAGACACGGAAAGACTAAAGAAATGTCACACACTGGAGGAGACTAAGGAGATGTAATAAATAAATGCAGTGTGAAATTATGGATTGAGTCCTGGAACAGAGAAAGAACACTAGTGGAAAAACTGGTGATATTCTCATAGGGTCTATGGTTTAGTTAATGGTATTTAATGGCAGTGTACCAATGCTAATTTCCTAGTTTTGATAATTATACTATGCTTATGTAAAATGTTAACATTGGGAAAAGTTGGGTGAAGGTTATTCAGAAACTCTGCACTATTTTTGCAGCTTTTCCATGTCAAATATTTTAAAACTAAGTAATCTGTTTTCGATTGGCCACTAATTTTGTAAAACTGCATATGTGTCTAACATTCATATTTGGCAGTTCCATCTAAAATATATATGATTGTACAGTGGACTTCAATACAATTTAAGCATTTTTTAGAAAACACACTTTATTTGTCTCTAATTTGTTGGGAAATATATCATGGTATTTTTTCCTTATGTCTTCTCAAGATGACTCCCTGAATACTCGTTTCTCTTCTTATTTTCTCTTTGAAATCTGAACTGTTATTATATAGGAGGAATACTAATTCCATCTGTCTCATGAAGAATGCAGAATCTAAGTCCTTTGCTAACTTTTCTCAAAATGTTAACTGCAAGTCTTACATTTCTCCCTACTACATTTCCTTCTGTTTTCCTGAAGCCAAAACTCTGACCAAATTTTTGTTGGTTAATAACTGAGTAATTACAACCTCTTATCAGTTCAAAATATCACCATCAAATATGTCTATCGTTTTTAAAAAATCACTTTGACTACTTTACTTTTTCCTTCATATGTTTGTTATCCGTATGATATTCAAACTCCTGTTATTGATTTCCAGGACCTTTGTAAGTCTATCCCTACATTTACCAAGCTCCCTCAGTATCTTCCTAACATTCTCTTTTCTCTTGCTAAATCCATTCATTCACGTATTTATTCAATTAACTTTCTCTGAATTTCAGCAATGCCTAAGGCCCTGGGGTGGGTGTTGTAGGATATGTAAAATATACATATTTATCTTTTCTCATCTAACCCTCTCATTTACAAATCTGCCCAGTCAGTCCTTTTACCTGAAATGTTATAATCCCAAAATTCATACTTTTATCAATCCCACTTTATTGAAGAAAACTGCTTAAGTAACCTGAAGAGGATATTCACTTTTATATTAAAAATCAGCAAGTAATTTTTACAAAAAGATAAAGTGAAAGAAAGGAAGAAAAGGTAAAATAAAATATAGACCATTAAAAAGAAAAGCACAGGTTTAAGTGTATCATTGCTTTAGGATCAGAGCTACTAAAAGGCAAGTAACCAGTTCTTGTATCTTCTGAATAATCCAGAACACAATGGTCCTTACAACTGTCAAAGTGGAAGCCAAGATTTCAAAAACTGCCAGAGAGCTACCTTAGTTTAAGGTTAATAATAGTTAAATGCTATTCTGAAGAGGTAATTTAGGAAGAAGTCCACAATTTACCCCCCTCACCCCAGTAATTTCCCAGGATCCCACCAGAGTATACAAAGAATAGCCTCAGAACAGGGGATTTGTGTACTGCCCTGCATACCAGGTCAGCTGGGCACAAAGAACAAATGGCGTGGGCAGTTTTGGTATTTGTGATGAGGTTCAACTGGACTTAGTTTTTATTTTATCCCATCTCTGATGGAGCTCTTTGTCATTTATACTACAGAATGCTGAGTAAAGAGACATTGCAATTCCCACCTGTTGATTTTCTTTGAAAGTTTGGATTAATACTTCTTTCAATTTCCTTTTTCTTTCCTTCACCATTTTTTCCTCATCTGGAAGAATGTGAGTACTTTGAAACATGACTTTTTCTGAACTATTTTGAGAATTCTCTTCTTGCCTTTTCTTCTCTCTATTAATAACAATTTAAAAATACATGTATATTTACAATAGATTTAAAAATGAGCAATTACAACCTACTGTAGCAGAATAATCACTGAATTCTCCTTCGGAATACACATATTTTTAGATCTGGCTCTAAAACTACATAGTAGGGTAATTTTTTTGGAGACTTATTTTATTCCTTTATAAAATACAGATTAAATGAAATAAAATTGTTATAAAGTACTTTGAAAAGTAGAAAGTCTTATAGATACTTTAGTATTTTTATTGAGTTGCACACTGAGCCATACTTTGATCAAAATTTGAGAGTTAACAACTACAAGATAGTCTCTAATATAGACATAAATTATCTCCCATAGAACGAGAAAAAAAGGATTCTCAAGAAAGGAATGAGATTCTTACTAAAAGGCCTCTTATAAGGTTACTAGAAAGAGGAATAACAAAAGAATCAGGTGTTATTGAATAAGGAGGGAATGGAATCTAGAATAATTTTAAAATAGCTGAAAAGAGAAAAAAATAGAACTTAAAAAGGAAAAGGACTTTAGGCAAGTAACCAGAATTATTTTAGTAACTTTGTTGCTCATCTTTCTGAGCATCCTCTTTTTTGCCCACCTATCTATTCTTCCTCATCCAGGCCATCCCTCTTTTGCTCACCAATTCAAACAAGCTCATAGCTATGGCCTTCCTACTGTAGTGCATTTAACTGCACAGGTATATGTATGTGTATAAAGTATATATTATTAATGATGTGGTAAACATAGCACCTAGTCAGGAATCAGAACTCATGAGCTCTGGCCACAAACCAGCTAGTCACCTGATCTTTCTTGAACTTTTAGTTCACAGTTGTGGAAACTAAAATGGAGAAAGATGCCAGAGTACCCTACCCCTTCTCTCACTCATTCTCATATATGTTACAGAGGGTACACAGTGTTATGTTGTATTATTGGTAATGTTAACCTTCATCACTTGCTTAAGGTGGCTTCTCCAGTATAGAGTTATTATTTTTCCCTTTGAAATTAATAAGCATCTTGAAAGAGATAACTTTAAAACTAGGCAATGAGGCAGATTTAAGATAGCTTACAAATAGGTTCAAAAGGCCTATCAACAATAAAAATGTTATTGACTTTTTCCAAACTATGAATGCCATAACAATGTTATATTACATGGTTATAGACAGGTGATAGTGATTGTCAAAGAAATACAGTTCTAATACCATGAAACTGATTTTTTAAAATAACATTAGAATATATATCTATTTTAAAAGAAATATATGCTCATTGTGAAAAACTGGAGAAGTATAAAAGTCATCCATATTTCTTTTTTTTTTTTTTATTTTCTGTTTGCGATGGAGTCTCACTCACTCTGTCACTCAGGCTGGAGTGCAGTGGCATGATCTCGGCTCACTGCAACCTCTGCCTCCTGGGTTCAGGCGATTCTCCTGCCTCAGCCTCCCGAGTAGCTGGGGTTACAGGTGTGTGCCACCACGCCCATAAAAGCCATCCATATTTCTACCCAGAAAAAAAGTCAGTCCTGTTTCATTGTACAGCCATGACTTAGCAATTTCTCCAATATTTACGAAAGTCTGTTATTATAAATAATGTTGTTTAAATTATCTTTCTGCACAAATCTTTGTCTGGATTTCTGATAATTTTCTTAGGGCAGTTTTCCTAAGGCTGTAATTCCTAGGTCAAGGGATAATACTATTTTACGGCTCTTGTTGTTTACTGCCAAATTGCTTTCTGGAAAGTTTAAATCAGTTCATCCACCCAGAAGTAGAACATATTACCTATCTCACTGTAACCATGGATAAGATCTTAACTTTTAAAATAAATGACTGGTCAGTGAACATTTGTTGAGTGCCCACTGTGAGCAGAGCATCCTACTACCATTAAACGTTACTTGTTTTCACAATTTATTTTAGGTCAACCTAGTTTTTCCAGGGCTTGGGAGCAATATGAAAAGCAAGGCTGACCTTAGAAAGAACTCACTAAAACACCAGTGATTGCTTTCTGAAAGGAATGGCATCTGGAGGAAGCCTCAGCCTGGCACTTGAAGAAGTAAAGCACATGTCCACTGCTGAGCTGTTTTAAACTGGGTAGAATAAGAGCAATCAAGAGCACAGGGGGGAAAGCTGTGTAGGCTGATGGGGGTGGAAGGGATTATCTAATAGGTCTTTGTGGCCTCTCAGTTCGAGTAGTCAGACACTTCAGTCATGCTGTTCCAAGGCTTTTGCAGTTCCTGCATCAGTGCTGTTTCTCAGAATAAATACATTAGTTATTTCACTTATGAAGCTCATTTTCTGCATGAGGATGGATAATAGTACTACATCCTGTGAGGACTATTTTCATCTTCCTCTTATGTCAGATATTCTTTTTCTTTATCAGTGGTAGTAAGGCAGTGGTGACTTTCCATATGTTTATCAGAAAATAAGACACACAATTCACAACAGGATAAGACACAATTACTGAACATGTTCAACCTTAAAAATATTATCTAACCAAAGAAATGCAAACTAATCAATGTAATACCTATTAAAAGTGTAAAAATATTGAAAATGATGATACTCCCTAAGGCTGAGAAGAGTATGATAAACTGGCCTGCTGCTGATGATACAGTAAACAAGTATCATCAGCAAAACAACCCATTTTGAAAGCAATTTGGCAATGTTTCAAGAGTCAGAAAAAGACCTGTGTCATTTAACTCAGAAATTATGCTAAGAATTTATTCTAAGAATATAATACAAAAGAGTGAAAAAACTCTATGCTTAAAGATGCTCATTGCAATCTTATAATGGTGAAAAATCCAAAATAGCTGAAACATTTACCAGTATGGGGAGGTGGTCATTACATAAATTATGGTATAGGAACTCAATGGAGTATTATACACATCCCAGGACTCCAGGCAATGTGTTAATTACAACAAGCAGAATTACAAATTAAATGTACTTTATGGTTGTATAATTAAGTATGGAAAGGGACCACGTCAGGAGGAACATGGAAATATGAAATTAGTTAATTTGTTAAGATGGTGGAATAGTGAGTGATTTCTCTTCTATGTTTTGTTATTGAATGTTTGTGCACTTCAAAAACTTCAGAGCATTTCTAAAATGACTGCTTAAACAGAGAAACCCCACAGTGCTTATCACACTGGCTTACATTTTCCATGCTGCTTTCACAGTGCGTCTCCTCTCAATTATCTCCCTCCGCAGCTTCACCATCTCCCTTTGAATCTCCTCTTCCTCTTTCTTGGCCTCCAGAGCCTTCCTTTTCTTCTCTTCTTGCACCAGACACTGAGCCTCCAAGAAGGCCGATTTTTTCAGGGTCTTTTCTATTCTCTGGTACTCCAGTTCTTTCTCACGTCTTAAGCGATTTTCTTTTACCTTAAAGCAAATATAATAAAGATGAAGTGTGGCCTTTCAAGTAGAAAGGGATATGAAAAGCCTTACAATACATTTTGAAGTTCAGAATACAACCAGTTTGAAATATGCTGGCCCAGAACTCCACTGTTTATTGGTAGGAAAGGAGGAATTCATCTGTTTACTGGGTAAAGATGAATATAACATTTTAGATGAAGTCAGATGAAGATGACTCAAATAATCTGGGAATGATCCACATCACAGAAAAGTTGAGAATCTAATGAGTCAGACCCCAAGTTCTGGATTCTCATTTAGGAATGATTTCTCACTTGTAAGATTGTCCAAGGTGTACATTACTGCTTTTATTATACTTAGGTCATGTCTGCATTCTAATTTAAGAAAGAACAGAACTTTTTTGGAAGCCACACTGTGAATGATAGAACAGTGATTTATTGCCTTTAGGAACACCACAACCCTTTATTCATTTCTATTATTATTATGTAAATATAGCAGTGATTCTGGATCATATTTGGAAATCAAAAACATGAAAAAGCACATTCATTTTTTTCAAACCTATTAATCCTTTAGAGGGCTTGAGTAGCTATGAGAAAGGAAAGGTCCTTTCCTTCCTGCTTCACCTAACTTTACCCTTATCTTACTCACTAGTTGTGATAAGTCTTCTGATAAGACAATGACTATATAGCTTATTGAACGTTCTCTCCTCTCTTTTGTCATAAATCCAAACTAGAATCATACTTCTACTCATTTCTCTAACATCCCCAGTGCTGATTACATATACCTTCATTGAATAATTTAAAGCAGTTATTTTCAAATTCGGCAATCAGAAATTTAGTGTTATACAAAGATGGCACACACATGTACAGATATTAATTCCGGATCAGTCTTAGTTCTGGATTCTCTGGCACTCCTTTACAAAGTGTTGAGACACCAGTCTTTTTTGCAAGAACCTACTATTCCCTTTGGAGAAAAGAAAGTTCTCACATGCTTTTCTAATTCAAAACAGCTGAACTTGATTCAATTCAGATCTGTCTTCCATTTTAAATTATAATAAAAAAATGAGTGAATTTCAGTTGTCTGGAAAAGAATTATCCTGTAACATTCTCAAGAATATTAATAATATTAACGTTACAATTTGAAAACCAAACTCAAGCACACACAATCTACGTGTTTATAATAGGAAGTACCACATTCAAACTAATAAGGTTTATGTCAATACTCTTGGTCAAAATCAATTATTCTTTTTTTTCTTTTTGGCTATTTCTTAAATAAATTGTTTCCTACCCTCAGTTTATGAGAATTATTTTTCTTCTGAAGTTCTTATATTTTATTTTTATTCTCCCTAACCAAACCACAGATGGCACCCTTTTTCATAATAAAGCCTATGTCTTTATTTAAGCTTATTAAATGTGTTACACAAAGACTGCTTCCTGTTATCCATTTTAATTTTGTTTTTCCCTCCCACCTGCTTATGTCTCATCTCCATGGTAAGACGAGGATCCTTCTGCTGCTTCTTGTCTTGGTTTTCCTTCCTTCCAAGATCTTCCATCATTGCAGAATCTACCACATTTTTATGGAGCAGATGGTCTATAAATTTTTGAACGGTGGTACTTTCCTCTTCTTCCTCCAAATAGCCACATAAATCTGGGGGAAACAGAACAACAAAAAAGGGAATTTTTTTAAAAAATTAATTTTAGTATTATATTCATATTTACATAAAGAATCCTAGTACAATAAAAATACAAAGCTGCGAGTGTTCAATAAATAGTAACTGATAATGGCAACTGATTGAGTATAGCCCTCAGCAGTTACCTTCAACTAAGAATAAAAAAGCTCCACTTACCAAGAATTGCCCTCACCCAAGTCACTAAAGAGTCCTTCACTGCCAAATCTAAAAGATTTCAATCTAAACAACCTTGAGAACTTCAATCTAAACAATCTTGAGAGCTCTACTGCTTTCAAAAAAAAGAAAGAAAGAAAGAAAAAAGCTTTATTGTGGTATAATTGACATATAATAAACTGCAAATATTTAAAGTTTACGATAAATTTCGACATATGCATATGCTAGTAAAACCATCACCACAGTCAAGATAATGAACATATCCATCAGCCCCAAAAGGGTCCTCATGCTGATTTGTAAACTCTTCCTTTCACTCCTCCCCTTGCCCTCCACTGTGCTCCAAGTAAGCACAGACCTGCTGCCACTATATATTAGTTTTCATTTTCCAGAATTTTATGTAAATTAGATCATACACTTATATACACTGTATTTTTTCTGACCTAGCTTCTTTCACTCAGCACAATTATTTTGAGATTCATTCATGTTGTGTGTATCAATAGTTTATCACTTTCTGTTGCTGAGCAGTATTCCACCATATGAATACACCACAAATTGTTTATTCATTCATTTGTTGATAGACATTTGAATTGTTTCCAGGTTTTGGCTATTGCAAATAAAGGTGTTATGAACATCTGTGTACAGTCATCCCTCCATATCTCTGGGGGATTGGTTCCAGGACCTCCCGAGAATATCAAAATCCAAAGATGTTCAAAAATCCATGATATCAAATGGTGTTGCATTTGCCTATAAACTATATCCATCCTTATACTCTAGATCATCTCTAGATTACTTATGATACCCAATACAATGTAAATGCTATGTTAATACTTGTTATATGTATTGTTTGGGGAATAATGACAAGAAAAAAGCTGTACATGTAAGTACAGATGGAATTATTTTTTCCCAAATATTTTTCATCCATGGTTGGTTGAGTCCAGAAATGCAGAACCCACAAAACATAGGCTTTCTTTTCTGTTGGGAAAATGTGTAGGAGTGGAACGATTGGATCATATTATAGCTAAATGCTTACCTTTTCAAGAAACTATCAAACTGTTGTCCAAAGTGGTTACACAACTTTACATTCCCACCAGCAGTGTAGAAGTATTCCAATTTCTCCACATCCTTACTAATACTCAGTATGGTCAGTCTTTCAAATTTAAGCCATTTTAAGATATGTAGAGGTAACTCATTGTAGTTTTAATTTTCAGTTTTCTAATGACTAATGTTACTGAACATCTTCCTTGATTATGTTTTGTAGTTGTTCCAAAGATAGTGGGGTAATGAAGTCTCTAACTACAGTCATGTGTCAAATAACAACATTTCCATCAACAATGGACTGCGTATATGAAGGTGGCCCCATAAGATTATAACGGAGCTGAAAAACTATTGCCTAGTGATGTTGTAGTCATCATAATGTCAGAGCACAATGCATTACTCATGTGTTTGTGGTGATGCTGGTATAAACAAAACAACTACACTAACAGTCGTATAAAAGTATAGCACGTGTACCACATTTTCTTTATCCAGTTTATCACTGATAGGCACTTGGGTTGATTCCATGTCTTTGCTATTGTGAAGAGTGTGTGCTGCAATGAACATACACCTGCATGTATCTTTATAATAGAATGATTTCTATTCCTTTGGGTATATACCCAGTAATGGTATAGCTGGGCCAAATGGTATTTCTGCTTCTAGATCGTTGAGGAATACTATGCAGCCATAAAAAGGAATGAGATCATGTCCTTTGCAGAGACATGGATGGAGCTGGAAGCCATCATCCTCAGCAAACTAACGCAGGAACAGAAAACCAAACACTGCATGTTCTCACTTAAAAGTGGGAGCTGAATGATGAGAACACATGGACACGTTGGGAAGAACAACACACACTGAGGCCTGTCATGGGTGGCAGGGGGAGGAAGAGCATCAGGAGAATAGGATGCTGGGCTTAATACCTAGGTGATGGGTTGATCTGTGTAGCAAACCACCATGGCACATGTCTACCTATGTAACAAACCGGTACATCCTGCACATGTACCCTGGACTTAAAATAAAAGTTAAAATAAAATAAAGCACCCTCAAAAAATCTTAAGAATACTATGCAAAAAAAAGTGTAGCACATACAATTATATACAATACATAATACTTGATAATGATAATAACAACTATGTTACTGGTTTATGTATATACTACACTTTTATCATTATCTTAGAGTCTATTCCTACTTATTAGAAAAAAAAATTGGGCTGGGCACAGTGGCTCACACCTGTAATCCCACCACTCTGAGAGGCCGAAATGGGAGGATTGCTTGAGCCCGGGAGTTCGAGACCAGCCTGAGAAGCAAAGCAAGACCCTGTTTCTTTTAAAAGAGGAAAAAAAAATTAGCTGGGTGTGGTGGCACACACCTGTAGTTTCAGCTACTAGGGAGGCTGAGGCTGGAGGATTTCTTGAACCCAGGAGTTCAAGGCTGCAGTGAGCTATGATCACCACTGCACAACAGAGGGAGATCCTGTCTTAAAACAAAACAAAACAAAAAAGGTTAACTGTAAAATAGCCCCAGGCAGGTCTTTTGGGCGTATCCAGATGAGGGTAATATTATCACAGGAGATGACAGCTAAATGCTTGTTATTGCCCCTGAAGACCTTCTAGTGAGACAAGATGTGGAGAAGATAGTGATATTGATGATCCTGGTTCTGTATAGGCCTAGGCTAATGTGTGTGTTTGTGTCTTAGTTTTTTAACAAGAAAAAAAAATTAAAATTTCAGAAATAGAAAAAAGTATATAGAATATAAAAAAATTTTGAGGGTTTGTTTTGACCTAAGTGTTACAAAAGAGTCAAAATGTTAGAAAAAATTCAAAATTTACAAAGTAAAAAAGTTGGAGTAAGTTAAAGTCAATTTATTATTGAAGAAAGAAAAATATGTTTTTATAAATTCAGTGTACCCTAAGTATACAGTGTTTTAAGTCTACAGTAGCGTATTTTAATATCCTAGGGCTTCACATTTACTCACAACTCACTCACTGACTAACCCAGAGCAGCTTCCTGCCCTGCAAACTCCATTTATGGTATACCCTGTACAGGTGTCCCATTTTTTACCCTTTATATACTGCATATGTACTGTACCTTTTTTTGATTGGATATGTTTAGACACCCAAATACTTACCATTGTGTTCCATTGCCTGTAGTATTAAGTAGCATGCAGTACAGGTTTGTGGCCTAGGAGCAATAGCCTATCTCACATAGCTTAGGTGTGTAGTAGGCTCTATCATCCAGGTTTGTGTAAGTACACTCTATAATGTTCACACAATGACAAAATCACCTAATGATGCATTTTGCAGGACTTATCCTCTTCATTAAGCAACACATGATTGTATTATTGTTGAATTCCATTTCTGTCTTCAATTTTGTCAATTTTTGCTTCATCTACCTTGGGAGTCTTTTGTCAGGTGTATATATATTTATAGTTGTTATGTTTTTCTGATGGATTGACTCTTTTATCGTTAGAAAATGCACTTTTTGTTTCTAGTAACAATTTTTTCTTTAAAAGTCTATTTTTGGGAAAATTAAAAATCAAAGAAAAAAATAAAAATAAAAAGTCTTATTTTTATATTAACATAGTAACTGTAGCTCTCTTTTGCTTACTATTTGCATGGTATATCTTTTTCCATCCTTTTCCTTTCAACCTATTTGTACTTTAAATTGAACATATGTCTCTTGTAGATAGCATATGTATTTTTAATCCATTCTGCCAATCTCTGCATTTGGACTGGAGTGTTTAATTAAATGCATTTATATTTAATGTAATTCCTGATAAAGCTTACACTTATCATTTTGGTATTTGTTTTCTACATGTCTTATGTAAATGGCCTTTATCAAGTTGAAGAATTTCTCTTGCATTACTAGTTTGCTGAGAAGCATTTTTCAGGAATGTATGTTAGATTTTGTTAAGTGCCTTTTCTGTGTCTATTGAGATAATATGTTAATTAACATTTTTGGTAAATATCCTTTTTAATGGTTACATAAATATTTGTTCAATATTTCAATTAAAAAAAAAAAACTCTACCAGCATACGATGATTGAGGCCTGGCATGGCACTAGATGATATCAACCAATCTAAGTAAAGGGATATAATTAGATCTATTAGTACTATATCAAAAGAAGTAATAGTTTCATTAGATTCCATATATTTGCTTCAGAACAAATATGAAGTACTGAAGTACCACACTTTAATAATGACATTAATAAACTAGAAAATGTCCAGAAGGCAGCAACGAGGATGATAAGACCTAGAAACCATGTGGTATAAAAAAATTGTTGAGAGTACTGGTGCTATTTAATCTGGAAACATAGAACTATATGAGTGGTCAAATATGGTAACAACTCCTACAAAAAATAAAACGTTCTTGAGAGAGAACATGTTATTTTAGTTGTACCATAGGGTAAAACGTTACTGAAGACAAAATCTTAATTCTCCTAACTAACGGAAACTTCTATGAGAATTAGAGCCTCACAGCAGTTGAATGGGCTCTACCCAAAGTGTAGGCTCCCAATCCCGGAAGGTGTTCAGGCAGAGGATACATCACTACAAGTTAGGGACACTGTAGAAGATCTCTATCTGGGTTGGCGAGGAGGGTAGATCAGACTACCTAGTCTTGAAGGATTCTTCTAATTTTACAAGCTGATAGTTTTGTGATCCTCAAGCTGGGGATTTTGCAGAGTCCTAAACAAGGAGAATGATGTCAGGTGAATTCACCAAGGGTATCTGAGTCATGTATGGGGAGCTGCCCCACTGTTACCATGACTATCCCTATGCTCAGGGAAAAAATACTCAGACCCTTGAGTGTATTAGATAAATCCTTACACGTCAGCCATCTAACTTGTCTGACGCTGGCTCTGTGCACAGTAGTGGTTTTTCTCTCCTCTGGAAAAAAAAACTAGAAAAGTAATAACCTCCCTTATAAGTAATAAATTGTCTGACACTGGCTCTGTGCACAGTAGTGGTTTTTCTCTCCTCTGGAAAAAAAAACTAGAAAAGTAATAACCTCCCTTATAAGTAATAACTAACAGATAAATAAGAAGCATTTTATAAATATAAAAATGACATATGAGTACTTAAATGTAGTCTGCATCAAACAGTCCAATGATATATGAGGAAGAGGCACTCTGAAACAGCATTAATTGCTATTCTAATCATAAGCAGAATTATAAATACAGTTGGCCCTCCCTATCTGCAGATGCCACATTCTTGGATTCAACCAACTGCAGTTCAAAAATATTTGAAAAAAATTAAAAATAACAATACAACAATAAAAAATAATAAACATTTTAAAATACAGTATAACAACTATTTACATAGAATTTATACTGTATTAGGTATTGTAAGTTGTCTAGAGATGATTTAAAGTATGCGAGAGGATACGCACAAGACTAGAACATCTGAGGAGTTTGGTATCTGTGGGGGCCAGGGGGTCCTGGAACTAATTCCTCACAGTTAGTTAGGGATAACTGTAATAGAATATTTTAATTTTTAAAACACCATGAATTTACTGAAGATATAGCATAAGAAATTTACATTTAACCATGATAAATTAAAACCAATAATAAAAACTAAAAAAAACACAGAAAACTTAAATATGTATCATTTGTTATTCAAAACAATTAAAAGACTTCTTAGACACATTCATTAGATGTTAAAACTTAGAACAATCAGGTAAGTTCTTACCATCAAACTTGTCATATTTCAAATGGCCATTGGCTTCCGGCATAATAGTGACACTTGACACAGTGTTTTTAGCATCACCTTCTTCCTCACTTGCTAATTCTTGCTTAAGTTTGGTGTCTAACCAGTCATTGACCAGCTCCTGAGCTACAATAAAACAAAAACATGTTAAGTATTTCAGTTACTTCAGAGATTTTCTTTATTCACTGTTTTCATTTATTCAATAAATATTAATTGAGTACCTATCGTGTCAAGTACTGTTCTAGATACTGGAATACAACAGTGAACAAAACTGAAAAAATAAGCCCTAGCATCATGAAACTTACATTCCAATTGGGGAAGAGAGACAATAAGTAAATAAGAGAAAAGGCAGGGACAGGAAGACATGGAAGATGGGTGTTGTAGCTTTAAATTGGGAGGTAAAAGAAAGCTTCACTGAGAAAAAGATATTTGAGCAAAGAAGGGAAGAAAGATAGAGAAGTGAGGATCTATAAGGTAATATTATTCTCTGCAGAGGGAAAGCAAATGCAGAGGTCCTGTGCAGGAGTATCTACAGTGTTGGAAAAACAGCAAGGAGGCCAGTGTGGTCAGAGAGAAGTGAGGAGGAGACAGCAGGAGATGAGGTTGGAGGGGTAATGTGCAGATCAGGTTTAGGGGAATGTTTAGGGCAATGATTATCAACCAGGTGCAATCTTGCCCCCCAGTGGACTTATGCCAATGTCTAGAGCCATTTTGTGTTGTCATAACTGGGGAAGCAATACTACTGTCTAGTAGGTAGAGGCCAGGGATGCTGCTAAACATTTGCAATTCACAGGACAGCCCCCACAAAAATTCTCTAGCCCAAAATGTCAATAGTCCTGAGGCTGAAATTCCCTTGCTTACACTCTTGACACAATTCTAGCTACTTTGGCTTTTACTCTGAGTACAATGGGAAGCCACAGGAGAGATGTGAGCACAGAGGTGATATATTTTAAGAGAATCACTTTGACCATTAAGTTAAAATAAACTATAGGGGATAAGCACGGAGGTAGGGAACACCAATTGGGAAACAAGTATAATAATCCAAAAGAGAGGTGATGGTGGCCTGGATCTGGGAGTGGAGGTATTAACAATGGTCAGATTACAGAAAAGAATGTTTTGAGGTGGAGTTGACATGACTTGCTAATGGACTGGATATAGGACATGAGAGAAAGAAATCTATGAGTTTTTTGGCTTAAGCAACTGCAAGGATGATGATGCCATTTACTGAGACGGGGAAGGCCAAGGATAGCAGCAGGCTTGAGGAGGAAGATTAGGAGTTCGGTCCCAGACATGTTAGGTTTGAGATGTTTAGGAGACATCCAAATAGGGATGTCAAATATGGTATTGGCTACAATACTCTGGATTTCAGGGGAGAGGTCCAAGCTGAAGAAATAAATGTGGAAGTTTTCAGCACGCAGACTGTATTTAAAATCATAGAAGTGGATGAAATTACCAAAGGAGGAAGGTAGACACAGAGGAGGTTCAAGGACTGAGTGCTGAGGAACTCCAGGATTTAGCGGTTGAAGAGAGAAGGTGGAACTAGGAAAGCTGACTAGGCCATTGAGGTAGGAGGAAAATCAAAGAGTGTGATATCCTGAAAGCTAACCTCCATTTGGATTTCTTTCTTAATGCTATTAAGAAAATTTCCTGAAATTATTTAGGTATGGGGAAAATGCCTGCTTTAGCATAGCTTTCATCATTGTTATTACTATCAAACAGCTCTTTTGTCTATTTTCTCATTACCTTCATCATTATGATGATCATTATTGCATAGTTAGTTCTTAGGGAATGGGGTGTTTACATTAAATGATGCCAAGAGGCATTTAATACAGATAAAATAGGAAAAAATAAATCAGAGTAATATAAACGAAGTGTTAAAAGCATACTAGCAACAAATGCCATTGGCTTTCAGGGGAAGGTAGAGAAAGGGAGAAGATATTTACTGAGTAGCCCTTGCATATAATAATTCAAACATTTATGTGTATAGTAATTTATATGCAAAATAATTCACACCTACTAAATAACATTCATTGGTAAATGGGGATTTACTGTGAAGTGCCCCCCAAAAACAAATAAAACTTCCCTTGGAGGGGTTAAACTGTAGAAATACCTTGTGTTAGACCACATGAGAAGTATACAAACTACCTTAAAGCACAGATTTTCAAAGTATGTTCCTCAGAACACTACTTTTGTAGAATATTAGTATAGTTTATGATAGGAGAAAAAAAATGATATAAACCTTTGAAAACCATGTTCTATCCATTGGTGTTCTATCCATATACCAAACCATGTTCCTAATGTGAATCACTAGTTTCTCAGGATAATATACAGATTTCAGGATAAAAAGAGGTTCATGGTCTAGGCAGCATGGGAAATGAGGCAAGTAAACATTTCTTTTCAACTGCAGGACTTCTCAAAACCCTTAACAGGCTAAAGTATATTGGGTATCTCTACTGGCAGGGTGGGAGGTGGGGTGGGCAAGATCAGCCAAGCCAATTTCAGAATCAATCTCCTTTCTCTAGCTCCAGTACTATCAACCACTCTAAACCACTCACCATTACTGCTCACCCAGACCACCACCAACAGCCTCCCACTGGTTGCCCTTTTCTCTCTTTTTCTCCCCTATAATCCATTCTTCCTATATTTAATTTATTATTTGTTTATTTATTGAGATGGAGTCTCGCTCTGTCACCCAGGCTGGAGTGCAGTGGCAAGATCTTGGCTCACTGCAACCTCTGCCTTCCGAATTCAAGTGATTCTCCTGCTTCAGCCTCCCAAGTAGCTGGGATTACAGGCACCCACCACCATGCCCTGCTAAATCCTTCATATATTTTATAAACTGTCATATTACTCCTCTGCTTAAAACCCTTCAATTCTATCCTGTCATACTCAGAGTAAAATCTAAATTCTTTCCCCAGGCTTGGAAAGCCCTATGTGACATACCTTCTCCTCACTCCCGCCAGCTTCTCTCTGTGGGGAAGCTCCAGCCACATGGGTCTTCCTGCAGCACACCATGCCTGTCTGTACTTCATGCTCCCTTTCCATCTGCCTGGATGCTTCCCCCATCACATTGTTCAACTGACTCCTTGCTCCTTGCTGACTCAGGTCTGAACTTGAAGGACTTATTACTACTGGATCACTGTAAAATTTTCTTTATTCCCACAAGAAATGTATATTTCATGAAAGCAAGGGCTTTGTCTCTCTTGTTCATAACCAGTACTTCCAGTGCCTACAACTGTACCTAGCACAGAGTATATGTGTGTTGAATAAATGAAGAAATAAATGGAATAACTGGAGACATGAGTCATCCAAATGGAAGTTGGCTTGTAGGACATCACACTCTTGACTTTCCATCTACCACAGTGGCCTCCCTTTCTCAGTCTCCTTTGTTGGTCCTTCCTGATTCCTTCTATACCTAAATGGTAGAGTTCCCCAGGGCATCAGTAACGAAAATACCAAATTCCAGAAGAGTAAATGCTTCTGGGACATAGGAAGGTTAAACTGTTTTTAGGGTCTCTTTATCAGGAATAAAACTGATTTATAGACTATAGTCAAATTATCTGTATAATATCTGATCAAATTAACATGCTACCATCTTTGTCACAGGACTAATATCTTACAGCATTCACCAATTAGCTGTTGTATCAAACTACCTCTGGATGTGGTTCTAATTTGGGAAACAAAATGAGGCTTAAGTATATCCTTACTTGTAATATTGGAGTTAATTCCAGAGTAAAATAGTTTCAGGGGAGTAGAAAGAAAGGGAAATTAAGAACAAGAGTAAGAAAACTTCCATTCTCTACTTTGAAATGCATCATGGGTTATGCTTTAAGAATTGTTAACATCGCAGCAGAAAATGCATTCTCTTACCTTCTGCATAGATTTCATCATGATCCTCTATTTGCTCAGATGTTTTCAAATCTGTGATTTGGCCCCAGGGACTTCTAGGTAAATCTGAATTTCTAGTAAAAAATGCATTTGACACTGCAAACTCTGAGGCTTTCTCCACTCTCTTCAATATAACAGAAAAAAAAATCCATAAAGATGACAACAAATTTGTTCAGTTAGAGAATTTCTCTCCTACTCAAGAAACTGATTTTCTACCACCTACTAAGATTCGTTCATTTTTCCATTTTTGGAGAAACTCTTGAGGTTTAAACATCTACCCCCAAATATTCTGGGAGGTTTCATATATAATATTAAATTAATTGCAGTATTTTACCAAGTTCTAACAGATGTTCACAATTTTGATATTTGAATAAAAGTTATTAAGATTTAGATAACTTTTGTTTAGGGCATTAGTGATAGGATCCTGAGACATGGATATTTTACTTTAAATAAAAAATATTATATTTTATTAGTTTTCATGCCCTTAGGACTTGCATATGAATATGAACCAGAGGTAGAGTAACCACACTTCAGCAAATTAGTACTCCTGAAGGAAATCTCCCATCTCATATTAGGCAATCATATATTAGGTTCAATAAAATTGGAATAAACAGAATCACTGAACTGTAGCCATCTAGAATGTTTTAACTCAACAGCAAGAGTCTAGTAAAAACATGACCAAATTTGCAGGATTGGGGGAAGAAACAGCAGAAGTGGACAAACTGCCTTAGTGTTTTTATTTACCTGCACAGAATAAAAACGCTTATATTAGGCTGGGTGCAGTGGCTCATGCCTGTAATCATAGCACTTTGGAAGGCCAAAATGGGAGGACTGCCTAAGCTCAGGAGTTTGAGACCAGCCTGGGGCACTTAGTGAGACTCCAACTCTAGTTAAAAAATAAAAAATTAGCCGGGTGTGGTTGTGCACACCTATAATCCTAGCTACTTCAGAGGCTGAGGCAGGAGGAATCGCTTGAGCCCAGAGGGTTGGGACCACAGTGAGCTGTGTTCATGCCACTGCACTCCTGCCTGGGTGACAAAGTGAGACTGTCTCAAAATAAATAAATTTAATTAAATAAATTTTAAAGCTGGGCACGGTGGCTCATGCTGTAATCCCAGCACTTTGGGAGGCCGAGGCGGGTGGATCACTTGAGGTCGGGAGTTCAAGACCAGCCTGGCCAACACGGTGAAACCCTGTATCTACTAAAAATACAAAAATTAGCCGGGTGTGGTGGCATGAGCCTGTAATCTCAGCTACTTGGGCAGCTGAGGCATGAGAATCACTTGAACCCGGGAGGCAGAGGTTGCAGTGAGCTGAGATTGTGCCACTGTACTCCAGCTCGAGTGACAGAGCGAGACTCTGTCTCAAAAGAAAAAAAATGTTAAAACTTATTTTATAACTTAACCCCTAACTTCCCCCTCCCAGAAACCTGCTTTCTCCCATGATTGCTGTGTTTCTTCCAACTCAGATAGTGACAACTACATTCCTCAGGATGAAAACTTTGGCGTCCTTAATCCAATCTATCTCTCTCTTTCTCACCCCACATATAATTGATCAGGACATCTGTTGACTCTATTTTTAAAATATATACAGAATCTGACCCCTTTCCATCACCTCCATTGCTACCATGTTGGTCCAAAGCACAACAATTTCCTGACAGGTTTTCTGGAATAGCCTCTCACCACAGCAGTGAATGACTCCTTTAAAATGAAAGCCACATAATGTGTGTCACAACTCCACTCAAAAGCCTTCAGTGGCTCCTGATCTCAATCAGAATTAATGTCAAAGTCCTTATAATGCGCTTCCAGGTCCTGCCACGCAGCCCTTTGTGAGCTTTCCAAGACTCTCGCTAATCTTCCCTTTGCTCGTTCTACTTCAGCCTCACGGACCTCCTTGCTTGTTCCTCCTCAAATATGCTCAGTGTGTTCCCAGCTTAGGGCCTTTGTACTTGCTTATCCTCTGCCTGAACTGCTCTCCTACAGATACGCATAGGCATCCTTCCCTCACCTCCTGAAGCCTTTGCTCAAATGTCACCTTCCCAGTAAGGCCTTCTTTGACTACCCTATATGAAACTGTAAACACTCTCCTCCAGCTCTCCTTCTCCCCGTCCTCTGCTCTGATTGTCTCTATAGTACTTACCATCTTATCGTATATTTAATCACTTATTGTCTCCCTCAGGTAGAATGTTGGCAGGAATTCTTATCTTCTTCTCAAGGAGAACCTGGCACCAAGAACAGTGCTTGGCACTCAACAGGTGTCCAATAAATATTTGTTAAAGGAATGAATACATGAAAACTTTATTCAGAAAAGCTGTACTTTCCGATATTTATATTGTCACCTGACCTATTCTGAAAATGACTTTTCCTCCTGCCCTTTATGGAAAGACTGGTGGAACCTCTGCCAAAACTTGCCATGGGCTTTTCCATCCAAATTCTTGTGCGTTTCATACATTAGCTTTAAGTCAGACAGAAGCAGAGGAATAAAGCTGAAAAGTGAAGGGTAATTTGAAAAAGATGTAGAAAACAGAACATACAGGCAAAGACATGAGCCAGAAGAAAACATGATCTCATTAGAGTTAGAGTCAAGAAAATATCATTCACTCCTTATGAAGTCACTTGGTAGAGACCTATTTTCCCATATTATTTCTGATAGCCTCTGATGCATGCAAGTTTATGTTGGTAGCATACGTCATGTATTAGATTCATGGTTGGCACATGGTCTTTCCTTTAGGCTCCTAAATTCTGAGACAGAAAGATGAATTTTGCATATACTGTATGTGTTCGTATATGCACATATGTAAATAACGTACAAATAAATTGATCAACTTTAGTGTTTTAAAAATCCACAAACAAAAAATTAGCAACAAAAACAGATTCGTAGACTTGACTTAGTTCCTCAGGCCTTGAGTGAAAGAAATAATTATGTGTTATGTGTCATCCTACCTGAGTTGGAATTTGTACAGGTTCTTAACAGAGGAGGGTAGAGAGGTTGGGAGAGAAGAGGAGAAAGACTGAAGGATAAAGAAGGATAGAGGCTGGTACTGACAAGGAAATAAAGACAAATGTTTGCTTGGCTTTAACAAGGCAAGTGTTTGGGATATCACTTAAAATGAAGATTTGAGGAGAAAGAACTACTGGATGATACTAAGGACTATACATAATCTCTATATTTGTTTGTGTTAAAACATTACATCCTTAATATTTTTTTTCAAAATAAATATGTAAGACATAGGAGAGAGCTACCCTATATTTAAGTAAAACATTTTGGCAATTTAACAACTTATTCTTTCAGCAAGTCCTGATTGAAGGCTAGCTCTGTTCCCAGCACTGGAGTGGGCATTAAGTGGAAACAAAAGTAAAAGTTTCTGTTCTTAAATAGCTTACTTTTTTTGTTTGTTTTTGGTTTCCTATATCATGTGTGCAATAAACAACTCAAGGACAGTTCTGAAGCAATGCAGGGTGATTTAAGAAAAACTGAACACCTTCAAAAGCGTATCATAGTAACTATGTTATATATAAACATATTACTTGTAAAGGAACTATCTCAGTTATTCCCACGATCTTATAAATGCTCAATATGTGTTCCTTGTGTCCCACAGCAGACATCAATCCCATGGTCCACTACAGATCCTTTGTAGCCTAGCAACATGGATGGCAGAGACAGCAGTTACAATGTCATCCTTCATTTCCTCAAAACCAGTGGATACAAACATGAGCTTCTTGACATACTGCATGCTCATATATAATAAATAGTTCTGTGAGTAATAAATTTTTGAAGCTACCCATTCTTTTTTAATCACTTTGTACAAAAGCAAATGCTTGAGGCTGTATCTGTGTATATAAATGCCAAAATAATTCTAGGTGAAAGAGTAGTACAAGATGGGATTAGGAGGTGGAGGTAGGTAAGGGGGATTTGTCCACTTAGAGAGGCATCTCAAGTTGAGCTACAAGGGAAGGATCTGGATTGGCCTCTCAGAGAGGAGGAGTATTCCAGGCTGAGGGATCAACGTGAGTCAAAGCAAAAGGAACACCTGTCTGATGGAGGGGAAGGAGACTGGCTTGACGGGAGTCATGGAGGATCAGTATAGGGACTGCTACAGATAAATTGATATTATAGGTTGACTGCTAGAGGGTTGTCAATACTCATCTGGAATTTATAGAGTTTCGTCTGATGGCACATAGAATAACTGATGATTGGAGAGTAGGGAAATGATTTGATTAAAATGTTTAGAAAGCTCAATCAAGTTACAGAATGCCCTGGAGTAAGATGAGTCAGTCCATCTCATCAAGATGAGGATAAATTGTAAATCATGGTGGACTGTTGCATTTTGGGTGAGTTGCTGCAGGACTCACAGTTTTACCCAACCATCTACCTGATTCTAGGTGATTTCAATGTCCCTGAAGATGAATCACCAACATCTCAGCCTTGAGGTTTGGTTGTTCATCTGTATTCCAACAGCTTTCCCCTCAATTCCACTTCAGCAACCTATTGACATCGTGACCCCGAACCATGTCACAAAGCATGGTTCACAACATTTTCCATTGCTCAAACCAAACTGATAACCCCTTCTCCAACATCAACCTCTGATCCATCTCCCTGTTTCATTCTCCCTACTCCTATGACACTGAAGTTGGACCTAACCAAGTCTTCTAGTCACTGTACACCTCCCTCTTCTAACTTGAGTCCTTGAAAGGGTTCCTTCCTTTCCTACTCAGTGTGGATATGCAGCTACTATCTTACTGCATCCTCGAACCCCTTGTTCCTTGGCTGTTCCAGAGAAAACCTCCAAGTCTGGATCAATCTGATCTACCTATTTTTAGTACCATAAAATATTATGGGCCAGGCATGGTGGCTCACGCCTGTAATCCCAGCACTTTGGGAGGCTGAGCCCAGTGGATTGCTTGAGCCCAGGAGTTTGAGACTAGCCTGGGCAACATAGTGAAACCCCATCTCTATTTAAAATATATATTTAAAAATTAATTATGGTTAACTGCTTCAGCCATGTCCCCAGTGCCACTGAGAAATCTTCCTTTTCTGTTCTGAAGAGAGGCCTTTCTCAATTTTTACTATACTCCATACCCTTTCCATATATTCTCCCCTTCTTTCACATAAAGAGGTCTCAGCTGATTTTGAAAGGGTGGTCCACTCAAGTGGACTTTGAAGTCTTCGGTCCAGAGGTTATAACTGTTTAGGGTACACCCAGAGTTAGCAATGAAATAAGAAAAGAAGACAGAGAAGTGAACAAGGAAGTATTAGAAGCAGCAGGAAAAAAACAGTTACAAAAAGACCATGGAGGAGAGGATTTCTAGAATAAAGCAATGGTAACTATGTCAATGTAACCTGAAAAAGTTTGAGGACTATCAAAAGACTACTGGATTTGGTCAGGAAGTCATTTATGACAACAGTTTCTGTGGAATGGTAAGAAATTAGGACGCAGGAGAATAACTGTGGACACAAGAGGACAAGAAAAATACAAAGGCAAGGAGTCCAGGTTATGTATCCAAAACATTAGATATGAAAAAGAAATCGTTCAGGAATCAGAATAGATTACAGGATCAAATAAAGACTTATTGGTTTTTTTCAAGACAGATTTGATGACATAATGGAGACAGAGCCAATGCAGAAATGTTAGAGGAATGATAAAAGATGATAAAAATTGAGTCAAGCTGGCTGAAAACTATATGAAAACGGACAATGTCACAGACAAATCAGAGCAAAATTTTATCTTCCTGTTTTAGTTAAATCTTTGCCTCTGAAGAGATGGTAACTAACTGTGTGACTAAGCCCTGCAGGGACTTGGCACTGGGACTCTCAACACTCACATGCAAGCTAGTCTTACTAGATAGAGGAGTGGCCTTCCTAGAGACTAGCATTCATGATGGTAGATCCACTTTAGTCGTCATCTAAGTTAGGCTTTCTGCAGTAGCCAGGAAGCTTCCCCTGACTCCATTTAAATTAGTGCCTCTCACCACATACTTCCATTACATCTTTAATTCTCTCATGAGCTTTAGTAAGTTGTTTATTCTCCACTGGACTGTAAACCCTGGGAGGGCAGGGACTGTACCTGCTCTGTTTTAGCTCCAACACCCAACACAGTGGGCTAGTACTTAGTAGGCACTCAAATACCAGCTGAATAAATAAATGCTTAAAAATTATTACATCTGGCCTAGGATCTATTATATCTATCTGGGATCTGGTGCTCATGATGCATGTCAATTTAGATGAGTAATCACTCTTCAAAATACTGTCAGAATGGTCTTTTCCCGGGAAAATGCTGCATGATTTTGAAACATGTGGTACACGATGAATTGAATATGGCAAGTTGCTAAACTGACACGCAGAAGCACACACCTGAAATGATTTAATGGCACTTTCAAATTAAATGGTACTCAGACTCAAAAATACATATCTCAGGCCTGGAAGAGATGTCAGAGGTTATCTAACACAATCTCCCCTTCACTGAATCCTCAAACATATTGTTCATTAGCCTAACATTAAGTGACCAGTTAGAGTCCATTAAAATAGCTTCAGTGGTAGAAAACACATCTCTATAAGAACACCCAGTCCACTTTTGGATGGACTAGTCATTAGAAAATTCTTATTTGTGATGCACACGTAGTTTTCACCCATTAGTCCCTAGGTCATTGTAACTACAGTGCAGTCTTTCCAACATCTGAGGAAGGCCACCATATCCTCTCCCAAGGCTTCTTTTCACAACTCCTTTAATCCTCTTCATGTGATACTCATGGCATTTGAAACGAAGTCTACACACCTGTTTTCTTGTCATTCCTACTTAAATGGTATCATGAGAGGCAACAGAATTATGAAAAAAAATACTAAAAAGTATAAAATTAAGGCAACTTACATAGTCACACGGGAATAAAAATAGCAGAGTATGTGCAAAGTGGAGATCTATTCATATTTCTTTTCCATCTGATTATGCTTGACTCTTAATACTCTTTTTATTCTAAATTTGAAATATCCTTACCTTTATCCAGTGTTCCACACTGTCAGGACCAAAAGTAGGCTGTAGATAACATATATATGATATCAATACGCAGCAATATCTTTATCAACTTTGCCATTTAAATCTATCCTTCTGACTAAAGCATATGGAACAGTGTCCTTTATTATTTCCCCAAAGCATTTCATTAGAAAGTTCAGCATGATTAGCAATAAAAGACACAGAATAGCAGTATGAGGAGAAAACATGAAGCCTTCCTGGGACACTGATTGTTTTTATTTCTTGTCTAGGTCCACCTTGATATTGTGATTTAATTGGTCTGGGATAGGACCCTGGCACTGCTATTTTTTTAAACCTCCTTAGGGTTAAGAGTCAAGATATAGAAATGCTAAATATAAAGCTACTCATTAAAAAAAAAAAGCACTGATTAATTAGCCAGATTATCCAAGTAATCTTTAGCTTAAAGAAGGGTGTGTTCCTCTCCTTACTCCTTTCATAAGTAGCCTGTAGCAAGAGGCTTTCTCATCTTACCCAGATCAGGGATCTTGTTTGGCCCAATAAAAACTGAAGGTTAAAAAATCTGACTTCTACTGTTTTACAAAGCAGAAAATATAAATTTCCACCCAGATCAGTCAGGTATTAATCTGAAATTAGAAGTAAAACCATCAGGGCATTTCCTTTCTTCACTCTCTGTAACTCCTAGAAGCTTGGAGAATTCCCTCTAATAGTCACTTAACAAATAGAGTTATCTTCTTTGCCAAAAATGCAGGTGTGTTTTGGCCGGGAGCAGTGGCTCATGCCTGTAATCCCAGCACTTTGGGAGGCCAAGGCGGGCAGATCACAAGGTCAAGAGATCAAGACCATCCTGGCTAATACGGTGAAACCCCGTCTCTACTAAAAAAAAAATACAAAAAATTAACCAGGCGTGGTGGCGGGTGCCTGTAGTCCCAGCTACTCAGGAGGCTGAGGCAGGAGAATGGCGTGAACCCGAGAGGCGGAGCTTGCAGTGAGCCGAGATTGCACCACTGCGCTCCAGCCTGGGCGACAGAGCGAGACTCTGTCTCAAAAACAAACAAACAAACAAACAACAACAACAACAAAAACTGGGGAATGGGGCGAGGGTTAATCAATCTGACTTTTACTGTTTTACAAAGCAGAAAATATAAATTTCCACCCAGATCAGTCAGGTATTAATCTGAAATTAGAAGTAAAACTATCAGGACATTTCCTTTCTTCAACCTCTGAAACTCCCAGAAGCTTGCAGAATTCCCTCTAATAGTCACTTAACAAATAGAGTTATCTTCTTCACTAAAAATTCAGGTGTGTTTTTAAAATAAGGGGATATCCTGATGATTTGTCATTGGAGCACTAAATCTCTTTTGGTTTGGCGTTCCCAGTTCATGAATTGCTTCTTACTCAAATATACTCTTTAAAATAATAATAATAATAATAATAATAAAATAAGGGGATATCTAAACTAGCATACTGACACATGGAGGTGGGAAAAATATAATACTCTTTCACTTACCTAACACTTTACCTTCAAAGCATCTTACTGATAACTAACGCAGCTGTACTGCTTAATAATTTTGTCACTGCAACAAAGAAAGAGCTGATCTAATTAAAATACAACTGAACTTGAAGAAGCCCTATGTTTTTACCTTTTTTTCTCTAGGCAGTAATAATGAGCACTAGCAGCAAAAATCCTTCCTTTTGGAGTCCTAAGAAATTATTCTAAATTTTTACCTTTCATCATCAAGTCCATATCTATATCCTATCTTGGATCCAATACATTATGCAACTGATGTATTGAAATAGCAGCAGCCTCAGTTTCCAAGTCTCCCTGATGCTTCAGTCTGTGCCCTCTAGTATCTAGGGCAACATATTTGTCATGTGGAATATGTCCAATGCATTTAGCTGGTAAATTTAGAATAAATCGCAAGAACAATCGCCTGGGGCCCTCAAAAAGGCCACATACATCTACAGAATATTATTTAGGAAAGTATAACTTAAGGGTGAAAACAGCTGGTGAAACTGCTCTGTAGCTGAAAGCTGAGAAGCTTCTCCATTTTAGTACTCTCATTTAGATTTTAAGCATCTTTTTGGGGACTGTTAAAAAGGTAGTCTGTGGAAAGCACACGGTGCAACTGTGACTTTGCACATGTCACATATGTTTCAAGTTTAAAATGGGGTTATTATTTTTTTCTTATCTTCAGGTGCTAATGCATCCAAATGGGTGATAGATACGGAGAGAATCTATTTTTTGAAAGTTGGTTGAATTTAGAAATTACTATGTGAATCAAGTATTAATGTATTCAATATCCATTTGCACTCCTGAGTTTATTTAGATACTTTACGTAAAAGTGAAGGGGCAGGAATATAGGCAGGGTATTTAATGTGAAGCTCTCTCCCGTTAATAAAGATCAATTACCCCAAGATTTGCAAAAAAAAAAAAAGAGAGAGAAAAAGAAAGAAATGTGCGAGAAGTTTCCTAAAATTTAAGGTAGGGGGAACGGAGTTTGCAAACTCCTTTCACCCCGATGGGCATTAGCAGACACCTCCGGTTTTAGAAAAGCGTTACAAACAGTTCTTCCACGATGCTGCCCACCAAAGCCGTAATGTGCCCAGACCCCAGAGCTCCTAGAGCATTTCACTCAGGGTAATGCTGGCTTTGGGGCGGTCAAGGCAGGGGCGTGTCAGCTCAGGATGAAGAGGCAGGAAGCACAGACGGGCCGCGACTGGCTTCCTGACTGCGCCGCGCCTTGGGAAAGTCCCCGCCCTCCAAAGCTCTCGATTGGGATCACCTTGGGACTCGGCTTCCTTGTGAACCGTTTCCAGCGATTCAGCCCCATCCTTTTCTTTGAGAAGGACCTTCCCTGAGGCGCCAGGAGCATTTTCCAAGTTCGAGCCCGAACCTCGGCCAAAGCTGCAGCAACCGCCCTTCTGCCCGGGCTGCCTCCGGGTCACGCTGGGAATTGTAGTTCCTCCGCCCGCAAGGAAAGCAGGCATAGGACACCGTCGAACCACCACTCCCACGAGGCTCTGCGCAGGCCGCTCGCGTTGGCTCAGTTACCATAGCAACGGCAGAGGTCCCTCGCTCTTGCCGTCATCAAGGCTCGCTTGAATGTCGGCTTTGCTTTTTTTCTGGCGCCCAGTGATGACGCAGTACTCCCTGATTGGCTCTGCACTGGAGGCAGTGATTTTGGGGCAGAGAATTTTGCAACACGTGGTAGTGAACTGTGAGGAGTTTGAGGGGTCTGAAGACTGAAAGAGTCGAATGGTTTGTTGGCAGGTAAGTGCCCCTTTGCCCTGCTGGTGTGGGAGCTGCTAGAGATGGATGAGTCACGTCGCGTCCAGACGCTTCCTGGTTGTGTTGCAGTAACGGTGATTGTACTCCCGCCATGTCTCCTCTGCTTCCCTTTTCAGGGTGTCCTGGTGGATTGGTTTCTGTAAGTTCAGATTCTCATAAATCGTGTGAGCGTCGCCGACACCTCTGAGATAAAAGGGCCCCTTTCGACTAGCCTCTGCTGAAAGGTAGAGTTTTCAGGAAGTTTTTATTCCGAACTGCCCATGGGAGGGTGGGACCGTCTTCAATCTCTGAGCCAGGTGCCTAGGGAGGTCTGGGGCCATGGAGATGGCCCATGGAGCAAAGATAAATCCAGGCTTATTGGCTTAGCCGAGGTGTTTCCAGAGACAGCCCATTTAGGGGTGATAAATGGGCTTATAAAGCAGAGTAAAGATTTAGAACAGGAGTTTTGAATTCAACTACTTTGTGGCTATATGACCCTAGGCAACTTGTTTAATAACTCAGAGACCCTGTTTTCTCATGCAAAATGGGGACGATAATACCTGAATCACTGGAGTGTTGTAATGATTAAAAATAAATGTATGTGAAGCATTCTGCCAGGAAATGTAAACTAAAGTTGATTTGAAATTGGTGAAAATGAAGTTAGGGAAGCTATGCCCTCGGACTGTTGCAGCGATCCTAGGACCAGCTCTGTAACTGGTCTGTCTGAAAGGCGGTTGAATAAATTGTGCTCATACAAACTATGCAGTACCACGAAGTAGTTTTTTTCAAAAGGGTAAGTTAGCTTTATGTCTCTTCTTCAGGAAAGACGTCTAATGTTTATTCTTGAGAGAAAAGCAAATTGCAGAGAAGTGCATATATTATAGTATAATATGTTTCCATTTTTGTAAAAGCAAACCCTGACCAAAACACTCCCTCCCATATGCAAGTATGTTTAAATATTTGTATGAGAATGGAGAAAGATTGCAGAGACTGGGAGGATGGATTAGAGGCGGGAGGGAGAAAGGGAAAAGAAGAAGAACACTATAGCAAAATGGAAACTAAGATTATAATGTGCTTGTGTACCAGATGGAACTTCTAATAAGCTCCCAGCCTATTAGAGTACAGCGCTGAAAACTAGACTTCAATAATTAAAGTCCTTGCTCTGCCACTTACCAGCTGGGGATTTTATCAGCCTCAGTTTATCATACATAAAATGCAGATAATAATGGTATCTATATTATGCATTTGATCTGAGGATTAATGGAGTGAATATATAAAGAACAGTGCTTAATACATAGTAAATACCCGATAAATGTTAGTTGCTATTATTGTCTTTCTATATGTGAAATTAATTTAACTTTTATTGTGATTACTGACATTTGGAATTCTACCATCTTATTTTGTGTTTTCTATTTCTTTTTTTTGGTCTCTTTTCCTTTCTTGCCTTTTATTAGGTTAATTCATTTTTCTTTATCTTCCCACTTCCCTCTCCAGTGAGTTTGGAAATTATGCATTCTGTCATTAATCGTTTAACAGTTACTTCTGAATTTTTAACACACATACTCAACAAAGTTTAACGTCGTCGTTATCTCTTTCCCCCTACCAAATGGTGTAACGATTTCCGAATGCCTTGGAAAAATCTTCATTTACTGTTTTCTAGAATTGTAGCGTTCTTCATTTCTTTTTTTTGAGACGGCATCTTGCTTTGTTACCCAGGCTGGACTGCAGTGGCATGATTTTGGCTCACTGCAACCTCTGCCTCCTGGGTTCAAGTGATTCTCCTGTCTCAGCCTCCGGAGTAGCTGGTATTACAGGCATGTGCTGCTACACCTGGCTGATTTTTGTGTTTTTAGTAGAGACGGTTTCACCATGTTGGCCTGGCTGGTCTCGAACTCCTGACCTTAGGTGTTCCTCCCACTTCGGACTCCCAGAGTGCTGGGATTACAGGCGTGAGCCACCGTGCCCGGCCAGCGTTCTTCATTTCTGTGTGTCATTTCTGAGTCAGCTCAATGCACCACATTGTTTAAAAGTCCTTCAGTCATTTTTCTATGCATATACTATGATTATAGAAAGTGTACATGTGTGGGAGAGAGGGGTAAGAGATGCTGATGTGTACTTATATATACAGCTTTCCTTTCACAAAAAATATGACCATCTTTTGCCTTAGGAAATTTTGGACATTTCCATGGCAGTATGTAGAGAATCCAGCTAGGAAACATTTAAAAATCCATTCTCTCCTGATAAATGAAGAGTGGAGGTGGTGGGTCGCACTGGAAGTGTTAGGACAGGTACGGTGTTGCCAGAAGTGCAGGGAATCTTTGTTAGTCCTTGTAAAGGTACAGATCCACTGACAGCCTGTCATTTGTCTTTACACTCTTAAGGGTTTTTCCTTAAGACTTTCTCAGGAATGCCATCTGTGACACCAGAAATATTAGAGCAGACCCACAACAAGTGAAAAGGGAAGGGATCATGATAAAGGCAAATAAAAACTAGTTAGTATTTTGGAGACTGTTGATCTGTTTCTTGAACTTTCCTTGGCAAAAAAGGAAATAATCACTCTCAAAGCATGTTTTTAAAAATATGTACATGAATATGTGTATGTGTGTGTACTATTTTATTACTTCATAGTAACAATTTATTGTATTTGAGCCTCTAGAAAAGAAGTGTAATTATAAAAAACATTTACCATAACCTGAACAATGAATGAAGAAAGGAAGACTTGGTTCTTCTAGCTCTGGACAAAATTCCATTTTTTTAAAAAAAATATTGATTTCCAGCTGAAGTATAGTACATCTCTGATGTTTTCCTCAGATTTTAAAATATTTGCATTCATCCCCACAAAACAGAATCACTGACCATGGCAGTTTATTTTAATACTTTTTCTTAAACCCAGTCATCTGCTTTTGCTTCCTTATTTTTCTCTTCGTTAATATGTTGAGTTACTGTGATTAGGGTGGAACTTTTATGAAGCCCCAAACAACAGAAGTGAGTATGTAGCACCAAAATCGTTCACTGTAGAGAAAGCCAAGTAGGTATTTCTCTCCAGCTGGCTGAGTGGGTTCAGTATTCTAAGCTGAGGATTTTGAATTTCATCTTTAAAGTTATTTGGGATTAAAGCATTATATCACAGGAGAGCCCATCTCTGCCTCTAAGAACATGGTGGCCAATGTCCTTTAGAGTTACAAAGGACCTCTAATTACAGACTTTCAGTTAAGAATCAAGAAAGTTGTTTCTTCAGTTGAGGAAAGAGTGGGAAGGGGAGATGAGAGGGAAGGGGAGATGAGAAAGAAGAGAGAAGATGCCTTCAGGACTGAGTGGATGATTAATCACACTTGAGACTCGTTTGTTAAAAGATGGGAACTTCTAGAATATGTTCATTCTTTCCTTACACAAGGATGAAACTAAGAAGTCTTTGAGAGAAAGGTAAGTCTTGGAAGCCAATGGTCTGGGCTTCCAGGTCTGGCTGCCTTTATACTCTTAGAGAATCCTTGTGTCCAACCTTGGAGAATCTGAGATTGGTTGTTTGGTCATCTTCGCTTATCTGTGGGGAATATGTTCCAAGACCCCTTGTGGATGCTGGAAACTGCAAATGGTTCCAAACCCCAGATAGATAGGTAGGTAGGTAGGTAGGTAGGTAGATAGATAGATAGATAGATAGATAGATAGATAGATAGATAGATAGATAAGATAGATTAGATAGATAGATTAGATAGATCCAAACCCTAAATAGATAGACAGACAATAGACAGACAGTATGATGTTTCCTATCTATACATACCTATAATAAAGTTTAATTTATTAATTAGGCACAGTAGTAGATGTTAGTCACCTCGGCAAACAGTCTTTTTTCTTTTCCTAGTTGGAGAACTTTAACCTTTTCTCATAAGGGATCACTTTATGGCTTCCCTTTGGCATATCCGTATTGCCAGCATCACAACTCTTGTGCTGTGGGGCCAGTCGTAAGTAAAATAAGGGTAACTTGAACATAAGCACTGCAATACAGTGACGGTTGATCTGATCAATGTGACAGCTCCTAAGTAACTAAGGGGCGAGTGGCGTCTACAGTGTGAAGATGCTGGGCAAAGGGATGATTCACGTCCTGGGTGGAACAGAGCAAAATGGTGAGAGATTTCATTATGCTACTCAGAATGGCATGCAATTTCAAACTTATGTTTATTTCAGGAATTTTCCGTTTAATATGTTTGGACCTCGGATGTCCATGGGTAACTGAAACTGGAAAGCAGAACTGTGAATGGGGGTACTGTGTTAAGAAAACCGATGGGTTTCCTTTTAGTTGCCTTTATGTACCTTCTTCTTCCCATTCTGATTCTATGCTTGCATGGCATATTTGGCTTCATGTATTGCATTCTATAGGGCAAACATGCCACTGACTGATCCACTTTGCTTTTTTCGATTCTCAGAGTAAATAATTGTGCATACTGATTTTATTGTTTAGTCTCTGAGGTTGATAGGTTTGAGCCTGACCCTGAGTGATGGCTCTGTGCTGGGTATATAGAAAAGATCAGGCTCAGCTTACCAGGCAGAAGCCTAAATCCCTTACCAGTGGCCAGCCAGCCCTCCAAGCAGTACAAGACTGTAAGGCACTGGAGGGAGCAGCAGCAGGTGGCTAATCTTTGAGCCCCTGTGTAATTCTGTTGGCACAGGTTAAAGAACTTGACAGCTGCTTTCTTTTATCTCTTTTCTTTCTCTTTCTTTTCTTCTTCTTTGTTTTTAAGACAGGATCTCCCTCTGTTGCCCAGGCTGGAGTGCCAGTGGCGTGATCATGGCTCACTGCAGTCTCTGCCTCCCTGGCTTAAGGGATCTTCCTACCTCAGATTCCCAAGTAGCTAGGACTACAGGTGCATGCCACCATTCCTGGCTAGTTTTTGTATTTTTTGTAGAGACAGGGTTTCATTGTGTTGCCCAGGCTGCTCTTGAACTCCTGGGCTCAAGCGATCTGCCCACCTTGGCCTCCCAAACTGCTGGAATTACAGGCGTGAGCCAATGTGCCCAACCAAAGCCACTTTCTTTTTATGACTTTCCACAGTGTGTTCTAGGGGAAAAAAACAAAAAGATGTTTCATAGATTTCACATATACTTTTGAAAAATCTTGTTATTTTCAGTGGCCATGGTATGCTGCAGGATATTCTAAAAAAAAAAAAAAAAAAATCTGAATGCATCTCCTAGCATGTTAAATTTACTCTCACATAAAAGCCATAATTGGATGGGTGCAGTGGCTCACGCCTGTAATCCCAACACTTTGGGAGGTCAAGGCAGGAGGATCACTTGAGCGCAGGAGTTTGAGACCAGCCTGGGCAACGTAGTGAGACTCCATCTCTCCAAAAAAAGTTTTTTAATTAGTTAGGTGCAGTGGTTGGGCACCTGTGGTCTCAGCTACTTAGGAGGCTGAGGTGGGAAGGTTACTTGAGCCTGGGATGTCAAGGCTACAGTAAGCCGTGATTACACCACTGCACTCCAGCCTGGGCAATAGAGTGAGACCTTGTCTCAAAAAAAAAAAAAAAAAAAAAAAGAATAAAAAGAATACAGGCCTTTTGCAGGAGGCCCAGGTTCTAGACAAGCCTATGACTAAGCAGGCCTAGTCTCAGACTGATTACAATAAAATGGCAGAAGGGGTGATGTGGTGATGAGGAATTCCCAGGTAGGGGTCTCTGGTAGTAATGGAACTCTATAAACTATTTTCAGTATTTCTAAAGTCTAATGGTAATTATACAATACTGGGATATTAAGCACAGTTTTACTAAAGCAATGGGGTTTGTTGTTTTTACCTGGAATTCAGTTAACACAACATGGAAAAGCAGATTATCTCATGCTTGTCAGAAGCTTTGGTTGTCAGTCATTTGTGTCATTTATTAATAAACTGGAGAAACGAGAGCATAAATTTGATGAGGAGAGATAATAAAAGTAACATTCTAGAATCCTATACTTCATTTTTCAAACGTATTAGTTTTACCCAATGAAGGTTCTTCGTGCCTTTATATGAATTTAATTTAAAAAACACTGTTCATGTGTGTACATTTAAACTCTTTACATACTTTACACAGCTCAGATGAGAGAGTATTTTTGGAGTAAGATAGAATTTTTGGAGGAGCCAGCAAGTTCTTGTCTCTAGCCCTTTCTGAAATAGCTTCGGGCAACACAGTTTCTTCCGTTCTCAGACGTATGTGATAGTAGGAAATGCGTAAGTTACTGCAGCATTTAAAAATTCTGGTCCGTTTAATTTTCATTAGTTCTTATTTGTGTTTCAAGAAATCTAGTGTTCCATATTGGTTGATTTCAATATTCAGTCAGAACAACAGGTATTGATTCATGAAGCTTTGAAGTACATTTCTCATCTTTGTGCTTCCCCCTGCTTCAATTCTCCAGAGCTACTTAGATTACAAAAGTCTGTCTTAAATTTCACATTAGAACTCTGTTGGTTTAAAATATAAAATACATTTTTATCACTTGAAATCAGTATTATCTGATAAATAAATAAAGATTACAATTCTTTTATATTTTCTACAGTATGCTTTTATTAGCTTATAAGTATAGTTTTACAGTTTTCTTAAATGAACCTTCTTGTTTTAGCAGTTTTAATGTGTAACAATAGGGTATGTAAAAAAATAGCTTTTATACTATTTATTAAAATATAACCTTTTTTTCCTTACCAGTCTCCATTTATGTGGGTTCTAATGACACTTATTTGTATGTTTCTATCTTAGTGATAACTTGAAATAATGATCTCATAGTTATAGAAAATTGACCAGGCTTTCATCAAACACTTATATTAGTTTTTATAATTTGTGTTTAGCATAAAATCTCTTCTTAGACCATATAGAAAGTAGTTATTCTTTTTTTTTAAGAAAGTAGTTATTCTTATGTCTAAGATTCTAATGACAAAGATGGCTATTTTATTTAAATTTAAGAATTTATGTCTCCTAAAAAAAAGTAATGTTTTTATTCTTGAATATATTTAACTAATGATAGATATGTCTTATTTATTTGGTGACATTTTAACAATGGTTGACTTTCAGAGTATGGTATGCTATAATGCTTAAGAAAATGGGATCTGGCCGGGCACAGTGGCTCATGCTTGTTACCTCAGCACTTTGGGAGGCTGAGGTGGGCGGATCACCTGAGGTCAGGAGTTCGAGACCAGCCTGGCCAACATGGTGAAACCCCATTTCTACTACAAATACAAAAGTCATCTGGGCATGGCGGCACACACCTGTAATCTCAACTACTTGGGAGGCTGAGGCAGGAGAATCTCTTGAACCCGAGAAGCAGAGGTTACAGTGAGCTGAGATCGCTTCACTGCACTCCAGCCTGGGTGACAGAGCGAGATTCTGTGTCCAAAAAAAAATGAAAGAGAGAAAAGAAAAGAAAATTGGATCCTCTCTGATAGCTCATTTGTCAACTAATAAAACTGGGCCTGGCCCAGTTTTTAAGAATTCCAGAAGATATGGTACTTGCTGTAGAGATGTAATGAAGTATTTGTAAAATGTTGGTATGTCTGGTGACATTTAGCCGATGATGTGTGTGCTTATCAAGTTCTGTAGTGCATTTTAAAAGTGGAACCCAGTATTTTGCTTCACTGAATACTAAATCATTTAGGAGCACCCAACAAGTAATTGATAATGTTTTCTGATTTTTTTTCCCTGTATATCTATAGAAGTTAGAAAGTGTATCTTTATTTTTTTCTTTAAACACATATTAGTCTTTCCCAGTTATAAAAGTAATGACACTTTGCTTATGGATTGCGTGTATGCTCCACACAGTTTCTCACTTCTGTTTGGATACCATATAAGAACAAATTGGGAAATAATCCGACCTCAGAGATCTGTTTATGTTTTGACATTTATTTTTCCATATATTTTCATAAACACCAGGATGCTCTTTTCTTCACTTAACAGCATTATTAGGAAAAAATTGCTATATTGCTTAGCCTTCCCTCAAATTGGAGAAAGAAAAAAGTGGATTATATCAATAATCAGTATGGCCTAAGCAGTGTTACTGTTCTCTGTATACATTTTCAAGGCTGAGAGAGCCTTGGCTTCATGGCATTCTTTCCATGATTAGTCTTTCTAATTCTGTTCTTTCATTTGTTTGGTTTTCATCAGCTCAGACAAAAATTCCATGACTAAATTTAAAATTAGTTGATGCCAATATGTGGTTCTGGGACCTTAGGGAAGATGTCTTATTCTCTTTATGTCTTTTCCCATTCCCCCGTTCCTGATATCTATGAAAATATTTAGACTGGAAGCAGTAATAAGCATGCTATCATTCATTTTCCTGAAGATTTTTTTTTTTTGCAAAATGCTTGGCCTCTAGGTGTTGTGAAGCTCCTTCTATACTTAATGCTCTTTTCTTGACAGGACCTAGAAGAATCCCTTAGGATGAAGCTGAGTCTTACCAAGGTAGTTAATGGCTGTCGCCTAGGAAAAATAAAAAACCTGGGCAAAACAGGGGACCACACCATGGATATTCCAGGCTGCCTTCTGTATACCAAGACTGGCTCCGCCCCACACCTCACCCATCACACGCTGCATAATATCCACGGGGTTCCTGCCATGGCTCAGCTTACGCTGTCATCCCTGTAAGTGTTAGAACCAATGATTCAAGTATCAACTGTGGCAGCAGCTTAGTTACCTTAGGTGCAAAAAAGAGAAATATTTTTTTTTGTTCATATATATAAATTGTCGATTTTCATAATGAAATCAGAAGAGAGGTTTCAAATATTATACATCTTCTGGCCCTAATCTGGAAGCCACAGGCCAGACCTATATGTTAGATCTGCTTCACTTTTCCTCCAAACCTACAGTCCCATACTGCCATGTCGCCACTGCTCCCAGGGGTGACAGGGCGGGGAATGTTCTGTGAGAGCTGCATTTGGAGTTCAGGAGCTGTTATCATGCACCAGCCTCAAAGTTTTTTCTGCCTTTGCACATATACTTGCTAATACTACTTTATGGAAACAGAACTAAAGTTAGATCATTTTGTGTAATGTATATACTGACTTTATACTTAATTGAAAAGCCTACTATATGACCAATTAACATAATAGTCTGCAGCGTTGTGTTAACAACAGAGATTTTAAAGGGGCAAGAGAAGGAAGAAAATTCAAGTATTCTGAAGGAGTTGATCTTTGCCAGTTTCATGTCTCACAGAACCACTAGCAAGTTGAAGGCCTTCGTTCTGGCTAATGAACCTAGCCTAATTAGTTAGAACTCTTGAATAATGGTGTAATTCAAGACAGCATTTACCATGATGTAACTTATTTGGGTGAGGAGAAGAGGGCTCCAGTTGTACAGAGTATTTACAGAATGACACATTATTATGTTATGTATTTTTCTGTTTTGCTTACAGAGCAGAACATCATGAAGTCTTGACAGAATATAAAGAAGGAGTTGGAAAGTTTATAGGTAAAAATTAAGTTACTTATATGTGCCTTGTGATGTGTTAATTTGGAGTTTGGAGGTGCTGTTACCTCTTTGATCTTTCATTCATATGTTTGTTTATTCATAAATTTAATAAGTATTATTTGAACATCTAAGAGCCAGGCATTGGCAAGTCAAGATTGAATAGGAAACAGTTGCTGCTCTCATGGAATTTGGAGCCTAGCTGGGATAAAGATAGAGAATTCTAGTAAAAATTGTGGTTACTGCTTTACAGGATTAGGGATATGTATGGATATCATGACAGGCCAGAGGGCAGAGCATATAACCTGCTCTAGGGTATATGTGCAAGGTGGTCAGAATAAAAAACGGATTCTTTTTTTTGTTTACGCCTCCATAAAAACCCAGAGAAAGGATTCTTGAGAGAGAAGTTGAGGGGCATTTTAGCTGGGTCAAGGAAGAGTAAAAGTTACCCAGGTTAGGAGTGGGAGCCCAGACAGGTGTGGGGCAGATGCTGCAGGCACTGAGTATCTGACTCAGCGGTGAGAACTTGCATGGGGCATTCGTGAGCTCCAAAGTAGTCTCATCATGCTTGAACCTCAAACATGCAGGGGAGGATGAAGCGTTTGTATATGGCTGTATTCTGATATGTTAATATTATCCTTTATTCCAGAAATAGGATTTTATATGCAGATGTATGCATCTATTTATTTATAGGAAAAGCTTAGCAGTGACAGCTAGAACATCAGTTCTTCTATACACCGCTTTCTCCTAACGCTTTTTCTGGTATCTAGGACTCACTTGAATGAAAATCCTGTTTCCATTGGTTATTCAGTCTTCTGCTTCTGAGAGCAGCTGCATGATGTCCTGTTGGTTATCACAAAGCCCTGTATTTTAGTAGAGGAATTTATGGAATATCATTCTCCTTGACCTGAGCCCAATTTTAATAACCAGCTTTAAAGTATACAAGCATATAATTAAATGAAAATAGCTAATGTAGGCTTTCTAGAGATAATTGTAATAATTGAAATTATGGAAAATAAAGTGAAAAAACTGCAGAGGTTTTACACTTGCTTTTTTTTCACTGGAATCCTGTTTTATTTTCCTTAACGAAAATGTGGGCTAGCATATGATATTTAGGCACATGGTTTACTAAACTTTTTTTGCATTTTTTAAAAAATGATTGTCTTTTTGACTGAAGAACTTAAGAAACTGTCATCGTGAATCAATGAAACTTACTAAGAATGGGATCCATTTGCAGCATCCTATAGCTTCTCTAAAATTCTGCCCCTAGGGACCCATGATATTATTGAGATTTATTATTAGTGAGATCACTTTGTGGGCATATCATTTTATCTTTGCGGTAGCTAGTTCCCCTTGGATGGTACCTGGAATAAGCATATTTGATAGTAAATTCTTTAAGTAAAGTCAAATGAGATCAACATGTCACTAAATACTTTCATTGTATATTGTGCTTTAAGATACATCTTTCCTTTGTAGCAGCTCAGTACCTATTTATTAGACGTGAAGCTTTATATTTCTTTCTTTAGATTAGTAATCTTTTTATACATATTGATAGGCCTTCTCTAATTCCAAGTTCAGATACAACCTATTGACAGTGTTTAGAGTTGCTTTATTCAGCAGTACACATTGCGAAGCTGCTCCCTGCTATAATACAGTGTCATTGTTGATGTAAGCACTTTCAAGGGTTCTTTTTTGTGTTTATACAGGCATGCCAGAATCACTCTTGTACTGCTCCCTGCACGATCCAGTCAGCCCCTGCCCGGCTGGTTATGTAACAAACAAGGTGTGTTTTCAGAAGGGTCTCCAAGGCTGCAGCTTTGTCCCAGGAAGTCAGCCTATGGTGTATCCCTCAGATGCTCAGATCCCACTGTCTGGGATGATCCCTTATACCTTTTCCTTATTTCGATAATTATAGTGGGATGGGATGGTTTATAAGACTTAGAGTAGGGCTGCCTAAGGATGAGGTTAAGATGAAGAACACTGTATCCTCAGCATTTTCATTGTTGCAAAAAAATTTGAGGGTAGAGGAGGGTCAAATACATGCCAAAAAAAGAAATTGCTATGATAGGGGAAAACGATAGTCTTTCGGCGCCATGCTTTGTTGGATTTTTAACAACTTCAGGAAGAGTGGGGAAAGTTGCTGATGAGTATTATCACATGTATAACTATATATAGTAGAATCTCAATATAATATTGTCTGCTGGGTCTACAGCCAGAGATTTTGTCTAGTGAAGAACAGTATCAAAAGCACCTCATTAAAAGTGTTAGGCTGAGAGGTGGCCCCATTGGCATTATCCCTGAGGACAGCATTCTGGCAAAGCTTCAGTGTGTACTGCTACTTTACAAACGCAAATACTTTTCCTGCACTCACTTTATTAATGTCAGCAATATTTATTAATTGTGCCCCTCAGAACACTGTTTTTACTCATTCTCCTGTTTTAAGTTTCTATTTATTTTGTAGTTTGAATTCTAGAGAAAATACTTTGGCTGGGTATGGTGGCTCATGCATGTAATCCCAGCACTTTGGTAGGCCAAGGTGGGTAGATGGCTTGAGCCTCAGGAGTTCGAGATCAGCCTGTCCAACATGGCAAAACCCCATCTCTACTACAGATACAAAAATTAGCCAGGTGTGGTGGCACACGCCTATAATCCCAGCTACTTGGGAGGTGGAGGCAAGAGAATCACTTGAACCTGGGAGGCAGAGGTGGCAGTGAGCCAAAGTCGCACCAGTGCATTGCATTCTAGCCTGGGTGATAGAGCGAGACTCTGTCTCAAAAAAAAAAAAAAATACTTTGACTTCCATTTTCTACCCAAATTGTAAGGGAGAGAGGAATCATTTAACCAGTAATTCTGATGCCTTAGTATAAAATAAAACGACTATATGTTGGCCTGCCATCTATGTCCTTGTTGATCTGAGAAGAGGGATCTGTAGGGTAACCAAAGATAGAATTTTTTTTTCCCTTTTTTTAACTTTTATTTTTGTTTCGGGGGTACGTGTAAACATTGTTACATAGGTAAATTTGTGTCATGGGGGTTTGTTGTACAGATTATTTCATCACTGAGGTATTAAGCCTAGTACCCAATAGTTACCTTTTATCCTTCTCTCCCTCCTTTCACCCTTCACTCACAAGTAGACCCCAGTGTCTGTTGTTCCCTTCTTTGTGTCCATGTGTTCTCATCATTTAGCCCCCACTTATAAGTGAGAACATGTGGTATTTGATTTTCTGTTCCTGCATTTGTTTGCTAGGGACAATGGCCTCCAGTTCCATCTATGTTCCTGCAAAAGACGTGACCTCATTCTTTTTTATGGCTGTATAATATCCCATGGTATATATGTACCACATTTTCTTTATCCAATCTATCATTGATGGACATTTAGGTTGATTGCATGTCTTTGCTATTGTGAATAGTGCTGCAATGTACATTTGCATGCATGTGTCCTTATGGCGGAATGATTTATATTGCTCTGGGTATATGCCCAGTAACGGGATTGCTGGGTTGAATGGTAGTTTTGCTTTTAGCTCAAAGATAGAATATTACTAATATATACTCTCTTGAACTAGGAGATTTAAGTCTTTAATTCTATATCTAACTCAGTCTAGTAAACACTAGATATTAAAAATGTATAGGGCCCTAGACTGTGCTTTTGGGATACATACATGAATTGGGATACTCTAGTCAGACAAATAAAGAATGGTGTAATAAGTGCTATCATTTCTATAAAGAAATAAATACAAATTGATGTAAGAGCATAGAGGAGTGAGTGATCGATTATGTCCAGGAGGTTTGGAGATCAGATTAATATGTGAACTCAGTGTCTCAATGGACACGTAGTATTTTGCCAGGCAAAGAAGTAGAAGTTCCAGCACCTAGAAATAATAAATACTTGAGGTGATGGATACTTAAATACTCTGACATGATTATTACACTTGCCCTATATGTAAGATGTCTCACATGTACCCCATAACATTATACAAATATGTATCAATAAAAAAAAGAAAAAGAAATACGGAACTGTCAGTCAAAAGGAACAGTGTGATCAAAGTCTGTGGTATATTCAGGAACAGCAAGGGTTAGGTAGGGGTGGGGCAGGTGGGATAGGGGAGAGCAGAAGATGTTAGAAAAGTATAACAAAGAATTCTTGGTGGGTAGCTCAAAAGTTGTCTTATATGACCACTGAAGGATTATCTGTAAGCTATAAGATCCTATTACCCACCATGTCTGGATATTGAATTGTCACCATCTCTGCAGTTGTAAAGAAGAATTATTGCTTTATCATTTTAATTATTTTATTTTTATTTGCATTTTACTCTTGCTAATTCCTCATCATTTTGCTCCATGGCAGTCTGTGTCTGTGTGGAGTGTTGCAGGACGAGTGGAAATGACTGTTTCCAAGTTCATGGCAATTCAGAAGGCCCTTCAGCCAGACTGGTTCCAGTGCCTCTCCGATGGAGAAGTATCTTGTAAGGAAGCAACTTCCATAAAAAGGGTCAGAAAGTCTGTTGACCGATCACTTCTTTTCTTGGATAACTGTCTGCGGCTGCAGGAAGAGTCAGAGGTAAGGCTGTGCCACTAACCACTCCTTTCTCTTGACACTCTTGCCTCCCTTACATTCTGTGATACCACCTTTTCTGTTCTTCCTCCTACTGCTGTGCTCCTCACTTCTTTGTCTATTTTACTCTCTATTTTTATTTTCTTTTTGAACCTTAAGTATTATTGTTCTCTAGGTTTCTATCTTAGGTTTCTCTTTTCATCCCTTTCTATATGTTGTCCCTGGGCAGCCTTCCCTTAGTTTTAATTGCTGAATAATTCTTAAATTGTATATACTATCAAGATTATTCTACTTAGCTTCAGAATTATGTAATTACTGGGCTATAGGTAGGTTATGTCACTAGAATATCCCTCAAACTCAGAAGTGACCGGATTCATCATTTTATCTCCACAAACCTGTTCTTGCTTTTGCTCTTCCTCAATACTTTATCTCCATTTATGGCATCCACCAAGCTCCTCAGCCCAGAAATTTGAGCTTTTCTTTTTCTTTTTTGAGTCTCACTCTTGCCCAGGCTGGAGTGCAGTGGTGCTATCTCAGCTCGCTGTAACCTCTGCCTCCCAGGTTCAAGGGATTCTGCAGCCTCAGCCTCCCGTATAGCTGATATTACAGGCATGCACCATCACACCCGGCTAATTTTTGTATTTTTAGTAGAGACCGGGTTTCACCATGTTAGCCAGGCTGGTCTTGAACTTTTGACCTTAGATGATCTGCCCGCCTCTGCCTCCCAAAGTGCTGGGATTACAGGCTTGAGCCACTGTGCCTGGCTAAGAAATTTGAGCTTTTCAAGACTCCTTTTTTTCATTCACATTTAATATCCCACTGTTCACTCTTCCTTGATTCCATTTGCCTAAATATGTCTAGAATCTTCCCCTCCTTATTGCCACCTTAAGCCGTAACTGCATCATCTCTTACGTATGTAATTACCTTTGAATTCTTCTCTCTGCCTCCATTCTCATTTTTATCCAATCCATCTTTCAGCCCTGTTATCCAAAAGATCTTTGTAAAGCACAAACAAGAGCTCCTTGCCCACTTCCCTAAAAGAATTTAATGACTCTCCACTTCAACTCTTACATGGCATGGACAGCCTGCTGTGATGTGGCCTCTACCTACTCCTCCAGCTCACTGTGGGCTACTTTTTCCTGTGACTTGCACTCTGACCTTTCTGAGTTGCTTGGAATTCCTTGAGGCATTAGCTTGTTTCATTCTGTACACGGATTTCCTTCTGGACTGTTTCTTGTTTCTGCTTTTCTTATCTCTAGCTATATTCCCTCTTTTGTTTCCACATGAGGCTCATTTCATTCCATGTATCATTCATTTTTTTTTTCTTTTCTTTTGAGACAGTCTCACTCTATTGCTCAGCCTATCAGGCTAGAGTGCAGTGGGGCAGTCTTGGCTCACTGCAACCTCCAACTCCAGGTTCAAGCAATTCTCCTGCCTCAGCCTCCAAGTAGCTGGGATTACAGGCATGCGCCACCGTGCCTGGCTAATTTTTGTATTTTTAGCTGAGACGAGGTTTCACGATGTTGGTCAGACTGGTCTTGAACTCCTGATCTCAGGTGATCCACCCACCTTGGCCTCCCGAAGTGCCATGTGTCATTCTGTAGAACTGGTTCCTGATAGTTCCAGGGAATTCAATTCATTCTTTGCTACCCCTTTAATTAGTATGTAGCTATATTTTAGCCCCAATCATATTGTATTTCAATGATTTCTTTATGCATTTGTCTTCATTAAACTGTGGCCTCTTTAAGCTCAATTTCTGTGTATAAGTTGGGTATCTTCATCATGCAGCAGAATGCCTTCCCTGTCTTATTCACTGGTTCCTCTTATTCTGAATGCCCTTCAATATTGAAGCTCTCCAAGATTCGGTTGTTGGCTTTCTTTTCTTCTCCATATATTACCTGGGTTAGGGATGGCGAATGGGTTTCATCTGACATATTGTAAGCCCTCAGTAAATGTTTGCTGATGGTGAATGGTTATGATGGGGTGAAGATGAAGCTGTAGTGGTAAATCAGGGATACTGATAGCAGAGTTAATTAAGTGGGAAAAGGATTCAGAGAACAGTAGAGATGAGGGAACAGAAGATAGTGATCAGAGGAGAGAATTTTAATATTTGAGATCATGTATGTGGAGTAATCCTGAGCGATGATCACATCCCACTATGGCAAGCGCATTGAGTTTGAGGAACATCATTATATTGAATTTAGCAATAAAAATATAATTTGGCTAATAAAGTTAATATAAATGAAATAATTAGAGGAAACATAGTTATTCTGAATAGAATTCACAGTATATGTAACAAGAGTTTGGTGTGGGGACATTGCTGTGTGTCTGGGCAGTTAGTGTTGGTGGCTTGCTAGTAATTGTTTTGAGCCAGTCATTATCCTTGTAGGACTAGTAATGTTTGGGTAAGTAGAAAGCAGGACAGCGAGTGTGACAAAGATGATTATTAGAAAGGTCAGATGAGCCTCAAGTCCCTCATCTGTGTTGTTGCAGTCAGCCTCATCATTTCATATTACTTCTGCATATTTGTGGGGGTTTTTTTGTTTTGTTTTGTTTGTTTTTTTGAGATGGAGTTTTGTTCTTGTCGCCCAGGCTGGAGTGCAGCGGTGCGATCTCAGCTCACTGCAACCTCTGCCTCCCAGGTTCAAGCGATTCTCCTGTGTCAGCTTCCTCAGTAGCTAAGACTACAGGCACACGCCACCACACCCGGCTAATTTCTGTATTTTTTGGTAGAGATGGGGTTTCACTGTGTTGGCCAGGCTGGTCTTGAACCCCTGACCTTTTCATTCGCCTGCCTCAGCCTCCCCGAATGCTGGGATTATAGATGTGAGTCACCGCGCCCGGCCTTACTTATGCATATTTATTGGTCAAACGTGTAGTCCCTCTCCATACCCTTTATTATTGTCTTGACATGATTATTAATAGTGCCCCCCCATTCTTCCATTTTAGATAATAAATTATATGATCGTGCTTCTTACACCCAGGAAAGGGAGTTTCCCGAATAGTCATGCTAGTCGTATAAGCAGGCAGGCCTATGTAACTCTCTGCTTTGTGTTTCTGCATACATCTTTTCCCATGATTCCCTCCCTGTCTTATTGACTGGCTCCTCTTATTCTGAATGCCCTTCAATATTGAAGCTCTCCAAGATTCGGTTTTTGGCTTTCTTTTCTTCTCCATATATTACCTGGGTTAGGGATGGCGAATGGTTTCAACCGAGGTGGTCGGGTGCAGCAAGAAGAGAGTCATCTGTTAGTCACATCTGCTGTGGAATCAGGAGTAGAGAGTGGTAGCATCATGCCAAGTGT
Organism: Homo sapiens; assembly: GCF_000001405.40. Classification (NCBI taxonomy): domain Eukaryota; kingdom Metazoa; phylum Chordata; class Mammalia; order Primates; family Hominidae; genus Homo; species Homo sapiens. The sequence goes on from NC_000003.12 coordinate 114,074,138, forward strand.
CTGCCATTCTAGCCTGGGCAATCATGTTTGTATCACACATAGCCTTATCTTTAGGTTCATTTAGGTTCAGTGGCTGAATTAAGATTGCCATTTGGACATCCTGCTGATTCCTCAAATTCAGAACACACAGAACAGAGTAATCATCTTGCTTCATCCACTGTTTTTCTAGGAGTCCCTGCCTTTTGCTCTTATCACCATCTACCTGTACTTGCAAAACAGGAGCCAGGAGTCATTTGAGACTTTGTCTTTATCCTCTCCTTGGACAACTAATCAGTCAAGTTATGTTGATCCTACTTCCTGATAGGTTTCAAGTTTTATCTTTCCTCTTCATCCACACTGCCACTGCCTTAGTCCGGATCATCTCATCTTTCACCTGGATCATTAAAGTTGTCTGCTATTCCATTCTTTAATCGTACTCACCCTTAATTTATTTTTCACACGGCAGCCAAAGTGTTCTTTCTAGAGGAATAGTCTGATTATGTCCCTCCTGCTTAAACTAAAGAGTGAGATTCTCTCTTCACAGTGTTCCAGGCCTCCTCTCCATCCCTTTCTTCTACTGGAGAGCCATTGTTGATTTGTGTATTTTCTTGCAAAACTTATTTTTTGCAATTACATACACATAATTAATACATAGATATACATGGCTGTATTACATCAGTATGATCATATATTCAGCAATTTGCTTGTTTTTCATTTAGCAATATCCTGAAACTCTTTCTCTATAAATGCATATATTGCTATTATCTACTGCATTCTTTTTAAACAGCTGCGTAGGAAGCCATACTGTGTATATATTATGATCTACGTAAGCCTTTACTCTATGGATAAACATTTAGGTTGTTTCCAGTTTTTCATTATTCTAAACATCTTTGTAAATAAACCTTGGCACATGTGAATGAGTATAGGAGAGATTGTTAGAAGTGGAATTTTAGGATCCATAGATAAAAGCTGGACATTTCAATAAGTGCTGTCCACTTTCCTTCCTAAGACGTTGAAATGATTTTTACTCTGTGTTTATCAGGTTATGTACGTACCATTTCCCTTACAGTTTCACCTCTACTATGTTGTTATCTATGTTTTAACCTTTTTGTTATTATATGGGCAAAAATGGTATCTCGTTGTTTCCAATTTTGCATTACCTTACTAACAAGGTTTAGTAGTTCTTCATACGTGTATAGGGCATTCACATTTATTTGTTTGAATTTCATATTTACGTATTGTACCTAGATTTCTATGAGGTTGTCATTCATTTCTTTAGAGTATTGGTTGGAGCTCATTTTATGCTGTAGATATTTAAATATTCCTCCAAAGAGTAAGTTCTCCTTTGCCTTTGTTAATGGTATACTTTAGTAGAGAAGTTTTACTGATTTTTTTTTTTTTTTTTTTTTTGAGACAGACCCTTGCCCTGTCATCTAGGCTGGAGTGCAGTGGCGCAATCTCCACTCAGCGCAGCCTCCTCCTCCTCGGCTCAAGCGATTCTCCCACCTCAGCCTCCCGAGTAACTGGGACTACAGGTGCATGCTGCCACACCCGGCTGATTTTTGTATTTTTAGTAGAGATGGGGTTTCACAGTGTTGGCCAGGCTGGTCTTGAACTCCTGACCTCAAGTGATCCACCTGCCTCGGCCTCCTGCTGGGATTACAGACATGAGCCACCATGCCTGGCAAGTTTTTGTACTCAAACTTGTCAACCTTTTCCTGTAAGCTTTAGCTTGTTTAGGAAGGCATTCCTTACCCCAAGATTGTAAAAATACTCAATATATTCTTCTAAAACTTGTATAACCATATTTTTTATGTTTAGCTATTAGGTCCATTGAATTTGTTTTTAAAATGGATGGTGTGTAGTAGTGGTCTTTATTTTATTGGTTTGTGAGTAGATAGTCAGTTGTCTCAACAGTTTCTAAGTTCCTAAAGTTATCTCTAGCTAAGAGACTTGGAGGTAGTCTAAAGCAGGCCTGGATAGTCATTTCACAAATTAAAACTCTTATTTTGTCCTTTTCCTCTTGAACCTGTTTAGTGTACATTTTATTTATTTACTTATTTTTCTTGAAACATGGTCTCACTCTCTTACCCTGGATGGAATGCAGTGGCACAGTTTCAGCTTACTGCAACCTTCGCCTCCCGGGCTCAAGCCACCCTCCCACCTCAGCCTCCCGAATAGATGGGACTACAGGCACAAGCCACCGTGCCCAGCTAATTTTGTTTTTTTATTTTTTGTAGAGACCAGGTGTCGCTATGTTGCCCAGGCTGGTCTTGAAATCCTGGGCTCAAGTGATCCTCCTGCCTCGGCTTCCCAAAGTGCTGGGATTACAGGCCTGAGCCACCACACCTGATCTAATTTAATCTAAGCCAGAACAAGACTGCATATGTTGAATGCATCTTTTTCCTCAGTCTTTTCTTACCTGATTGGTAAAGTATGTTTTTCAAAGTATGTTCCTCAGAGCCTTAAAGGTTCTTAGGGAGGAGGGAGCACCATCCCCTTTAATGCTTCAACTACAGCAGCTTCACTGAGGTCTCTTCTATACATTGGACTTCCATGTAAGGTTCATTTAAACAAAGGTCTCATACTGAAAATGGTTAAAAACATATCATCCTTCTTACCTCAGGTTCTTCAGAAGAGTGTGATCATTGGAGTGATTGAAGGTGGAGATGTGATGGAAGAGAGGCTGAGGTCAGCACGAGAGACAGCCAAGCGGCCTGTGGGTGGCTTCCTTCTGGATGGTTTTCAAGGAAATCCAACAACCCTGGAGGCTAGACTACGCTTGCTGTCATCAGTCACTGCAGAGCTGCCGGAGGACAAGCCAAGGCCAGTGTTCGGTTAGGACACAGGCTGGCCTCAAGGGATGCAGGGAAGGAGTGCTGGCCGATTGTATATTAAATAGTGTCTGTGCATAGGCATGCCTTTGATGTTTTGTTTATGTCCTTTCTGGGCTGAGTCTGCTGAGGTGCTGAGGCAGACTGTAAGGGGAGTTTCCATCAAGGCTGTCCTGGCCTTGATTTCAGAATGTAGAGTAGAGGATAATTGCCATTTGAATTATGTTATTTGATCCTCCTAAGTGAGAGCAAGTATTATACTGTTTCCCCTCATTCTTGTGCCAATTACAAATATTGTTGTTATAATATGGTACCTGGAGACCAAGTGTAAAGTCACATGGAATGCTGGTTTAAATTGAGGAAAGTTGAGGACAGATCTGGGATGACTAGTGAGAAGATGAGCTCCACCAACAAGAACTTAAGAAGCTCTTAGATTTGAGGCTGGTAGTGAGTGGTGTCAATTTTTGAAATTGAGGGGACTGACAACACTAGTAGGATTGGTTCTTATGTTTCCATAAATTGCAGGATTCACCTTGTGCTGATAAGAAAAGACGATCTGCAAGATTTGAAGCTACAAATTCTGAGTTTCTGAATGCAGCTGATATCGTATTAGGCTACCCACATTTTTTTTAATGGTTTGTTATCTTAATGTGAATATTCATGCTTTTTTCCTGCATGTATATTAAGAAGTTTGGTTGTGGGGTGCTGCTCCATAGTCTCTAGAGCTGTTGGATAGTATATAATATGTGTAATTTTACTACTTTTTTTTTTTTTTTTTTTGAGACGGAGTTTTGCTCTTGTTGCCCAGGCTGGAGTTCAATGGCATGATCTTGGCTCACTGCAACCTCCACCTCCCGGGTTCAAGTGATTCTCCTGCCTCAGCCTCCTGAGTAGCTGGGATTACAGGCATGCGCCACCATGCCTGGCTAGTTTTGTATTTTTAGTGGAGACGGGGTTTCTCCTTGTTGGTCAGGCTGGTCTCGAACTCCCAACCTCAGGTGATCCGCCTGCCTTGGCCCCCCAAAGTGCTGGGATTACAGGCGCGATTTTACTACTTTTTTAAAGATCCAAGTACAACTTGGAGGAAAGCACGTGAATCTTACATACAGCTCAATTAATTTTCACATGTCTACACTTGTGTAAACACTACCCAGAACAAGGTATTTCCATCACCTTAGCCAGCCTTTGATCCCCAATTTTAACCTAGTTCTTTTGTGTTCATTGCTCCCTCTCCTGTACTTGTTTCACTCTGGTGCACATAACACTTCAGCACCAGTATTTCTAGACATTTTCTGGACTTCTTCATGTTAAGTGCTCACAGATGTCTGTTACTGAATTTGAAAGCTGGATTGTTTTTCTTTCTATAAGTGTGTAGAAATGCCAGCTTCAGTTGGATAGGAGTTCTAAAACATTACATCACTTGAAGGAAACTGTAGTCAGGAAAACCAGCATATATTTGTAAGAGTTCTGCTTATTTAATATTACATGAGCCTTTTTTTTTTTTTTGCATTTCTGTGCCAGTTCATAGAAAGGGGCTATAGGTAGTAAAACAAACATAAAAAAGAGCAGCAGCCAGCCAGCCCTGATTTAGTACATCTCCACATCTGTTTTCATGGAGTGGCAAAACCTGGCCGAGTGCCATTAATAGTCTCAGAATGCCTTACCTATTACAAGTTGAGTATCCTTTATCCAAAATGCTAGGGACCAGAAGTGCTTGAGATTTTGGATTTTTTCAGATCCTGGAATATTTGCAGAGTACGTACTGGTTGGGCATCCCTAATTTGAAAGTCCAAAATCCAAAATTCTCCAGTGAGCATTTCCTTTCAGTGTCATGTTGGTGCTCAAAAAGTTTCAGATTTTGGAGCATTTTGGATTTCAGATTTTCGGATTAAGGATGCTCAACCTGTACCTTGGAAACCACCATCTTATTCCACAGTGCAGACTTTTTATTAATGGAGAAAATATAAAGAAAGCCAACTAGATTCTTAGATCCTATGGCCAGAGGTGAAATCCTGACAGCGAGAGTTGCTTTGTAAATTAACTTATGAGGGATATAGTGGATTAAAATGTCTTTATTGCACCAATTATGAAAAATTATAGGCAAAATACAGTTAAAACAAGCAAAATATTTCAGCAAGAAATAAAGCACACAGCTTTGCACTCCTAAAAAATCTATATAGTGTATAGAAGATAGGCTATAAAGGGCTATAAAGTTTAGTTTATGACCAGGGAGGTTGTTCAGAAGGATGATAGTTGAGAGGAAGCTAACCTTTATTGAACTTCTCTCTGGGATCAGAAACTATACTATGGGCTGGGCGTGGTGGCTCACACCTGTAATCCCAGCACTTTGGGAGGCCAAGGTGGGCGGATCACCTGAGGTCAGGAGTTCAAGACCAGCCTGGCCAACATGGTGAAACCCCATCTCTACTAAAAATATAAAAATTGGCTGGGCGTGGTGGCGGGCGCCTATAATCCCAGCTGCTAGGGAGGCTGAGGCAGGAGAATTACTCCCGGAAGGTGCAGGTTGCAGTGAGTCGAGTTTGCGCCATTGCACTCCAGCCTGGGCAACAAGAGTAAGACTCCCTCTCAAAAAAAAAAAAGAAACTATGTGCTTTTTCAAATATCTCATTAATCCTCACAACAATTCTGTGGGGGTATATATTATTTGCTCTTGTTTTTAAGATTAGATAACTAAAACTCAGAGAAGTTAAGTAATCTTTCCAAAGTGACACAGCAGATACATAAATGACAGAGCTAGGATTCAAGCCCCAGTTTTTCTGGCTCCAAAGCCATATGTTCTTTCTGCTGCATGTTGCTGTCCACTGCCTGCCACTCTAACCATGATTGGTGTTTTTCATTATTACTATTTTTTTAGTGCCTTGTTCATTAAAAGGACTTTCTGATTTCCTTCCTTGCATTGTCCTCATGTCACTGTTCTTATTCTTACTTTTACAGGCTCATATCTGGTGTTAGTCGGCCAGATGAGGTGCTCGAGTGTATTGAAAGAGGAGTGGACTTATTTGAGAGTTTTTTCCCTTATCAAGTAACAGAGCGGGGATGTGCCCTGACTTTCAGTTTTGATTACCAGCCGAATCCTGAAGAGACACGTAAGTCTTTTGAAGTTTATCTCTTATCCTTAAGTTTCTTCCATTTCCTGTTAATTTTTGGCTTGAGTCACAAGACAGAAATATGTATATATAAAGCCAGTCTTTTACAAAACTACATCTCTGTTTCTTATCTGTGTGCTCTGGCATGTTGGCACACAAATCCAGGTACTTAATACTATACATGTAGCTCATCAATATTAGGATGTGATTTTATAGTGAAAAGAACCAAGAAAAACAAAACCTCCTCTGTTAACAGCCTGAAAAAAGAACATTCAGAGTGAATTGTGATGAAAATCATAAGAAAACCTTTGAACTGCTTGGTAAAAGTTAACTTGTTTTCTCACAAAAGAGTTTTTGTCTTTGCTTTGCAAACCCTATGCTATTAAAATACAGGGAGACTCATGATCCTCTGATCCTAGTGTTACTTCTTGCATTTTTTTTTTAATACACCAGGCTTTGAAAGCTATTTTCCTTTGCTAATGTTGCTTTGAAGGACTGCCATTTTCTTTTATTATTTAGTTATCCAGAAGTTAAGAAAGTCAGTTTCGGATTCTAACACTTACCTGGAGGTAGAAAAGGAGCTAGGATACAGACTTTGGGCTGGAGTTGCTTGAAGTAGGTTTTCAGGAGAGTGTCGCCTGCCCAGTCTTCCCTCTGGCCTTCAGAAATGACCTTTCCTTTCCTTTTCCTGCTGTCCTTGGAACTTTTCCTTAACCACATCAACCTTACATTTGAATAGGACCAGAAACTTCCTTAAAGGTTCATTTTATTCCTCACAGGTAACTAAAATTTCATTCAGATGTTATACTTTTATGAAGCAACTTAACCATTAATCTAAATGGAATTACTCCTGGAAACAAAATAAATCAAGTTGATCAAATTCTTAAATATATAGGAGGTCAATTTTACTGTCCTTTTAGACAGACCAGAATATAATGTATGTGGATAGGTATACCATTAACACTATAAATTTTCACATCTTCATTTACAAACTGAATTATTTCCACCAGAACAGAGGTAACTGTTAGTCATTCAGTACCAGGAATATGCAAAGCTCTAAAAAGAACCTGATTTGAGTTCTCTGTAAAGAACAAGATCATTTTTGGCCAGAGAAAGCCAAATTTCTTCATGATTAGGAAAAAGGAAATAGTTTGAATGTTTAAACAAAGTATTATTAACTCTGTGTGTGTAGTAAATTAAAGTCCTTTGCCAGTTACATAGTGAAAATTCCAAAGAAATTACTTGGCAGCAGTTCTCCCAAATGACAAGAGTTTTCTGAAGTGTCAGGGCTTAAAAAAAATTCTTTTTCAGAAATAGGGTCTCACTCTGTTGCCCAGGCTGGAGTGTAGTGGTGTGATTATGGCTCACTGCAGCCTTGAACTCCTGAAAAAAGAACATTCAGAGTGAGTTGTGATGAAAATTATAAGAAAACCTTTGAACTGCTTGGTAAAGTTTAATTTGTTTAACTTTAATGGGCACAAGCCATCCTCCCACCTCAGCCTCCCGAGTAGCTGGGACTACAGGTGCATGCCACCATGCTGGGCTAATTTTTAAATTTTTTGCAAAGACAGGATCTTGCTGTGTTGCCCAGGCTGGTTGTGCACTCCTGACCTCAGGCGATCCTCCTGCCTTAGCCTCCCAAAGTGCTGGGATTACAGGCATGAGCCACTGCGGCCAGCTGAGAGCTTCATTATGGTTTCCCACATCAGCATGCAAATTTATGGGAACAAAATTATAACAGCTCTGTGCCCAGTGCTCAGGTTGCTTCTCTTATACCTTTGACCTTGATAAAATTACCCTCTTAAGACCACCTGTCTTTCTCCTGGGACCAACACTGAGATTTGTTATCATTTGTTCCCAAAATACCCCTTAACTACTTGTCCCTGTTCCAGGCAGTTGGCTTTTTGTAGAGTAGCTGGTGTTTCTTTTGCTGTGCAAAGAATGTTTCTTCTTAAAGCAGAGAGTTGAAGGGAACAATTCAGGTTGCCATTTAATTCTGTGTAGTCTGGGTTCCCTAGAGGGCCAGTGTCTCCATATAGAATACATACATTAAAACCATGTTCTACTTCAATCTATTTGGAATATAGGTAGTTCAAAGCCAAGTATATTTGCATGTACATTATGATAAGGGATAGTGATAACCCCACCACACACACACACACACACACACACACACACACACACACACACACACACGCAACCAACAGTTAACTTTTGGTTTATTTATTTTGCCCAGGCTGGTGGTGTACTCCTGACCTCAGGCAATTCTCCTGCCTTAGCTTCCCAAAGTTTTGGGATTATAGGCATGAGCCATCATGCCTGGCCACCAATGTTTTTAAATTATTTCTTGATGATACGATTATATGTTATATACTTGTAACTATAATTTGCTTAGATATTATTGAATCTCTAAATTGTTTTGGTGTTGTAGATAAGAGGACGGTGACAGTCTTGGAGCATATTGCTGTTTTCCTTTTCTTGTGTGATTTCCTTAGGATAAATTCTCAGGAGTGAAATTACAGAGTCAAAGATCATGAAATAATAACTAAAATAAAATGTTTCCAATGGCCACTTCTTATCTGATCATCATTCAAGCCTTTTTATTGGTTTGTCCTTCAGTACTACAACAAAATGGAACACAAGAAGAAATAAAATGTATGGATCAAATAAAGAAAATTGAAACAACTGGTTGCAACCAAGAAATAACATCATTTGAAATTAATCTGAAGGAAAAAAAGTAAGAAATTTTTAAAAGTTTGGATTTTGCTTTCTGACTTCTGAATTTTAGTCTGTGTTAAAAGTTTATGGGACAATTCTCAATTTATGATTTCATAAAATATTAATAGTTGGGTATTATTTAGGCCTTCTCAAATTCGATTTCAAAAAAACTCTTTATTTTCTTCAGATGAATTTGTAGACTTCGTCTTGTCAGAAGACTGGAGCCAGGTAATGATTGCTTTAGAAAAGCTGACAGAAAGATTAAACCAAATCCATTGTTTGGCGTCTTGTATTCCTTTAGAGCATAATAAGGAGTTCAAGATAAAACAACAAAGTTTTAAATTGTAGGGTGCCTAAGCCATCTTTGTTAGATACAGGCTGTAAATCTTACGTAAGATATTTATCTCTATAAAGAACAAATTAAGATACAGATTGAATTGAATATCCCTTCTTCAGAATGCTTGGAACCAGAAGTGTTTCAGATTTCTTTTCTTTGTTGTTGTTGTTGTTGCTGTTGTTGTTGTTGCTGTTGCTGCTGCTGTTGTTGTTGTTGTTGTTGTTGTTGTTGTTGTTGTGTTTTAGAACATTTGCATTATACTTACCTGGCTGAACATCCCTCATCTGAAATCTGAAATCCTCCAATGAGCAGTTCCTTTGAGCATCATGTTAGTGCTCAAAAAGTTCTGAATTTTGGAGCATTTCACATTTTAGATTTTCAGATTAGGAATACGGAACCTATATCTTGTAATTTTTGTATTTGTCCAAAAGTGGTAATCATCAGTGAACCAGTGAGTGATTTTTCTTTGAGTCTGATGCACTCACTTTAGTGCTGGGGTGGGTTTTTTGTCTTACGTAAAAGAAGATCCTATGGCTTGTGACTTACTTATGTCTATCTAGTGATAGTACAGACTTGAGAGTTTATGAAAGAATGTGAAAATCCTTGTTCTTACCCATATTCTGTTGGGACTCCTTTAATTGTAGGTCAGAAATGGTGATGTCTACCGCATTTGACTTCTTAAAAAATAGCCAAGGAGATAGATTTGTTTTTGTCTTTCTTTTACCCTTTTTTTTCTGTCATCCACTGACTCTCAAATGATTTATTTATGTTTTTAAAATTTTAGGGTAATATAAATGGTTACTACTAAAATTCCCTTTATGTTATAGATTTAATTGGAAATTGTACTATTATTATCAGCACTAGACTTAAGTTTTTGAGATTTGTAGACAAATTCTAGCACTGCTCTTGACTGTGTGACTTTGGTCTGGTCAATTCTTCACTTTTTTCTTTTTTTTTTTTTTTTGTGGGGGGCAGAGTGTAGCTCTGTTGCCCAGGCCAGAGTGCAGTGGCACGATCTTGGCTCACTGCAACCTCCGCCTCCTGGGTTCAGGCGATTCTCCTGCCTCAGCCTCCCAAGTAGCTGGGATTACAGGCATGCACCACCATGCCTGGCTAATTTTTGTATTTTTAGTAGAGACGGGGTTTCACCATGTTGGCCAGGCAGGGCTTGAACTCCTGACCTCAATCCACTTATTTTTAATAGTTGATTAAAGGTAACACCTGGCCAGGCATGGTAGCTCACATCTGTAATCCTAGCACTTTGGGAGGCTGAGGATGGAGGATCACTTGAGCCCAGGAGTTCAAGACCAGCCTGAACAACATAGCAAGATCCTGTCTCTAAAACAGATTATCTGGGCGTGGTGGGAAGCTGAGGTGGGAGGTTGCTTGAGCCCAGGAGTCCGAGGCTGCAGTGTGCTATGATTGTGCCACTGCACTGCACTCCAGCCTGGGTGATAGAACAAGACCCTGTTCCCCCCTCAAAAAAAGTTAACACCTATGCAGTGCTTAGGCCTAGTGTGTGCCCAGCAGTGTTCAAGTCCTTTAACTGTACTAATACATTTCATCTTTGTAACAACTGTCTGAGATAGGCACTGTTATTACCTTTGGTTCATGGATGAGAAACAAGTCACAGAGAGATGTTAAGTGACTTGCCCAAGTAAGTTGTGAAGCCAGGAATCAAATTCATGCAGGGTAGCTCCAGGACCCTCCCTCTCAACCCCCATAGTTATCTTCATCTGTAGAATGACAATAAAAATAGTTATCTCCAAGAATGAATGTGAAGGTTAAATGAGACAGTGTATGTGAAAGTATTTGGTAAACTGCAAAAAGCTGTGTAAGTAGAAGTCTACCATGTCTTTTGATAATAATTCTGGTGGTAAGTGGGAAGGAAGTGTCACTCACTTCTCTCCTAAGTGTCCAACACTTAGAAGTGTTTCCTAACATTATGTGCTTTTACAATGTGATTAGTAATACTCAACATGAGTGAGCGACCACATGAATTTCTTCTGATGCTCCTTTGTAACCCCAGACTCGGAGTTTGCATCAGTCAGAGAAAAACTCCAGGGTCTCCCTGACTCATTGTGTTCTTTGTTAACTTTTTTTTTTCTTTTTTGAGATGGAGTCTCGCTCTGTTGCCCAGGCTGGAGTGCAGTGGTGCGATCTTGGCTCACCACAACCTCTGCCCCCTGGGTTCAAGCGATTCTCCTGCCTCAGCCTCCCGAGTAGCTGGGACTACAGGCACGCGCCACCATGCCTGGCTAATTTTTGTATTTTTAGTACAGACGGGGTTTCGCCATATTGGCCAGGCTGGTCTTGAACTCCTGACCTCGTGATCCGCCTGCCCCGGCCTCCCAAAATGCTGGGATTACAGGCATGAGCCACCACACCCGGCCCTTTGTTAACTTTTAACCATATTGCCATTTTAAGCAGGTGCACAGCACTGAACATTTGCCAGTGATGTTATTAACCACTGGTAACTTTACCAGCAGAATAGATAGCTGAGGTTGTGGATTTCTTGTATTCCGTACTTTCTGGAATGTCACTGTGACTTCTTTCTTAGGTACCAGGAGGACTTTAACCCGCTGGTGAGAGGATGTTCCTGTTACTGCTGTAAGAATCACACTCGGGCATACATCCACCATCTGCTGGTGACCAATGAGCTGCTGGCCGGAGTCCTGCTTATGATGCACAACTTTGAACACTACTTTGGGTTTTTCCATTACATCCGGGAAGCACTAAAAAGTGACAAACTGGCACAGTTGAAAGAGCTCATCCACAGGCAAGCATCTTGAGATCTTGCAAATACAAGTCTCACTCTTCACACTGAGCCTGTACCACTGTTGTAACATGGGAAGACGTGAAGAAGAAATAATCTGAGCTTTAATTATTTATATTTGGATATAAGGTCTGCTTAAATAAAGAATCTTTGTACCAAACTGCCCACATGAGGGTGAAGAGATTTCCTCAAAAGACTTAAATGACCTGGATTGATCAGAGAGAATTGAACTGTGACCTTTAAGACTTCTAGACTAATTCTTTTAGTTGATAGAGATTCATTTAGTCAAAGACAAAAGCTTTAACTGTGAGGGCACAGCCTTGAAGTGGGAGTGATGAGATTCTGAGGGACCCATGAATTGGATTGAGGCTTGAGGGGAAATGGTGTGAGACGAATGGGCTCTGGACATATGCCTGTTGATTTGAGAAGAAATCTGGCTGGTTTGAGGGTTTCCTTTAGTTCACCCTCATACTCTCAGGAGACTCTTCTGGATACTTTTGTCTTCCACCCTGCCCTGGCAGTGCAGCCAATCAGAAATGGCTCTTGTGACTTAACTGGGCTTGGATATCCCTGGAATGTGGGGCTTGAACATTGCTCCTGTGATGATCATCTGTCCCAGGTCACACTCCTTCATTTGACCACATGGCCTATTTGCAACTTCTTTTTAGAGCCAATGTAATTGCCTGTTAGGAGCCAGAAGTTTGCCCAGCTGCTTTCTTCTGGTTGTACAGATCCATTGTGGTCTGCCTTCCAGGCTCATTAATAGTCTAACTACGTAATAACTGAAGACCTATCTCTTGTGAAGATTCATTCTCAATGTGTTCACTTGGACAGAGCCCTGCCTGGCCTAACGATTAGAGGGTTAGTCTCCATCCTGCTCAGATATGACTCCTGGGCAATTCACTTAACTTCTCCATGGCTGCTTCCTGCTGAATAAATAGGGACAGGCATAATGGATAGGAATGAATGAACTTTTAAGATACTGTCTAGCTCTAAAATTGGAAGAACAAAAAGTTTTAGATTAGAGTCATAGCCTTAATAGCCCTAGTTGTCATCCTGGGAGACAGGCAACAGTAGAGATATTTGAGAGCCTAAAGAGAGGTTTGGCCTGTGGGTTTTTAAGTGGTTATTGAATTGGTATCAGGAGATCCTGAGGCTGGTAGGGGAAGGTAATTCTTTCTAAGTTACCTCTGTATTTTTCAAGTTTTCTATAAGGAATACACATACACCCACATGCACACACCATAGTTTTTATACAAACAGCAATAACAAAACCAAAAAGATGCCCCTTTTTTTGTAGGGATAAGAAATACATTTGTTTTATACTTCTATGCTATATTTTGCTATTCAAAATTTAGTGGGCATTACTTAACATTGTTTCTAATTATTTTGTGGCTGCTGTATGTTTTATGTGTTGGGAGCCCATTGTATTAGGCCGTTCTTGGATTGCTATAAAGAAATACCTGAGACTGGGTAATTTGGTTTTTTGGTTTTTTGGGGTTTTTTTTGAGACGGAGCCTTGCTCTGTCGCCCAGGCTGGAGTGCAGTGGCGCGATCTCGGCTCTATGCAACCTCCACCTCCTGGGTTCATGCCATTCTCCTGCCTCAGCCTCCCGAGTAGCTGGGACTACAGGCGCCCGCCACCATGCCTGGCTAATTTTTTATATTTTTAGTAGAGATGGGGTTTCACCGTATGAGCCAGGATGGTCTCGATCTCCTGACCTCATGATCCACAAGACTGGGTAATCTGTAAAGAAAAGAGGTTTAATTGGCTCATGGCTCTGCAGGCTTTACAGGAAGCATGGTACTGGCATCTGCTTGGTTTCTGGGGAGGCCTCCGGAAGCTTATAGTCATGACAGAAGGTGAAGGGGGAGCAGGCACATCACATGACAAAAGCAGGAACAAGACTCAGAGCAAGAAGTCACTTATCACCAAGGGGATGGCCCAGGCCATTCATGAGGGATCCACCTTTGTGCTCCAAACACCTCCCACCAGGCCCCACCTCCAGTATTGGGGATTACATTTCAACTTGAGGTTTGGGCGGGAACAAATAGTCAAATTATATTACCCATCTACATGGTTTTCTTTTTCTTAGTATGGGAGTGTCCATGAATAAATTCATGGGCATCCTCATAACTCTTCCATGAATGGCAAGGGGTACTTATGGAAAACAGTTTTCCAAAGATCTGATTGTTTTGAAATGTGTTAGATTGGACTTGTTCAAATGTTCATATTTTTGTTCTATGCTAAATGCATCGTTAGGGGAGTAGTGGTAAATATTCCAGAATCCATATGAAATTCATGAGTTTATTTATGTCTAAAACACTGAAAACTGTGTCCAATATCGTTCAGTTTCCTGGGTCTTTTTCTTATTAGCACATTTGAGAAAAATATTCCTTTCCTTTATTGTAGTAAATCTATTAAAGGCAATAGCCAATAAAACATTTTTAATTTTAAAAATTTACTGTGTTTGGCTTTCTGTAAATGTAGTAGGTCTGTTAAACAAAATATTAAATTTCCATAGTACCAGAAATGTTGTAGAGATTTCTCATTGGAAGAAAAAAATGTTTATCTGTATTCATTGTTTTGAGAGCTTCCATGATAAATGTAAAATCCAAAAAGATATTTAATTATATACATTATGAAGATTCCCTTATCTATCTTTATTAATCTGTTCTTGTGTTTCTATAAAGAAATACCAGAGGCTGGGTAATTTATAAGGGAAAGAGGTTTAGTTGGCTTACAGTTCTACAGGCTGTATAGGAAGCATGGCACCAGCATCTGCTCCTGGTGAGGGCTTCAGGAAGCTTACAATTGTGGTGGCAGGCAAAGGGGAAGCTGGTGTATCACATGGTGAGAGAATGAGGAGGTCCCAGACTCAAACAACCAGATCTCATGTGAACTGAGGGAGAATGCACTCATCACCAAGGAGATAGTGTTAAGCCATTCATGAGGGGTGTACCCAGATACCTCCCACCAGGCCCCACCTTCAACACTGGGGATTACATTTCACCATGAGATTTGGAGGGGACAAACATCCAAGCCATATCACTTACCTCTTTAAGTTATGTAATTATGAGCCTTAAGGCCATGCTAGCACATAATAAAAATAATAATCACAATATGGAGTATTTTAAATGTGCCAGGCATCTTGGTAAATGCTTTTCATATATAACTATTGACTGTTAGAGCATGGCTGTGAGGTGTTGCTATTGTCCTATGGGCTATATGTGCTAGTGCTAGTTATTCCCTACAGGAAAAGCTGAAGCCAGCTATTTAAGAACTGAATTTTAAGAGGGTTGAGTAGCCTGCCTGAGTGCCTACCAGATATTTCAGGAAAGAAATAGTTTGCCTAAGGGCCTACCACTACTCAGCTCCCAGGTAGACTCTAGCTCCACAGTTATCCACTGTACTAAATAAATTCTTAATTTTGACTTGCTTCTGGTTTGAGGGGGCTAAGAGAATCAGGGACTGCAGAGAGGGGCCTCCTGGCCTTGGGGTATTGGGTGCTTTAGGAACTTTGCTGCAACTTGGCCTTGGCTTCAGCTTTTCCAGTAGGGAATAGCTAGCACTAGCACACGTCCCGTGGTACCATGCTGGTATTTGTAGGTGCTCAACATGGGTTGCCATTCCACATCCTCAAATTTCTCCCCCCTTCCCAGTTTGGGACTGTAACCACACCCTGAATGGCGTTGAAATGTTTGGGTACTGTGATTAGTTCAAGTGGATTCAGGTAATCAACTGGAGTCTGAGGTTTCTTATATCTTTTGGGGGAGGTTTATTTTGTTACTCCTTGGAATAAAGGGAAAATATTCTAAAACATTTTTTAAGCAAATACTTGAGTAATGACAGCATTTTAATAAAAATTTCAAACAAAGACCATCAAAGGGTCAAGGCTAGAATGGAAAGCAACTATCTTATCCAGGGTGTTTTTTCTGTAGAGGCAGCTTGGAGCTCAGTAAGAAACCACAGAGTTAAATGATTACCCTGTGCCTTCCTGATTAGGAACAGGCTGCTCTCTGCAGTTTGATTAGTCTTGCTTGTAACTATGGGATTATAGCTTATTAAAACTGACAGTGCTGTGTAGGGCAGGGAGCCTGGAAGGTCAAACTTCCATGCTGAGCCAGCCACCAGCAAGGCTCTGCCTTTACCTAAAAGTTTGGTATAATTGGCATTCATTTAAATATCCTTTTTAATCTCTTCACTTTCTTTTCAACCTTTGTGTCTCTTAGTAATTTACACCTTTTCTTTCCTTGCTTCTTCACGAGGTTCCCTGATTTGTGAGCACAAAACCCAAATAACAGTGGGCAAAGAATGAAACAAGCCAGTGTAAGCAATGTGAATTAGCATAATCGTGCACTCTTCCTCCCGAAAATCCTGCTTCATGCCCCTAGTTCAGGTATAAATACACAGCATCCTGCCCCCGCCTCCACCACCTTTTATTCTCAAAAGTGCTGGCCAAGTTAAATGGTCACCCTAATGTGAGGGGTAGAGATGATCAAACTAGAGAACAGGTGTTCCAGCTAAATGGGACAGCTGATACCCACCTCCAGCTAATTGCTGCTGTGGCTCCGGTGCTGCCAGATATTTCAGTCTTTCAGGAGAAGCCAAAAATCTGGATTTTCAGGTGAAATTTCACAATTTTTAAATGCTGGGTCAATTTTTAAACAATATTCTGCTAGCCAAACAAAACATGGGGGTGCCTAGTTTGCAACCTCTAGCTTAAAATCTGGAAGAAGGGCTTTGGTATCTTTAGCATTTAAAAATTTCTCAACAACTGATTGCAATATACAGAAAACATACCTGTAGTTTCTAGTTCCTGCAGCTGTTTAGATTCCCACATTAAGAGAGCCCATGTTGTCCCATCTCCTTTGCAGGGTCACCAGATAACTCCCAGAACCATTCTAAATCTGCCAGAAGGGAAGGTATGCAGCATCTTATTCAACCTATTTTATGCAGGAGGAATTTTAAGCCTGGAGAAGAAAGATTAACAGTTGGCGCCCCGTGCGCTGGCTCATGCCTATAATCCCAGCACTTTGGGAGGCCAAGGTGGGTGGATCACCTGAGGTCAGGAGTTTGAGACCAGCCTGGCCAATGTGGCAAAATCCTGTCTCTACTAAAAATACAAAAATTAGCCGGGTGTGATGGCACGTGCTTGTAGTCCCAGCTACTCGGGAGGCTGAGGTTGGAAAATCACTTGAACCCAAGAGGTGGAGGTTGCAGTGAGCCAACATCGTGCCACTGCACTCTGGCCTGGGCAACAGAGTGAGACTCTGTCTCAAAAATAACAACAAAAAAGAGAGCCCATGTTGTCCCATCTCCATTGCAGGATCCCCAGATAACTCCTAGAACCATTCTAACTCTGCCGAAAGGGAAGGTATTCAGGATCTTATTTAACCTATTTTATGGATGAGAAATTTTAAGCCTAGAGAAGAAAGACTAGCAGTTGGCTGTGTCTTTCCTCTTGGGAGTGTCTTAGTTCAAGCTGCTATAACAAAATACCATAGACTGGGTGGCTTAAAACAGAAGAAATTTATTTTTCACAGTTCTGGAGGCTGGAAGTCTGAGATGAGGGAGCCAGCATGGTTGAATTCTAGTAGGGGCCCTCTCCCTGGTCGCAGACTGCTCTTGTCTTTCCATGTCTCCACATGGTGGAAAGAAGGGTAGAGAGCACCCTGGAGTCTCTTTTATAAGGGCACTAATCCCACTCATGAGGACTCCACCCTCATGATCTAAATTACCTTCCAAAGGCCCCACCTCTGAATACCATCACATTGGGGTTGGGATTTAAACATAAACTTTTTTTTTTTTTGAGATGGAGTCTCACTCTGTTACCCTGGCTGGAGTGCAGTGGCGCGATCTCAGTTCACTGCAAACTCTGCCTCCTGGGTTCAAGCGATTCTCCTGGCTCAGCCTCCTGAATAGCTGGGATTACAGGTGCCCGCCACCTCGTCCAGCTAATTTTTGTATTCTTAATAGAGACGGGGTTTCACCATGTTGGTCAGGCTGGTCTCAAACTCCTGACCTCGTGATCCACCCGCCTTGAGGCCTCTCAAAGTGCTGGGATTACAGGCTTGAGCCACCACGCCCAGCCTTCAACGTAAACATTTTGTGGGGACACAAACATTCAGTCCATAACAAGGAATTTAAACATGCACACAGTTCTTTCTAGTTAGCATTTTGGCACTCCTAAATCTCACCACCTATTTTCTGCCGGGCCTGTGCCCTTCTAGGGTCAGCATCGATTTCCCAGTATTCACTTTCCAGTGGTTCCTTCTGGCCTCACAGGACCAGCTGGTACAGGACATAAGATAAGAGCTCCTATTGCACCTTCCAGCATTAATAGCAATAGTCCTGGATGACACCGTGAAATCTCAATTACTGTTTGTCAAGTGAACGAATATTCTGAGTAGTTGAGGCATTCTCTTCCTTATTTTGGCCAACTGAGTGCTGGTTAGAAGTGACTTGCACAACACTATGTGGTAGGACCTATGAGAATGTCAGTGGTGGTTTTATGTCACTTTATGCTAGGCAAGCTCCCGGTGACCTGACACATTTTTGGTTTTTCGGATTTTTTTTTTCTGTTACTTGGTACCATTATCATCTTTCAGTGCTGGCCTCAAAGCAATTTCCCCTGCTCTGACAAGAGGAACTCAGAGTGAACTTTCCTTTTGTTCTCATTCCTCACAATCTACTTTGAGATCAGGTCGGAGTTGCCAAGGAGTTCAAACGGCCGATGCTTCCCAGTGTGATTCAGAGGGATCCGTGCCTCCTTTCCGCACACTATTCCTAATGCTCACCTCTCTCCCTGAACTGCTCTCGCCTGCTGTCGGCTCCTTTGTCTGCGAAACACATTTTCTCTTATTATCACCTTGTTCTCTGCCTGCCTTGGATGGTTTCAGCTTGTCTCTTAACATCAAGATGTTGCTATTAACAGTCTTCTCTTTCTTAACAGCTTACAGTCACTTCCTTTTATTCAGTCCTTTTCCTTTTCCCTCCCAAACCACGTAATCATCTCTTTCAGCCTCAAATAAAAGTTGTATAACCATTTCATAACCACTGCTTTAGAGTTGCTATCAAAAAGGCACAAGAAGAAGGACATAAAAGTAAGGGGAGAGAAATCAAAAGGAGAGGAGGTGAGGGATACTCCAATAATTGAGAAACAGGGTGTGTGTGCATCTTCAGAATTCTCCTTTGTTGATTAGCCCTCGAGACTGACCATAGCAAGCTCAGTGGTCTGGTGAAATTTTCCTCTAATTTTTATGGACAGATGGGAAGCTGTTCTCCCCTCCGAGGCTCTGTTTTCCTTCCAAATAGTTAAAATATTTTCTTTGAACTCTCCCAGAATCATTTATTTTTGTCATAAATCCATTCACAGAATCCAATTACATAACGGATATGAGTTTTCCACACCCCCAAAAAGCTAAAATATTTACTCACATTTTCCAGCATTTTCCATTTTCTACTCATTTATTTTTTAGTTCAACAAAACTTAAATAACATTTCCATCACAATTCTATTTATTGTTCCCCCACAATGCTAGCTGAAAATACCAACTGGAAATGTACTCCATTCCCACATAGTAACTGCACTTCAAAAGACAAGAGAGTGACAAAGTATGTCCAATTTTTTCTTTTTTACACTTGAACTGATTTTGGTTAGACTCTCCAGTTTTACATTGTTTTTTGTAGAAAGTTCAGTCATGTTGAAAAAGTCAGTTCCACTTTATATTTTTTCCACCTAAACATTCACCTGTTGCCACAAATCCAACGTGTCTAAAACCAAATTTACTATCTTCCTTCAGTCAGACTAGTTCTGCACTTCAACTTCCTTGCACCTGGCTTCCAGCCAAATCAGCTGGAAACCTTACTCCTTGGATGAATGAAGTAATACATAGAAGGGATGGGTATAAGGCATTTCAAGGAGGATCAGCAAGACTTGGTGACTGACTCAGAGGAGGCAGTTAAAGCCTGACTCAAGGAAGATTACCACCCATCCTGCCCCTCACCTCCTCCTTGTCCTCCTCAACTCCACTCTCTTCCTGCTGTACCAAGGCTAAACTGGCAGCCTGAATTTCTAGGGCCGCCATAATCTGAACCTAACCAATTGCCGTGGACTTTTCCACTTTTCCTAAGTGGTTATATCCTAATCCTACCCATTCTCAAGGTCCAGCCCAAGAACCAAACCTTCCATAAAAACTTGCTTTTCTAGAATTCTAGAGTCTCAAGATTGGAAGAGGAGAGGCTTCTATTCTGATTTCCTTTGTTCATAAAGGCACCAGCAACCAGTGCTCTAGGCATCTGATTTAATCAGTGCTTCAGTTCTGTGAGCCTCATCTTCCAACCAGACTATCAGCTCTGTAAGGGAAAGATAATCCCTCAGCATTTGCCGTGTCTGCACCCTCACCCCTGCCCCACTGAAATTAAGGGAGAATGTGTGATTAATTTTCTTCTCATCATGTGTCTGTAGTATGTTCTCTACTTCTCCATCTTTAACACATCACTTTATCCGTTTCTTTTTTCATTATAATTTGTTCAATTCTGTCTGTGCCTTATCCATTACCTTCTTTTTTATTTTTATTTTTATTTTTTTAAGATGGAGTCTCGCTCTGTTGCCAGGCTGGAGTGCAGTGGTGTTCCCGGCTCACTGGAACCTCCGCCTCCTAGATTCAAGTGATTCTCCTGCCTCAGCCTCCCGAGTAGCTGGAACCACAGGTGCATGATACCATGCCCGGCTAATTTTTTGTATTTTTTTTTTTTTTAGTAGAGACAGGGTTTCACCGTGTTAACCACGATGCTCTCGATCTCCTGACTTCGTGATCCATCCATTACCTTCTTTATTGCTCATGGCAACCCTCTGAGGTTGACATTATCTTTTCCAATTTACAGAGGAGAAATTGGGCTGGGTGTGATGGCTCATGCCTTAGTTCCAGCACTTTGAGAGGCCAAAGTGGGAGGATCACTTGGGGCCAGGAGTGTGAGACAAGCCTGGGCAACAAAGCAAGACCCCTATCTCTACAAAAAATAAAAAATAACTAGCTGGGCATGGTGGTACACACCTGTAGTCCTGGCTACTCTGGAAACCAAGGAGGGACGATCACTCGAGCCAAGGAGTTTGAGGCTGCAGTGAGCAATGAACCCCAGCCTCAGTAACAGAGCAAGACTGTCTCAAAAAAAAAAAGACACAAAGCAAGGGATCCAGGATTTGAACTCTGAACTCAGCACTATGACTCAAAAGCCCAGGATTTTCCCCATTTTACCCCGGACCTTCCTAAATTGTGTTTTTCTTATGCAGAGCATCTGCTCTCCTTCAAGAACAACGACCAAAAGTAGGTGGAGGCAGCTGGGCGCGGTGGCTCACGCCTGTAATCCCAGCACTTTGGGAGGCCGAAGCGGGCGGATCGCAAGGTCAGGAGATCGAGACCATCCTGGCTAACACGGTGAAACCCCATCTCTACTAAAAATACAAAAACAAAATTAGCCGGGCGTGGTGGCGGGCGCCTGTAGTCCCAGCTACTTTGGAGGCTGAGCCGGGAGAATGGCATGAACCCGGGAGGTGGAGCTTGCAGTGAGCCAAGATTGCGCCACTGCACTCCAGCCTGGGCGACAGAGTGAGACTCCGCCTCAAAAAAAAAAAAAAAAAAAAAATAGGTGGAGGCCTATCCCAAACTGAACTTTTGTGTACTCTGAACCTCTCCTATTTGCCCTCTGGGCTACCCCCATAATTACTCCGTGGTATTAAGGACTGGTAAGTTGGGATAACTTATTAACTATTCCTCTTTCTATTTGTGGTCTCAGAAATCTGAACTACATTTTAATGATAAGAGGGCTGAGGAGTGACCCAGAGATGCTAATTTTGTTTTGGTTAAAATCTCATACATTCGCATATAAATGAAAAGCAAAAGGACGTTTAAATCGTAGAAAGGGAAAAAAATAGCTTAGTCTTTCTCTTTGTCAGAAAGAAGCTTCTTTGGTAACACATAGTGTATGATTTTAGAGCCAGAAGGAATGTTACAAATTATCTATCCAACCCCTTCATTTGACAGAGGCAGAACCCAGGCCCAGACAGTGTGTGACTAACCCAAGGTCCAACAGGAAATGAGAGGCAAGGCTAGAACTAGAGTCTAGGTTTCCTTTTCCACCCCAATTCTTCTCTGAGTCCTTATCTCTTGTTCTGCCTCTATTCAGCCTCGTTGGTAACTTGTACCTCACAAACTAGGTGTGGTACAGACATTATTATTGCTACTCTGACAGTGACTATAGCCTTTCTGGCTGCTGGGATAACAGTGATTCTTGAACACAGAGACCATTCTGTTTGTAGATACATTTTAGGAGACTTCGTTATTATGACTGTGGATATAATGGAATTTGGAAAAAGATGTCTCAAACCCAGCTCAGAAAGATATATAGACCAAGCCCTTTCCAATATATTATGCCATTTATAATTCCCTCCCTGGCCTATGCCCCTCCTATAATTATACTTTAATAATTTTTGTTGGTTGCTGGTTTTTATCAGAAGAGGGGAGGAAGTGAGCATCTTCCAGGGCCTCATCAGGAGATCCTGTCTTTTTCTCACAGGTCCTTGATAGTCTATGGAATTTGTCCCAGCCGATAAGCACATACAACCCAATCTTAATCAGGGACTTCCCAATATATTGGTACCAAGGATTTTGCTCATTTGTGTATGTCTTCCCCATCCTAATTCTCTGATACTTAGAATTCATTTATTCACCTAGTCAAGAAAGATTAATCCACTGCCAACTAAGTGTCAAGTGCTCTCCAGACACTGGATTAAATGACAAAAACCCTACTTGCCTTCTCGCAATTTATAGACCAGGAGCAAACTCCAAAATTACGTATATTCTACATAGAGTTAGAAAGCTTCACTTTACTCATGTAGTCTGTCAAATCAAAGTCCAACCTAATGTAACCACCCAATGGGTTCTCCTTGCCCACTGCCCAGAGAGAGCTGATTTAAGACAGGGGAATTGGAATAGAGAAAGAGTTTAATTCATGCAGAGCCTGCTAAATGGAGACCAGAGTTCTGTTACTCAAATCAGTCTCCCCCAAAATTTGGAGACTCGGGTTTTTAAAGGATAATCTGGCAGGTAGGGGACCAGGGAGTGGGGGTCGCTGATTGGTTGGGTCAGAGATGAAATCATATGGGGTCAAAGTGGATTCGTCTTACTGTCTCCTGCTCCTAGGTGGGATTGCAGTGCTGGTTGAGCCAGATTACTGGTCTGGGTGGCACCAGTTGGTGCATCAGAGCACAAGGTCTGCAAAATATCATGAGCACCAGTCTTACGTTTTATGATAGTGATGTTATCCCTAGGAGCAACTGGGGAGGTTTAGAATCTTGTGGTGTCTAGCCGCATGACTCCTAAACCATAATTTCTAATCTTGTGGCTAGTTAGTCTTACAAAGGCAGCCTGGTCCCCAAGCGAGAAGAGGGTTTGTTTTGGGAAAGGGCTGTTATTATCTTTGTTTTAAAGTTAAACTATAAACTAAGTTTCTCCCAAAGTTAGTTCAGCCTCATGCCCAAGAATGAACAGGGGCAGCTTGGTGGTTAGAAGCAAGATGGAGTCAGTTAGGTCAGATATCTTGCACTGTCATAATTCTCCCACTGTCATAATTTTGCAAAGGCTGTTTCACTAAGAGATGACAGAAGGTGGAAAATCACCACATGACAGTATCTATGGGTAAAGAAAATCAAAATGTTAGTGGTTTACATTTCATTATCTACTCATTATTAAGGAAAGAACTACAGACCAAATTAATGAGTTGAATTTGCCTCTTAGCTGCCTTGATTAGCTCAACATTAATTCTGTTTGAGTGTTCTTTTTCCTTCCCTCCCTCCCTTCCTTCCTCCCTTCCTTCCTCCCTTCCTCTCTCTCTTTCTTTTCTTTTCTTTTCTTTTGAGACAGAGTTTTGCTCTTGTTGCCCAGGCTGGAGTGCAATGGCATGATCTCGGCTCACCGCAACCTCCGCCTCCCAGGTTCAAGCAATTCTCCTGCCTCAGCCTCCCGAGTAGCATGCGCCATCACACCTGGCTAATTTTTTTTTTTTTGTATTTTTAGTAGAGATGGGGTTTCTCCATGTTGGTCAGGCTGGTCTTGAACTCCTGACCTCAGGTGATCTGCCCACCTCGGCCTCCCAGAGTGCTGGGATTACAGGAGTGAGCCACCACGCCTGGCCTCTCTTTCTCTTCTTTTTTGAGACAGGTTTTTGCTCTGTTGCCCACAATGGAGTGCAGTGGAATGATCTTGGCTCACTGCAACCTCCATCTCCCGGGCTCAAGGTAATCCTCCTGCCCCAACCTTCCCAGGAGCTGGGACTACAGGCATGCGCCACCACAAGATGGGGTTTTGCCATGTTGCCCAGGCTGATTTTGAACTCCTGAGCTCAAGTGATCCACCTGCCTCAGCCTCCCAAAGTGCTGGCACTACAGGCGTGAGCCACTGCACCCCGCCCTGAGTGTTCTGCATCTTAAGGTTCCCAACAAATCTGTAAGCACCCTAGAAGTATGATTGTTCCCATTTTATATTTGAGGAAACAGGGCTGAAACAGTCAAGTAACTGTTTTAAATAATTCTGGGCTGGGCACAGTGGCTCATAGCCAGGAGTTTGAGACCAGCCCAGGCAGTATGGGGAGACCATGTCTCCATTAAAAAAAATAATAATAATAATAGTAAAAATAGGGAGTTTCAGCGCCTACTCTGGCTCAAGAGGCTGCCTGATAAAATAACAAAATGAATAAAATAAAATCACTTTGACTTCAGGAATATCTGCTTGAAGAGCCTGTGCTATTATTTCTGTTCTCCTTCCCTTCTCACTCACTGTCGCCTGGGGGCCAGGGTAAGACACTGCAATGAATATAAAAACAATATAACCTCCTCACTCTTAATAAATGTGTTTCTACAAAGTCATGTCCTGATTTTGTTTATTTATTTATTTTATTTTATTTTTTTGAGACAGTCTTGTTCTGTTGCCCAGGCTGGAGTACAGTGGTGCAATCTCAGCACACTATAAACTCTGTCTCCCAGGTTCAAGTGATTCTCCCACCTCGACCTCCCTGGTAGCTGGGTCTACACGTGCATGCCACCACGCCCAGCTAGTTATTATATTTTTAGTAGAGGTGGGGGTTTTGCCATGTTGGCCAGGCTGGTTTCGAACTCCTGACCTCAAGTGATCCACCCACCTCAGCCTCCCAAAATACTGGGATTACAGGCATAATAGAGCCACTGCACCCAGCCATGTCCTGATTTTATTAACACAATTTTGGGAAAAGTGATTTAATCTTGACATCTAAGAAGATAATCAGGGGAGTAGAGACCTTTCCTAATGACATCCCATTTACTAAAAACCTTTTTGGAGCAACATTTGGAAATAGAGTTCAGGAAAGGAACTCAGACTGGGCAGTACATTCGGTTGAGTATTTCTAATGATAGCATTGTATATATGCTTTAAATTTTAGAAAATAACAAAGTCATTTAAATCCATGTCTCAGCTGGATGCAGTGACTCACACCTGTAATCCCAGCACTTTAGCAAAGGCTGAGGCAGGAGGATCTCTTGAGGCCAGGAGTTTGAGACCAGCCTGGGCAACAAAGATAAACCACATATATACAAAAAATTTAAAAATTAGCCTGGTGATGTGGCATGCACCTCTAGTCCCAGCTACTTGGGAGGCTGAATTGGGAAGATTGCTTGAGCTTAGAAGTTGGAGGCTGCAGTGAGCATGATCACACTATTGCATTCTAGCCAGAGTGACAGAGCAAGACTCTGTCTCAAAAATCAATTGAGGCCAGGTATGGTGGTTCATGCTTGCAATCCCAGCACTTTGGGAGGCCAAGGCAGGAGGATTGCTTGAGCCCAGAAGTTCAAGGCCAGCCTGGGCAACATAGCAAGACCTTGTCTCTATTAATTTTTTTTAAATTAAAAAAAAAGCCATGTTTTATGAGGAGGTCAGGCTTAACTTACTGGAGTTTTTTTTTAAAATGTGATTTTGAAGTCAGTGATAAGATCCTAGCTAAGAAGCCACATTTGACATGTTCATTTGGAGATTTTCAAAGTTGCCATTTTGTACTGTTCACCAATTTGGATGCTCAATATTTGTTGAATGGATAGTCTATTCATTCAACATGTATTGCCTCTTACTATGCCCCACATTTTTTGGATGGTGGAGATTCAAAGGTGAAAATGTCAAGGTTTTTGCTTTTGAAATCACAGCTTAGTGGATGAAATAAATACTTCATTACAAAACAGCATAATAATCACTTTGCTAGTGGAATATACAAAGAACTATGGTATGAAAAGGTGAAAGTCTTTCTCACCTTGTTTTCTCAACTAAAATAAGAATATTCTGGTTGATAAATATGAATCTACTGTACTTATGGGGACAATAAAAAAAAACAGTTGAATTGGTACTTTAAAACACAATATATAGGGTGCAATGCCTATAATCCCAGAGCTTTGAGAGGCTGAAGCAGAGAATCTCCTGAGACCAGGAGTTTGATACCAGTCTGAGCAACAAAGTAAGACACCATTTCTACCATCCCCCACCCCAAAAAATAGCTGGATGCTTGTAGTGCAGCTACCATACAAAAAAATAGGCTCATGCTTGTAGCCCTACCTACTCAGGAGGCTGAGGTGGGAGAATTGCTTGAACCCAGGAATTCAAGGCTACAGTGAGCTATAATCACGCCACTGTACTCCAGTCTGGGCTACTGAGTGAGACCCTGGCTCTCAATAAAAAAGATGCATAGAGCTTTGCTTTACCAAGGGAATAAAATTCCAGGCCACTAATAAAATGGCCTGAAAATTCCTCCCAGATCTGACCATGTTCTTCCCACAGTGCCCTTTTTCCTCTCTGATTATCTTTCCATCATTCATCCCATTATTCACAATTCGCTGACTGACTAGTCTATGGGAGTAATACAAAAGAAAGGATCATTGCCTTCTCTGATAAAACAAAATGCAGACTTCCAAAGTTTAGTACCAGAAAGAAAGTGATATTCCATGAGGGAATGGTTAACTGATCACAGTAGCTCAGTCTTCTCACTCTGAGTGTTAACTTCCCATTGGGAGGTTTCATATTTGGGTTAGCGCCATCTCCACCATACTAGCTTCTCCCCTAGGAACACTCTGATTCAAGCTGGGTTGGAAACATTTATTTTCTTCCCTGAGAGTAGCTGAAATTTCTTCATTTTTTTCATATAACAGAGTAGATTTAGAGCCACAATCTTTTTTTTTTTTTTTCCTCAGCAGTAGGGTGGCAGAAATATCATCCACAATTGGACGTCTGCTTCACAGTCAGAGGAAGCATTCTAGCCATTGTTATAACCTCCCCTTGGGTCAGAAGTGATTGACAGTAATAACAGCTAATCCTAATTCCATTATCTCATTTGTAGTGGGTTCAATGAACAAGACCCTCTCTATTCTTCAACAGTAACATTAAACAGAAAGCTGGTGTCATTTTCTTAGTTTCAACCAATCAGCTCATAGCCAATCTTGTGTCTTCTGCATTCTTATTCACTCCCCATACAGACATCACTGGATTATTTTGATGCAAATCCTAGATGTTATATAATCTCATTCATAAATATTTCAATATGCATCTAAAAGATAAGGGCTCTCTTTAAAAACTTAAACACAGTACTGTTATTATACCTGAAAAGAAATAATAAGCTCTCACTATAACCAAATATTCTGATGGTATTCACGTTTCCTCCATCATCTCATAATTTTTTTCTGTTAGTTTGTTTGAATCAGCATCCATATGGCTACTCAGTGCTTGAATTGCAACTAGTCTCAATTGTGATGTGCTGATAATGTAAAAATACAACACATTTCCAAAACTTAACAGAAAAAGATATAAAATATTAATTATTTTTACATTGATTATAATCAATCAATCAATTGTAATTTCAATGCTTCAATCATAATTTCAATGATTTTTGAATATGTTAGATTCAATAAAAATATGTTAAAATTGTTTTCACCTATTCATTTTTACTTTTTTAATGAGGCTAGTAGAAAACTTAAAATTATACATGTGGTTTGCATTATATTTCTGTTGGATAGTGCTAATCTAAAGGATTGAGCAGGTTCAGGTTTGATTTTTTTTGCAAGACTGTTTCATAGGTGATGATGTGTTATTCCATCTGGAAGTACACAATGGTGGGCCATCTTTTTTGTGCTAAGATTGATCAGTGGTCCAGGTATTACAGCTGGATACATCCATGTTAAGTACATCATCAACTTTAAATCCAATGATTGAACATTTATTTTTAATATATTTGATATCATTCTATTTCCTGGTTTGTATACTGATACTTAAAAGCCTTCCATTTATAATTTTCCATTTAATGAAAATTCCATATGAATATTATTTCAAATATACTATAGATCTCTATATATGCTTTGGACTAATGCTCTCCAACAGAACTTTCTGTGATGAAGGAAATGTTCCACATGTGCACTGTTCAATATAGTAGCCATATGTAACTACTGAGTACTTAAAATGTGTCTAGAGCAACTGAGGAGCAGATTTTAATTTTAATTAATTAAATCTAGATTTGAATAACCATATGTGGCCAATGGCCACTGTATTGGACAACAGCTCTAAACTCACTAGCCTTCAGACTTTCATTAAAAGCTCGAACTAACATACTTTTTTCCCTTCTTGGAAGCTTCATACATATTCTCTGCTTTGCATGGAACAATATTCCCCAGACTAATTTCAAGGAAATCTCATTTCTATCCTAGAGGCCTCTTTTACTTCCTCAGATTTGTTTCTTACTTTCTCAGAGTGATCTTCCCTGGCTCTTCAATCTACAGTAACTTAGTGTTTCCTGTTATTTTTTTCTCATAAAAGCCTCCTTGTTTAATATTGACCCAATTTGTAATCATAGTTATACACTTATGTGTGTGCATATTTATTTAATGTTTGTCTTTTTTTTTTTTTTAAGAGAAAAGGCATACAAATTTATTAATATACAGGGCTGGGGACCACAGAATGATTACCCCAACCCCTCAGTGGGTTACAGAAGATTATATATCCTTTCTCAGAGGCAAAAGAGGAGATGGGTAATGTAGACAATTCTTTGAGGAACAGTAAATGATTATTAGGGAGAAGGAATGGACCAGAGAGACAGAAATTAACTTGTAAATGATTCTCTTTGGAATCTGAATGAGACCAAGAGGCCAGCTTTATCTTGTGGAAGAGTCCATCCAGGTGTGGTTGCATTCTTCAGTCTCTGCAGTAGATAATGGGGTAACAGAAGGCCATTGTGCTTCTTTTGGTAAGAAGCTTTTTTTTGTCAGATCAGGAAATTCCAGAGAAAGTCCCGCCTTGGCAAGTTTACTTAGCGCTGGTATACTTGGTGATGGCCTTGGTGCCCTCGGACACGGCGTGCTTGGCCACCTCCTCGGGCAGCAGCAGGCGCTCGGCCGTCTGGATCTCCCTGGAGGTGATGGTCGAGCGCTTGTTGTAATGCGCCAGGCGGGAAGCCTCGCCCGCGACGTGCTCAAAGATGTCGTTGACGAAGGAGTTCATGATCCCCATGGCCTTAGAGGAGATGCCGGTGTCAGAGTGGACCTGCTTCAGCACCTTGTGCAAGTACACGGAGTAGCTCGCCTTGCGGCTGCGCTTGGTTTCTTGCCGTCCTTCTTCTGCGCCGTAGTCACCCACCTCTTGGAGCCCTAATTGGGATCAGGAGCGGACTTTGTTGGCTCTGGCATGTCGAGGGCGCACTACAGGTCGAGGTGAACTAACAGCAGCTCGAGAAAACGGGAATTAATTTAATGTTTGTCTTTACTACCAAACTGTAAGTTTCGTGAGATTAGGACCATATTTGCATCATTCATTATTATGTCTCTGGGACCCAGCACAATGCCTAGTACATATTAGGACTTCAATAAACAAATGCAAAGTAGCGCATGGGGCTGCAGCCACAGATCTCCTGGGCTCTGGGTCTGGGAGCAGGCAGTGGCATCTGACACTTCATATCCCTTAAAGAAGACAAAATGTATTCTATGACAGATAGGGAACCAGAGCCAGGGACTAGAGTGTGACTCCCTGACTTGTTAGAGGAGGTTGGGAAAAATGGCCTTGACTATCTTCCTAGGCAGAGGCGGGCAAACTATGCACCCCAGCCCAAATCCAGCCCTCTGCCTGTTTTGGTAAATAAAGTTTTATTGGAACACAGTTACATACTTTTTTTTTTTTTTTTTTTTTTTGAGACAGAGTTTCTTTCTGTTGCCCAGGCTAGAGTGCAATGGCATGATCTCGGCTCACTGCAACCTCTGCCTTCCCAGTTCAAGTGATTCTCGTGCCTCAGCCTCCCGAGTAGCTGGAATTACAGGTGTGTGCCACCACACCTGGATAATTTTCGTATTTTTAATGGAGACGGGGTTTCACAATGTTGGCTGGGCTGATCTCGAACTCCCAACTTCAGGTGATCCGCCCACCTCGGCCTTCCAAAGTGCTGAGATTACAGACATGAGCCTCTACATCTGGCCAGAACACAGCTACTTTCATTCTTTTACATATTGTCTATGGCTGCTTTTGCACTACAACAGCAGAGTTTTAGTACACGCATGCACTGCATAACAATGTTTCAGTCAATGACAGACTGCGTATATGGCAGTGGTCTCATAAGATTATAATGGAGCTGAAAAATTCCTATTGCCTAGTTATGTCATAGCTATCATAACATTCTAGTACAACACATTACTCATTACTCATGTGTTTGTGGTGATGCTAGTGTAAACAAACCTACTGCACTGCTAGTCATATAAAAGTATAGCACATGCAATATGAACAGTACATAATACTTGATAACGATTATAAATGACTATGTTACTGATTTATGTATTGACTGTACTATACTTTTTGTTATTTTAGAGTGTGCTAATTTGACTGATAAAAAAAGTGTTAACTGTAAAACAGCCTCAGGCAAGTCCTTCAGGAGGTATTTCAGAAGAAGGCACTGTTATCACATGAGATGACAGCTCCATGCATGTAATTGCCCCTGAAGACCTTCCAGTGGGACAAGCTGTGGAGGGGAAAGACAGTGATATGGATGATCCTGACCCTGTGTAGGCCAAGGCTAATGTATGTGTTTGTGTCTTAGTTTTTAACAAAAAAGATTTAACAAGTAATAACTAAACTAAAAAAAATTTAAATAGAAAAAAGCTTATAGAATAAGTATATAAAGAAAGAAAATATTTTTGTCCAGCTGTCCAATGTGTTAAAAAGTATCAGTAAGCTAAGGTTAACTTATCATTGAAGACATAAACATAAAAATGTTTTTGTAAATTTAGTGTAGCCTAAATGTGCAGTGTTTATAAAGTCCACAGCCTACAGTCTACAGTAGTATACAGTAGTGTCCTAGGCCTTCATATTCATTTATCATTCACTCATTGACTAACAGCAACTTCCAGTCCTGCAAACTCCATTCATAGTAAGTGCCCTAAACAGGTGTAGCATTTTAAAAGGTACAGTAAAAATATAGGATAAAAGGTTTTTAGGACACTAATATGATTTTTTTTTTTTTTTTTTTTTTTGAGACAGAGTCTCCCTCTGTCACCAGGCTGGAGTGCAGTGGCACGATCTTGGCTCACTGCAACCTCTGCCTCCTGGGTTCACGCCATTCTCCTGCCTCAGCCTCCCTAGTAGCTGGGACTACAGGCACGCACCACCATGCACATTTCACACTGATCTCTGCCCTCATCTTCTTGTGGCATTCTCTCTCTTCTCTCTTTCTCTGTCTCTGTGTGTGCATGTGTGTCTGTCTGCAAACTTCCCCTTTTTATAAGAACACCAGTCAGATTATATTAATGCCTACTCTAATGACCTCATTTTAACTTGATAACCTCTGTCTCCAAATAATGCCATATTCTGAGGTATTGGGGGTTAGGGCTTCAAGATATTTTTTTAGGAGAGGGGATAGAATTTAACTCATAATGATGAAACAAACTCTAATCTATATAAAATTGAAGACTGAATTAGAAAGATGAAGAGAGTATTGAGAAATTCACCCAAAATATACCCCAGAGAGACAAAGGTGTGTGTGTGTGTTTGTGTGTATTTATTCTGAATACATAGATGTGTATTTGTTTATTTATCTATTTACTTCAGTTAAGATACATGAAGGATAGATTGAAAGGTCCCAACATTCCAGCATATCTAATAGTTTTATTGTAGAAGGCATTGGTGGCTGCCTACCCAGTTGCCATTGCTTTTTCGTCATCCTTAATAGCAGAATCTTGATTTTTCTTTTCAGGAAGACAATGTGCCTAACTAAAAATACTTAATTTCTCAGCCTCTCTTGCAACAAAGATAGTCATGTGACCAGTTCTGGACAGTGAGGTAGCAGCAGAAGTTCCTAGGCTGACCATTCTTTTCTTAGTACAAAGTCAAAGTCCCATTAGGAGAAAGTGCTTCACCCCATAGTGCTTTGCCCACTGCCCCTGACCTTAAGACAGAAGTCCCAGTTGATTTTTATAGAATAATTTAACAAACCTTCAACAAACAGATAATCTCTACCTTTCAAAAAATAGTGAGGGTGTTCTCACTCATAGGTGGAAATTGAACAATGAGAACACGTGGACACAGGAAGGGGAACATCACACACCGGGGCCTGTTGTGGGGTGAGGGGAGCGGGGAGGGATAGGATTAGGAGATATACCTAATGTAAATGACGAGTTAATGGGTGCAGCACACCAACATGGCACATGTATACATACGTAACAAACCTGCATATTGTGCACATGTACCCTAGAACTTAAAGTATAATAAAAAAAAAAAAGAAAAAGAAAAATAGTGAGGAAAAGCACTCAATTCATTTTATGAGGTTATTATACTTTTGTAACAAAGCTATTAAAAAAAGACCAGTATTTCTCATAAATACAGATTTAAACATTCTAAATAAAATGTTGTGTGTGTGTATACATATGTATATTATATATATATACATACATTATTTATATATATATATTTCCCCCTCACCCCATGGCCAAGATTAATTGATCCTAAGAATAACATACAATCAATTAAGAGGAAAAAATATGGTCAATGTAATAGATACAGAAAATAGAAAGCACGTTTGATAAACCTTATGCATTCTCATACTTACTCATTTAAGGGGAAAAATTAGCAGAATTAGTGTTAGGAGGAGCAAGTTGCTATTATATAAAGTGTTCCTTTTATAGATGACATTTGAGTAGAAGAGGTGAAGGAAGAAAGCCAGGCATGCTGATATCTGGGGGAAGAATGTTAGGAATATAGACTTTAAGATGGAAGCATGGGTAAGGCTTTTCAATTTATGTAGAAACAACCAACCAAACTCTTAGCACCTATGGATAGAAGACAATACTCTTAACTGCACAAAAAGTATCTATCAAAATCTTACAAACATTAATGATGAAACTTTATTACACTATATTGTCACAACCATTCTACATTCTACTGGACCTACGAGACAATGCAATAAGATGAGAAATAATGGAAGGTATAAAACTTACAAAGACATTCCAAAGCAGACCTTATTTGCAGTCAACATATTTGACTACATAGGAAATCTAAGAGAATCTACATGAGTTAATCAGAAAGTCATTGAATGCTGCTAGATCCAAGATCAATATAAAAAAATTGTATTTCTATATACCAGTAATAAGCAAATTGCAACTGTAATAGATAATGGTATATCATCAACAATGGCAATAAAACTGTAAAGTGTTTAGGAACAAATCATACCCTTTAGATTAGCAAATTAAGTAGTTAATTTAAAAGATTGAATACAATGTGGATAAATGGGAACTTTCATATACTGGGAATGGGAAAGTAAATTAATGCAACTGCTTTGGAGAATGCATTAGTCCATTTTCGTGTTGCTATAAAGGAATACCTGAGATTGGGTAATTTTTTTTTTATAAAAGAGATTTTATTTGGCTCATGTTTCCGCAGGCTGTACAAGAAGTGTGGTGCCAGCATCTGCTTCTGGGGACAGCCTCAGGAATCTTTCAATCATGGAAGAAGGTAAAGGCAGAGTCAGTGCATCATATGGTGAGAGAGGGAGCAAGAGAGATGGGGGGACAGCCCAGCACGGTGGCTTACGCCTGTAATCCCAACACTTTGGGAGGCCAAGGAGGGCGGATCACTTGAGGCCTGGAGTTCCAGACCAGCCTGTCCAACATGATGAAACCCGGTCTCTACTAAATACAAAAATTAGCCAGGTGTGACGGCGCACGCTTGTAATCCCACCTGCTTGGGTGGCTGAGGCGGGAGAATCGCTTGAGCAGGAGGCAGAGGTTGCAGTGAGCTGAGATCGCGCCACTGCACTGCAACCTGGGTGACAGAGCGATTCTCCCTCTCCAGAGAGAGATGGGGGGAAGTACCACACTCTTTTAAACAACCAGAACTCAGAGAGGGGAACTCACTGATCACCAAGGGTTTGGCACTAAGCCATTCATGAGGGATCCACCCCCATGTGCACAGTTCACAATAGGGTTGGTGCTCCTATGAGAATCTAATACCTTTGCTGATCTGATAGGCAGTAATGCTTACTAGCCTGCTGCTCACCTCCTGCTGTGCAGACCCATTCCTAACAGGCCATGGACCAGTAGGGGTCCGTGGCCGAGGGACTGGGGACCCCTGTTCTACAGAATGTTCAGCACACATGCTCAAGGATACTTATGCAAAAATATTCATTGTAGCTTTTCAAAACAATAAAGATTTGATAACAAAGTAAATGAATATCACAGGAAAATACTATGGTTGTGTAGCAAATAAAATAAATAAATGAACTACACTTACGTATATCAATTTATGTGATAAAAGCAAGTTTCACATAAAAAAGAATAGTGCTTAATATAAAGTTTAAAAGCATGAAATCCAATATTATAGAGATACATGTGTATGTAACAAAACATAAAGTACGATGAAAAGGGGTAAACATTTGGCCGGGCGCAGTGGCTCACACCTGTAATCCCAGCACTTTGGGAGGCCAAGGCAGGTGGATCATGAAATCAGGAGTTTGAGACCAGCCTGACCAACATAGTGAAATGCCATCTCTACTGAAAAAACAAAAAAACAAAAAAACAAAAAAACAAAAAAAACTACAAAAATTGGCTGGGCGCGGTGGCAGGTGCCTGTAATCCCAGCTACTCAGGAGGCTGAGGCAGGAGAATCGCTTGAACCCTGGTGGCAGAGGTTGCTGTGAGCCAAGATCATGCCACTGCACTCCAGCCTGGGCAACAGAGTGAGACTCCATCTTAAAAAAAAAAAAAGGGGTAAACATTTAATGCCAGAAAGGGATTTCTTATGGGCATGGGAGGAGGAAAATGTTATAGGAGTTTACATATATTTGTAAAGTATCCCTTCTTTTAAAAGATTTGAAATGACCAAATGTTAATGTTTGATAAAGCTATTAGATACAGGTATTCTTTTAAGTATTCTGAGCTTTTGATATATTTTATAATATTTTCAAAAGTGAGATGATCTTCCAGGAAGCTGACATTTTTTATCTCATGGACCACATCTAGTGTTGCAGAACTTAGGGTTTCTGCCCAGTGAGTACTCCAATTCTCTCTTAGTTCTCTATCTCCCCTTTGGGAGTTAGTTTGGTCAAACCTGTGTAATCACCAGGGAAGCACAACAAAAGCCAGCTATTTATTTGTTCTCCCTATGGCTTTTCTTTTTTTTTTTCCCCCTAACATGAATTAAAACTCGTGTTCTGGTTTCTATCCCCATGACGTTGCTCATCAATTGACATTATTAAGCAAATACTTCAAGAACTTTGAAATTTCTCTTCCAATTCCTCAGGGCGTGGCGATAATTGTGAGTGGAAAGACAGTGAGGTGGGATTACCAGGCAAGCTTTTGTTTTCTTCTTGATTGAAAGGATTTACTCCTCTTTTTAGCTTCTCATTGAATCGTTTCTTTCTAACAAGTATCTCACAGCTTTTCTCTCTCTTTTCCTAAAGCACAATTTAATTTATTTTTATCTGATAAGGCATTTTTTAAACTTCCCTTCTATGTCTACTCCACATAGAACAACTTTGCTTATCCTACAGAACCTTTGCGTCCTCATTTTACCTTCCTCTGCAACTCTTGAGCAAGCCCCGCCCTTGTCTCCACGCCCTCCATCTTGGTCTCCCAGATGTCTTTGTCTTTATTATATTTTCAAAAGTGAAACAAATCAGTTAAGAAGACAGTGATATTTCTGTCTCTCGAAAACCCATTTCCTTGGCCTTTCCTTTCTCTTT
Organism: Homo sapiens; assembly: GCF_000001405.40. Classification (NCBI taxonomy): domain Eukaryota; kingdom Metazoa; phylum Chordata; class Mammalia; order Primates; family Hominidae; genus Homo; species Homo sapiens. Next base: position 114,110,156 of record NC_000003.12, read on the forward strand.
GTTTGGGTGGGAATAGGACAATTTTTGATTTAAAAAACTCAGAGTTCCCAGCTCAAAATCCTCCCTAAAGTTAATTCATTCCTGCCCAGTTTTATGTTCAAAAATCCTGTCCTTGATTTTTTAGGCAGCATACCTATGATTAAGCATACACAGTGAATATCCTTTTACATATGAATCATGCTTTCCAATGTATATTTCTTTGCACATTAATTTTTTCCCCAATAGTTCTGTGAAGTAGACAGGACAGAGAGAATTGCCCTCATTTTACTCCTGAGGAAGCAGAGGCATAGAGACATTTACTCCTTAGAGTTTGTCAGCTGAAAAAGGTAGACTTTAATTGAAGGCGATAGAAGCAGGACAGTTAGGAAACGGAAAAGCCCGGCTGCCAGGGGTTACGGACACAGGCAATTCCCTATGAAAGTGCTTTCTTCACTTGCCTTCACTCACCAGATTTCCTTGAGGCAGCGGGTGGGTGAGTATGCCTGGTATGATAAAGGTTCACTCCAATACATGAACAGAAAGTATTTCAGTTCAACAAAAGCAGAGCCTGGGAGAGAAACCCAGGGGGTTTACACCAATTCTGGAAGGAGGCAGGAAACAAGCAGAGGGGAAAAGGACAGAAGGAAAGTGAAGGGGGAAGGAGAGTAAGTGACAAAGGAGGAAAAGGTGTGAAACAATTTGCTCCTAGTTTATGAAAATTCCTCTTTGAAAATGAGATAAAGAAGTAATTATTTGCATCACAAATTAACTCTTCACTTCAAAAGAGTAGTTACCACAGGTGTGATTCTGCAATGTGAGACTTTAAAAGAACATGACTTGGGAGAGGTGGGAGATTTAAACAATAAAATCCTGATTATAATATAATAGGAAATAATTCCAGTGATAAAGGGGGAGACAGCTAAAGAAGGAGGTGGTTATACAGGGAGCTCTCTGCAGAGCTCAGGCTTTGAAAAGGACATGAACAGAAAGCAAAGGGAGGGGATTATAGATAAGCTTGAACACAAAAGACTATCATGAACCTTCAAGAACAGAATAAAGGAGGCTAAAGCTGAGCTTTACAAAAAAGCGCTAAAGGCTGCATTACTTAGAGTAAAGAGAAGCACAAACATGGAGCAACCTGCTCTTTGAGGAAGTAAGGTTGTGTAATGTCAACAGAAGTTCAGCAGTGCTTACTTTTTTTTAGTGTTCATTTTGCTTCTGTCTTCTCCTAGGTGCAAAAAGTAGTTGTAACTGACATTTCTCTTAGAGAGAGACTGTATTTGCGCAGAAGGAGCACACTGATATTATCCCACTAGGGAAAGGGACAGAGATCCCCAGAGTCTCAGCCTCAAAGATAGGAGAAGACTTAGGAGCTCCCTGGCCACATTTGAGAGAAAGATGGTGAAAAGCAAGTATAGGAGCAACAAAACCAGGAAGACAGTGATCTACCACACCCCCCTTCCCTGCTCTGCTCAAATCTTGTGTAATTCTTCTAAAACTTGTTAATTGCTTTGTGTGAGTGAATTTCCCATGGAAACAGAAGATGAAACTCAGCTTGGCTCCCTAGGGCACATGGTGAAAATGACAGCCAACTTTCAGATTAAGGAGCCAAAGGAAAGAGACGTAAGGATATACAACCTTCAATTTTTTCTTTGTTTGTTTGTTTTGAGACAGTCTTGCTCTGTCACCCAGACTGGAGTGCAGGGTGCAATCTTGGCTTACTGCAACCTCTGCCTCTCGGGTTCAAGTGATTCTCCTGCCTCAGCCTCCTGAGTAGCTGGGACTATACACACATACCACTGCGCCTGGCTAATTTTTGTATTTTTAGTAAAGATGGGGTTTCACCATGTTGGCCAGGCTGGTCTCGAACTCCTGACCTCAAGCAATCCACCCGTCTCAGCCTCCCAAAGTGTTGGGATTACAGGTGTGAGCCACCGCACCTGGCCTGGGGTCTGGTATTTTAGGACAAACGAATAACATGGCTACATCCAAAGAAAAGCGATAATCTGTTGGGAATTACAGCAAATGGGAGAGGTGCCTGAAGGCTGAAAACTTTTCACAAAGGGGAACAGAATAGATTCTATCAACTAGAGAGCAATAAACAAGCATTGACATCTATTCCACTGCAAATGATTAATTCAAGACTAAGCCAATCATGGTATTCCATTCACCTTGCTAGGATGGATTGCTGCTGTGATTTAAACCTGGTTAATAAGATAAAAGGGGGAGTTTTGGGAGTATTGGGCAAAGAAATTACATGAGGAGAAGAGTGGTTCTGCAGTTACTGAGCATTGTTGTGACAGATATGACTCCTAGAATGGCTCCATCATTACTTATGGAGGTGAAGGGTGGGGAGCCAGCTCGAGAGCAAAGCAAACCTCTGGAGTTAGCAGACGGGAGATGGAAAGAGCTTGAATCCATGATGACTCTGCTAAGCCACTGAATCTGCCAGTCTGAAGCTCATACTTCATATAGACTTCTTCATGAGTGAGTAAAATAAACCTCATTGTTGAAGAAAATCTGAGTCAGGGTTTTCTGATATTTGGGGCAAAGACATATTCTAACTGATACAACGATATATTTAGCTGAAAGAGTATGTGATATTCTGTGCAAGTCCTACAAATAGCGTATGACACTGACTCTGACCCTTAGGATTTAGGCCTCAGTGTTTTTTCAATAACATGACAACATTCCCTTTAATATATTCTTCCATTTGGAGATAATTCAAATCTCAAGGGAAGTCTAAGACAGTAGCTATTGTAATTAAAATTCAGTGACTAAGCAGGCTGGAATGCTAGGATAAAACCAACAAGTCGAATAGATGATGAATACAAGATCCAGCATTGGTTCCAAAAATCTACATCCAAAGTTCAAGACCAGGCACGGTGGCTCATGCCTGTAATCTCAGCACTTTAGGAGGCTGAGGCCGGGGGGATCATCTTGAGGCCAGGAGTTCGAGACCAGCCTGGCTAACATAGTGAAACCCTGTCTCTACTAAAGAATACAAAAATTAGCCAGGCGTGGTGGCACCCACCTGTAATCCCAGCTACTCAGGAGGCTGAGGCAGGAGAATCACTTGAACCTGGGTGGAGGAGGTTGCAGTGAGCTGAGAACACGCCACTGCATTTCAGTCTTCATGACAGAGCGAGACTACGTCTCAAAACAAACAAACAAACAAAAATACAAAAGTTCAAGACTTGGTTTAATATAACTTTAGTGGAAAACATCTGAGAATTTTAGCTGAGCACATGTAGCAGATGTTATAGTCTACTGCCTATAGTCTTACATCAAAACTAAGGCAGTTATTCCCCCAGCTGAGGGGAGTGTTGGTGGCTTATGGCCAGTGGCTCTCAGCTAAGTCCCTGTCCAGGACTGGTTCTCAGCTGAAGAGAACCATCCCTCTTAGGTTGTGCCTCCTCCCTGGAGACAGATACTTCTTATAACTCAGTAATATGGGCATATAAAAGCCTGTTTTGTATGCCTAAAGCCAGGACAAGTTTGAAGGGCTATCCCAGATCCAGAGACCCCTATGGGACTGCCAAAGTCCTTGTTACAACTGACTCAGAGTCCCACTCCTCTTCTGCCCAGTCTTCCTTTATCCTACGTGAGTGTTGATCCTCAAGTTCCGATAAACTTTCTGCATGTGAATCTCCAACTCAGAGTTTGTGTTTGTTAGGGACCCATGTCATCATGGACCTCCTGTTGAAGTGAGGTCATATGGGAGCCAGGTAGTACATGTAACATTGGCTTAAGTGTGACTCATGGTGGGTCGTTTTCTTAGTTCCCAAATGTGTAAATTCCAATTTGTAATTGGGATGGACATATGTAGCAGTTGGCTGAACATCGTTGTGTGCTTGACCCTGGAGAACTAGTGTAACGGGGAAGGCCAAGTGGGAGCTTCTGAAACTTCCCCTCAAGGCAAGATAATAAATTTTAAAAATGACGGTAGATGGCATGACAGAAATTAGGGTGACCATTGAAGATCTAGAGAATTCAGGGCTGATGGTCTCCACTAATGCATCAGTCTGTCCCCTCCAGACCCTGGAGGATGACAGTAGACTGCCACACAGCCAACTAAGTGGTAGCCCCTAATTGCAGCTGTGGTGCCAGATGTGATGTCTTTAACATGGCCTCAAGTATATACTATGAGGCCATCAATCTGGTGTGTTTATGTGTTCATTTCCATCCCTATCAGTAAGGAAGATCAGAAATTCATTCACTTGGGAAGAACAAAAGTTTACATTTACTGCCTTGCCTCATGACTATACAGATTCTCCCATCTGTGGATATAATACTGTCCAAAGGAAGCTGGACCACATGGACATTTTGCACAACTTTTCATTAGTTTGCTACATCTGTAACATCATATTAATCAGACCAAGTGAACAACTGGCAAGGGCTTTGGAAGCCTTGGCTAGACACATATACTCCAAAGGGTGGGAGATTTTAAAAAATACTATAAAGATTCAGAGACTTTCCACATTAGTAAAATTTTTAGAGGTCCAGTAGGCTGGGGAATGCTGAGACATGCACTTCAAAGTAAAGGACAAATTATTGTAACTTGCATTTCCCATAACTAAGAAGGAAACCCAGCACCAATAAGCGTCTTCTGGTTCTGAAAGCAGCACATTTCACACTCAGAGACACTACTCTAGCACATACGCCAGCTGAAACATGAGTCTACCAGATTTGGAGAGAGCCCAGAGCAGGAAAGGGCTCTGCAGCAGGACCAGGCAGTAGTGCAAGCTGCTCTGTCATATGATGATTTTGGTCACATGATGTGGTAGAGCCTACAGTATAGGAGGTATCATTGATAGAAAAAGGCTGTGTACATTTTATGGCAGGCCTCAATAGGCAAACACAAATAGACCCCTAGGATTCAGAAGCAAGACAAGCAATTTGCAGCAGAGAACTATACGTTTAGATAAATATTCCTGGTGCCCTACTGGTTCCTAGTAGGAACACAGCACCCAACTATGGGATGCCAAGGGTCCACACAGCAAGGACTGCCCATTGCGAATTCTGACAGACCCCCAAATCATGAAGGCAGGCAGGCCTACCAACAATTGTAAGGAAGGAAATGATACGTTTGGGATCAGGCATTAGCAGAGCCAGAGAGCACAAATAAGTTGCACGCATATGTGGCCCAGACTACTAGGTCATCCATCACATTTGCACTGATGCCTCACCCTTAGCTCACACTTACGGCAGCATAAAGTGAGGGCAAAAGCTGAGTTTGATTTATGTACGGGTAAGATTGGAATGTAGTAGCAAGCTAAAAATAGACTATTGCTATATAACAGGACCACATCCTTAGCGTGTCCCAGAAAATTAGGGATGAGAGAAATTCTTCCTAATGGATAAAGCATCAGATGGTGCCTTTGTCGAGAGAAATACTCTGAGATAAGATATGTATCACTTATAGGCAGTAGTGAATTATTTGGACAGTTGACTCTATACAACCTGGGAAGTAGAATGTCTTAGCCAGTTGATGTCAGCCAGCTCCTATCAGTGCTGGCACAATAGGCACATTAATGGACCATGGGTAAGGAATGGAGACACCATCCTAACAAGACTAATTGACTTTATTTTTATTTTTTTTGAGACGGAGTTTCACTCTTGTCACCCAGGCTGGAGTGCAATGGCACCATCTCGGCTCACTGCAACCTCTGCCTCCCAGGTTCAAGTGATTCTCCTCTGTCAGCCTCCCAAGTAGCTGGGATTACAGGCACCTGCCACCAAGCCCTGCTAATTTTTGTATTTTTAGTAGACATGGGGTTTCACCATGTTGGCCAGGCTGGTCTCTAACTCCTGACCTCAGGTGATCTGCTGGCCTCGGCCTCCAAAAGTGCTGGGATTACAGGTGTGAGCCGCAGTGACTGGCCTAATTGACTTTCTTAATCAGGAGAAGATAGCTCTTCTCTTACATGATGGCGACAGAAAAGAATACTCCCTTGCCTAATTTTGATGATAAATGGATAAGTACAACAACCATGACTGAGAAACAGTGGTGGTGATGGAAGCTATTTATAGGCCCAACAACACGTGCTCTCACTTGCTAAGGCTGATCTAGTTACTGCCACTGCTGAAGATCCAGCCTGACAGCAACAGATACCATCACTGAGTCTCCAGTATGGCTCCATCCCTCAAGAAGACCAACCAGCTTCTTAATGGCAAATTATTCTTCTTAATGACAAAATGGGTCCTTTCCACCATGTGATTCCACCCTGTGATTTTGATACGAATGGACACTTATCCTATTCATACAACTTCAGCTAGACAGTGCCTATGTAGCATTTGATCCACTGAAACAGGATCCTGCCAAACATTGCATTGGACTAAAGTAACTGCTTATGTTAATGGAAGTTTAACCTTAATTACTTCCTTATAGGCCTTAACTCCAAATACAGTCACATTGGGGGTTATAGATTCAACATATGAATTTTGGAAGGCTCTTCTTTTCCCAGAATTGTCTTTGCTGAAAATCAATTGACCATAAATATAACGATTTATTTCTGGACTGTCAATTCTGTTCCATTGGTCTATATGTCTTCTTACTGCAAATACCATACTGTTGATAACTGCAGCTTTATAGTTAGTTTTGAAATCAAGGATTAAACATTCTCCAACTCCTTTCTTCCCACGCATGGAAAATCACTGATCTCTTTTCTGTCTCTACAGATTTACCTATTCTAGGTACTTTTCTTTTTAAACAGTGTCTTTTGGCTATTCTAGGTCTTTTGTACATCTATGTAAATTTTACAATCTGCTTGTCAGTTCGTGATGAAAAAGGCTGGTGGAATTTTGAGAGGGATTGTGTTGTCTATATATCAATTTGTAGAAAGTTGCCATCTTAACATATTGAGTTTTCAAATCTCAGAACATAGAATGTTAGAGGTCCCTGTTCTTTTTTAATTTTAAATTTCTTTTCATAATTTAAACATTTTTTCTATTGAGGTAAAATTCATATAGATAAAATTAACTATTTTAAAGTGAACAATTAAGTGGCATTTATTACATTCACAATATCGTACAACAACTACCTCTATCTAGTTCCAAAATATTTTCATCACCACAAAAGAAAACTGTGTACCCATCAAACAGTTACTCCTCTTTCCTTTTTCTCCCAACCTCGGACACCACAGTCTTCTTTCTGTCTCTATGGATTTACCTGTTACTCTGAATATTTCATATAAATGAAGTCATACAACATGTGACCTTTGTGTCTGACTTCTTTCGTTAGCACAGTGAGTGTCTTCAAGGTTCATTCACATTGTAGCATGTATCAACTTCATTCCTTTTGATGACCAAATGATATCCTATTATATGTATATACCACAGTTTGTTTATTCATTGATGAATATTTGAATTCTTTCTACCTTTTGGCTATTGTGAATAGTGCTTCTATGAATATTTGTGTATAAGTACTCATTTGAATACTTTTTTTAATTATTTGTGGTATATAACTAGAAATTGAATTGCTGGGTCATATAGTAATGCTATGTTTAACCTTTTGAGGTAAAGATCCTTGTTCCCATATGTCCTCTAGGGCATAAAAATCCCATTAAGCTCTAAATTATGGTTTCCACCTAGTCATTTGGAGCTCCTCATGCCAGGAGACAAACAACCAACATCATGGAAAGGATAATTAAATCTTGATCTTCAGGAGAAGGTAGGAATGTTGTACAGTGGGAAAATGGAAGAATGCATTTCGTACTTGGGTGATTCACTGAGGTGTCTCTTTACATCTCTTTGCCTAATTTTGATGGTAAATGGATAAAATGCAGCAACCATAACTTGAGAAAGTCACCATGTCTCTCAGAGCCACTCCACCACTGTGATGGCTAATTTTAGTTATCAACTAGACTGAATTAAGGGACACCCAGATAGCTGGTAAAGTATTATTTCTGGTATGTCTGTGAAGGTATTTCCGGAAGAGATTGGCATTTGAATCAGTAGTAAGGAAGATTCCTTTTTACCCAACATGGGCAGGAACCAGCCAATCAACTGGGGATCCAGATAGAACAAAAAGGCAGAAGAAGGGTGAATTTGCTTGCTTTCTCTTCTGGAGCTGGGACACTCATATTCTCCTGTCCTTGGACATCAGAACTCCAGGTTCTCTGGCCTTCGAACTATGGGATTGCAGCCGTGGTTTCCTAGGTTCTCGGCCTTGGGCCTTAGGCCCAGAGTTATACCATCAGCTCTCTTGGTTCTCAGGCCTTTGAACTTGGACTGAGCTAAGCTACCAGCTTCTCTGGTTTTACAGTTTACAAATGGTGTATTGTGGGACTTCTTAGCCTCCATAATTGTGTGAACCAATTTCCATTATAAATCTCCTTTCATGTATCTATATCTACACATATCCTATTAGTTCTGTTTCTCTGGAAAACCCTGACTAATACAACCACCTAGACCAGTAGAGTGCTAGTCAATAGTGAGGAGAATCTGGAATAGATCGTAGAAAAGGGTGATGATGAGAATTACTTTGGCTCTAAGACCAGCTGCTGTGACAGAGACTACAGTTTGTCCCACTAACCTTCTCCAGGAAGAGATACCAGCTAGATTCCTGATAAAGCTGTTTCTAGCATTTATTATTTGAAGAAACTAGAGCCAAGTGGCATATAGTGTAGACTACAGTGGATGCTGTGATGTGCTACCAAGATCTTACTGAGGAATTTGTTCCCCCAGTTGTTGGGAGTGTTGACAGCCAAATGTTTTCAATTGAAGAGAGCTTCTTTGTCTAAGCATGCCTTCTGCCAGAGGCAGCCCCCATTTAATAACTGTCTGGGGCCATAAATGCCCTGCCCTCTACAGAGCTCCCTGTGGGATTGTCTGAGTTCTCTGTGTGACTGCATTATAGTACAACTCTTTCCTGTGCTGAAATCTACTTCCTTCAGTCTCCTATAGGTGTTGATCCCTAAGGCGTACCTCATTAAACTTATCCATTCTCCATGCAAATCTCCTTCTCAGAGTTTCAATGAGCCCTAAAAAGTCAATGCAATTTGAGTTGGGTCATTAAAAACTGAATATTCTAATCATGGGAAATAATGAGTTCATGGCACTCTGAACTGGTTACACAACATTTAGAGGATTGTGTCCTATTTGAGGTCTAGTATTTTTATTTTAAGACGGAGTCTCACTCTGTCACCCCGGCTGGAGTGCAATGGCGCTATCTTGGCTCACTACCAGCTCCGCCTCCCGAGTTCATGCCATTCTCCTGCCTCAGCCTCCCAAGTAGCTGGGACTACAGGTGCCTGCCACCACGCCCAACTAATTTTTTGTATTTTTAGTAGAGATGGGGTTTCACCATGTTAGCCAGGATGGTCTCGATCTTCCGACCTCATGATCCACCCGCCTTGGCCTTCCAAAGTGCTGGGATTACAGGCGTGAGCCACCGCACCTGGCCTGGGGTCTAGTATTTTAAGACATACTAATAACATGGTTACACCCAAAGAAAAGCAACCAAGATGGATAGTGTAAGAAAATATTACATCAAGTAGAGGTAAAGCAATGGAAGCTTTGGAGAACTGTTTTAATCCCACAAAGACTGCGATGAGGAGGAAAGAATAGAGATTTCTGTGCTAGAGGAGAGAATAGGAACCAAAAGGTGGATTTTATAAGGCAGCAGATTTGGGTTTAATGAAGAGAGGAATTTTCTAAAGGATGACCTGTCATGTGTCTTAGGAAGAAGTGAGCCAGCTTCTTAATACAGCTAGATGATCATGGGTCAGAGATGTTCTAGAGAGAATTTCTGCAATTACTAGCAGACTGGGCTCAAGTCTCTTCCAACTTTCAAATCCAACGATTGTAGGTTGTGATAAATTACAGGCTTCTTGAAAGTCTTTCATATGGAGTCTTAGGGAATCTGTCCAAGCATAATAAAAGACTCAATTATATCAGTTTTTCTTAAAGAGAAAAAATACCCCCATCACTATTAGTCAGTCTGGACTGGTGCTGCATGAAATAGGATAAATACAGGATTTTCCTTTTTCACTTTCCCCAACTCCAATGAGTTTGCTATTAAATTCCTTTTTTTAAGACACAGAAGCAACAGATTGTCTTTGTACAGGTTTACTTTTTATTAGTAAACATATTTACAGGTTTTTAGGGCTCAGAAGATAATTCATGTCCTTCTAGAATTATTTTTAGCCTGTCTTATCATAGCCTTAGGAATCCAGACTTACCATATTTACTGATAAGAAAGTTGAGCTTTAGTAAGTTTATAGACTTGACCCAGGCCATCAAACAGACTACACGCCAATGCTGGAAGCTGACATCTTGTATTCTGAATGAAACAGCCTTTGCACATTTCCCCTAGTCATCCAAATTCCAAGTTCTCTTGCCTGTCATACCACTCTCACTATATTTTATGGATTGAATTGTATCTGGCAAAAAGATTTGCTGAGGTCCGAATGCCTGGTCTTTGATCCTGTGTTGAAAAAGGGACTTTGCAGATATAATCGAGTTAAGATAATGTAATATTGCGTTAGGGTAGGCCCTTGTGATTAGCCTCCAGAACGGTGAGAGAATCAGTTTCTGTTGTTTTAAGACATCCAGTTTGTGGCATTTTGTTATGGCAACCCTAGGAAACTAATAACACCATATCCAAGGCATTGCACCCAGGCAGGAAGAGATGGAATAAGAGGAAGGGGTGTCAGGCTCAGATTTCACAAGGGACAAAGACAGAAAGTCTTAAAGAATAGATGTGTTCTGCTCCTCATTTTCTGGCCGGAAGAGGAACACAGTACCCAAGTTAGTCTTTAGCAAGCAAGTATCTGCCACCATCAGCCTGGGTATTAGAGCATAACATACTTGTGCACTGCACTGTGTAAGCAGGAGAAGGTGCCCTGTTAGGTACTATCCATTTTTCTAACAATCAGACTACAAAGTCAGCCAAGTATCCTGGGCACGTATAGGGAATAAAAGACAACAGAAAAATCAGATTTTCTGTGAGAGATTGAAAACACTATGCCAAGTAAATAGGCTCTGGGTGGGCTGTGAACTAGACAGATATGATAGGAGTAGTTGCTTAGGGTGAAAATAATAATCACAAGAGTACCAATGATAATAATAATCTCTTACATTTGGTAGGGCTTTACAGTTGACAAAACACTTCTGCTATGGTTTGAATGTTTGTGTTGCCTCCAAAATTCATGCTGAAACTTAATCTCCAATGCAACAGTATTAAGAGGTGGGACCTTCAGGAAGTGATTAGGCCATGAGGGCTTTGCCCTCATGGGTGGGATTAGCTTCTTATAAAAGGGCTACAGGGATCTACCTGTGCCTTTTGCCCTCTGCCATTTTACCACACGAGGACACAGTGTTTACCCCCTCAGGAGGACTCAGTAACAAGGTGCCATCTTAAAAGCCGAGACCAGGCCCTCACCAGACACTGAACCTGCCAGCACCTTGATCTTAGATTTCCCAGCCTCCAGAACTGTGAGAAAATAAACTTCCATTATTTATAAATTTCCCAGTCTGTAGTATTTTGTTACAGCAGCAAGAATAGACTAAGACAGCTTTTAATATGTGATTTTTATCTAATCTTCAAATATACTAGTAAGGAAGATCGGGCTGTGGCTGGGCGCGGTGGCTCAGGCCTGTAATCCCACCACTTTGGGAGGATGAGGTGGGTGGATCACCTGAGGACAGGAGTTCAAGATCAGTCTGACCAACAAGGTGAAACCCCATCTCTACTAAAAATACAAAAAAAAAAAAAGGAAGATCGGGCCTTCAGGTCACTGTTTTACTCACGAGGAAACTGAAGCTCATGGAGGTTAAACCACTTGCCCAAAGTAACTTGTCTGTGCTAGCACTAGAATGCCAGTCTTTGACTCATTTCTGTTCATTTTCTTTCCCACAGGGTGGTCAGAACCACCCTGGGTTCAGCCCAGCTCCCTCTCTGGGACACATGTATCCTTGGAGGCCTGTAGCCACCACTCACTCCTCTCAGTGCCCTGCAGACTATACACAAAGCAGGAGTCAATGCACAATAATGGAGATGGGGTGATTAATTGAGGTGAGGGTGGGTGGAACAAGAGGTCCCAGGTCTTGTGCTTGGCACGAACTCTCTGGTTCTGCCTCTGCCAATGTGTGCTGCAGACAGCTAAGCTGACACTGGCATCACCTGCACTGAGTCTCTGTGTCATGAGGTAGTCATGGAAACTCACTCCTTCCTAAGGTAATGAGGAGACAATTAGGTAGAAATGAGAAATCGAGTTAATTGCTTGTCATCCCCTCTCTGCTCTCTGTGTATTTATTCAAATTAAGCTTTTTCAGTTTTCTAGTGTCAGCAGATACCAATGATCGGAGCACAGGCTTGGGAGCCAGGACCTCCAGGAAACAGCCAGTACTGCATGAATCACTTGCCCTTCCTGCCTCTTTGTTTAGTCCTGACCCAAGCATTCAGGAAAACAAATCTCTTTGCCTGACCTCCCTTGGCTTCTGACCGAAAGTCTCTGAACTGACTTAATTTTAACCATCTCTGGCTCCACATGCATTCAGCTAGTCATTCCTCTTCCTTTAGAGAAAAAGGGAGGAATTCAAATTAAATTCTACATTTGTGGAAATCCAGTGTAACTCAGAGAGATGTAGTTAAATAAATCAGTGATGGACGTTTTGTGGTGTGTATTGTCCGCATGGATGGTAAGGAGGCAAGACCTAGAGGTCATTTGTGAGTAGGGCCCCCATAGGCTCAGCTGCCACTTGAGCAGAGCAGGAAAAGATCTGCCAAGATCACACCCTTTCCTTCCCTGTCCTTTCCGTAGGGTCTCTTCTCTACAGCAAGATGGAATTATTTGAAATTCCTTTCATGGTCCTTGCTTCTACTTATCTTTAGCTCTTCAGAGGTCTGCTCTGTCTAGAATGCCTTTCCTACTTTTTTATTACATCTCAACCCTGGCAATACTTGTCCAAGAAGCCTTCTCAAGGCTGAATATGGGGCTTCCAAGTTCATGAATTTCAAGAATTCGTGGGTTTCCAAACACCATGAATTCTCTTTTTTATAGACAACAAGGAGTTCATCACTGTACGCCTAAATTCTACTGTGGGCTAGAAGCTTCTGGGGGCAGGAACCATGTCTTCTTTTTTTTTTGAGATGGAATTTCACTGTTGTTGCCCAGGCTGGAGTACAATGGTGCGACCATGGCTCACTGCAACCTCCACCTCGCAGGCTCAAGCGATTCTCCTCTGTCAGCCTCCCGAGTAGCTGGGATTACAGGTGCTTGCCACCACGCTCGGCTAATTTTTGTAATTTTAGTATAGACAAGGTTTCACCATGTTGGCTAGGCTGGTCTCGAACACCTGGCCTCAGGTGATCCACCCTCCTCGGCCTCCCAAAGTGCTGGGATTACAGGAGTGAGCCACTGCGCCCAGCCAGCCATGTCTTTTTTGATGATGTTTCCCAGTACTAAGCACAATGCCTGACACATAGAAGGTGATCAATCAATATTTATTGAATAAGTGATGGATTTAGAAAATGAGTAATGGATAGAGTATTAGAGGATTGTGTCCTGGAAGAAGAACATATTTATGTAAGGTCTAGGGTTCAATGTTTGTTGTAATCTACGTGGATTTCCATGCTATTTGCATTTTACCCAAATAGTGTGAGCAACTATGAGACTTCTTTGGGATCCAGAATAGATCTGCCCCAAGAATTCCGCTCTGCTTCATTCAGGCCAACCTCTCTCCTGGGATTTTTGGCCATGCTGGCTCTGAAGGTAGTGAGCTCTGAGAGTAAGTGTGTGGGTTCATGTGGGGACTGTAGAGGCAGAGGAGGTAGAATGAGGAGTCTCAGGATGAAGAGGCTGAAGTGCTAGCTTGGAGATTCGTTTGGGATTCCTGTAGGAAGCTCTTCCTGGATCAGAAGAAAATGCGGGAAAAAAGATGTTGTCTAGAATTAGGGATAATAGACACTATCTAGAAAAGGGGTGGCTCGCAGTTTAATGGTGGAGGTGACAATATAACTTTTACTTTGTATCTGCATGAAGTTTACCGTTTTTATAGGGCCCTTAGGAATGCAGCAAAATAGAAAGAGTACAGAACTAGGATTCAGCACATTTGAGTGCCAGGCTGTCATTAACCAGCTAGGGGACAACACTTCTGGGCCTCAGTTCCCTTTTCTGTAAATGAAGGAGAGGGCAGACCCAAATACGCTCTAAAAACTGTTCCATGATTCTATAAAAATAGATGAGTTTCCCGTGCTACCATTTTAGAAACTGGATGTGGCAGGAAAGTAAATTAATGTCTTGGGTTGGGTTCTTAGGAAAGTTTGGGGTGCAAGTGGATGGGGTAGGATGAGGCTGCCCCAGGGATCTTTGTTCCATCTTTTTCTTCCCCACTCTTTCTCCGTTCCCCTTTACCTCTCTGGTGGGAGGCAATGTGCTGTAGTGGCAAATCGCCTGGACTTGGAAATCAAACAGAGACACATTTTAATCCATGCTCTGCCACTTACTGACTGTGTGTGACCTGGGGCAAATTTCTTAACCTCCCTCTGCTTCAGTTTCCTCATCTATAACATGGAGTTTGTCTTCCTGAAGGCTATCATAAGGGTTGAATATTTGATGTGAAAAAAGGACACAGGAGGTTCGTTATTATTCTTCCTCACAAATATACCAATACTGATGTTGTTTATGGTTTTTTTTGTTGTTGTTTTTTGAGACAGGTCTCACTGTGTTGCCCAGGCTGGAGTGCAGTTGTGCAATCATGGATCACCGTAGCCTTGATCTACTGGGTTCAAGCAATACTCCTGCCTCAGCCTCCCAAGTAGCTGGGACCACTGGTGCATGCCACCATGACCAGCTAACTTTATATTTTTTTGTAGAGACAGCATCTTGCCATCTTGTCCATGCTGGTCTCAAACTACTAGGCTCAAGCAATCCTCCTGCCTTGGCCTCCCAAAGTGCTCGGATTACAGGCATAAACCACTATGCCCAGCCCGTTGTTTATGTTTATGCCTTTAGAACTCTGGTTTTGACATGGAATTCTATGATCTTTTACTCCACCGTCTCATCCATTTTCTGTTTATTTTGCATGGAAAAACCTGGAAATCATCTATTTTTACTTTTGCAGATTTTAATCATCTCAAGTCTCAGCTTAGCTCACACCATAAACCTGGATGAGCTGGGTGGCACAAGGTACAAGAACTAATGGGCAGACAGAATTTTCCCACCAAGTTACAATATAAACATTATTATAGGCATTTAAAAAATGCTGGCATTGGCCGGGCATGGTGACTCACACCTGTAATCCCAGCACTTTGGGAGGCCAAGGCTGGTGGTTCACCTGAGGTCAGGAGTTCAAGACCAGCCTGGCCAACATGACGAAACCCCGTCTCCACTGAAAATACAAAAAATTAGCTGGACGTGATGGTGGGCGCCTGTAATCCCAGCTACTCGGGAGGCTGAAGCAGGAGAATCGCTTGAACCCAGGAGGCAGAAGTTGCAGTAAGCCGAGATCGTGCCATTGCACTCCAGCCTGAGCAATAAGAGCGAAACTCTGTCTCGAAAAAAAAAAAAAAATGCTGGCATTAAAAGCATTCACGAGTAACAGGTAAGCAACTCACTGAGAGTGTGTGTATTTCCTTATTATATATTTAAGGACAAGAGGAATAAAGACAGGGCAAGGGAGGCCTTGGATTCCTTGTAAAGTCCTAGTATACTTTAAAGTTTTAACAGCAGGCTGGGCGTGGTGGCTCACGCCTGTAATCCCAGCACTTTGGGAGGCCGAGGCGAGAGGATCACTTGAGGTCAGGAATTCAAGGCCAGTCTGGCCAACATGGTGAAACCCTGTCTCTACCAAAAATATAAACAATTAGCCAGGTTTGGTGGCACGCACCTCTAATCCCAGCTACTCGGGAGGCTGAGGAAGGAGAGTCGCTAGAACCCGGGAGGCGGGGGTTGCAGTGAGCTGAGATTGTGCCACGGCACTCCAACCTGGGTGACAGAGGGAGACTCCATCTCAAAATAAAAAAATAAATAAATAAAGTTTTAACAGCATTGCAGCAGGTATCTGTCATGGCTACACACTAACAGCTCTTAAAAGTAAATTTACTGAAGTTCAGGATGTTTCATAAATTATCTATAAATTGTATCTTGATTCTGCAATCAATAAAAATAGCTTCTGTAGGTGAGAAGTTAAATGGCGAGAATATTCAGGTTCCTTCTAAATGTGGTTTTGAATAACATTTACAAATTATTTCTGCTATACCTTTAATCTCAGTTGTTGGAGGGGTGACGTTTAGGATCTGCACCAGGACTTTGCAAAGACTGTCCATGTGATGGCTTTGGACAGCCACCCCGCCTGGTGCCACCCATCAGTCCTGAGGTCCTCTGGCAGTCCAGGTGAGTTCCTACCCCCCTTAGACAAGTAAATGGGCAAATATAAAAGCAGGAAATGAGCTCCCTGAGGGCAGGAGCTGTGTTATTCATTGTTGTATATCTAGAACCTGGGGAAGTGGCTGGCACTTTGTGGACACTACTTAGTGAGTCTCAGAGTCTGAGAGTACAGTCACACATTGTTTAACTACAGGGATATGTTCTGAGAAATGCATCATTAGGTGATCTCATTGCTGTGCAAACGTCATGTAGTATACTTATACAAACCCAGATCATATGGCCTACTACACAATTTAGGCTATATGGTGTAGTCTATTGCTTCTAGGCTATAAATCCAGACAGCATGTAACTGTGCTGAATATTGTGGGCAATTGTAACACAATGGGGAGTATTTGTATAACTCGCGTAGAAAAGATACAGTAAAAATATGATATAAAAGACAAAAAACGGTGCACCTATATAGGATTCTTACCATAAATGGAGCTTGCAGACTGGAAGCTGAGTTCAGCTGTTAAGACTGGGTTAGTCAGTGAGTGAGCGGTGAGTGGATGGGCAGGCCTGGGATATTACTGTATGCTACTATAGACTTTATCAACACTGTACACCCAGACTACACTAAATTTATTTTAAAAGTTTTTCTTTCTTCAATAATAAATTAATCTTGGCTTACAGTCCCTTTTTTACCTATAAACTTAAATTTTTTTTGACATTTTTGACTCTTTTGTAATAACACTTAGCTTAAAACACAAACACACTGGATAGCTGGACAAGAATATTTTCTTTCTTTATGTACTTACTCTATATATTTTTTTCTATTTTCAAAACTATTTTTTGCTTTTCAAACTGCTTTGTTAAAAATTAAGACATAATCACACACATTAGCCTAGGCCTAAACCGGGTCAGGATCATCAATATCACTGTCTCCCACCTCCACACCTTGTCCCATTAGAAGGTCTTCAAGGGCGATAACACACAGGGAGCTGTCATCCCTTATAACAATGCCTTCTTCTGAAATACCTCCTGAAGGACCTGCCTGAGGCAGTTTTATGATTAACTTTTTTGAAATAAGTAGAAGCATACTCTAAAATGGTGAAAAGTTTAGTATAGTAAATACATAAACCAGTAACATAGTCATTTATTATCAATATTAAGTATTACGTACTGTACACAATTGTATACTTTTACACGACTGGCAGCATCATTTTGTTTATACCAGCATCACCACAGACATGTAAATAATGCATTGAGCTATGATGTTGCAACAGCTATGACATCATTAAGTGATAGAAATTCTTCAGCTCCATTATTATCTTATGAGACCACCGTTGTATATGTGGTCCACTGTTGCCCAAAATGTCATGATGTGGTCCACTATATTGGGTCCCTGTTAAGCAGAAATGGAGATGCCCTGGGTAGGAAAATTTGGTAGTGTTATGAAAAGCATATCTAAGGTATGTTCTGAACCATAAGTTTCAACAGTGAAACTACAATGGGATGTGTCATTCCGTCTTCAGAAAATATCCCCATCTTGAATGATTCTGGAAGTTGAGACTCTGAGATTTCCTCTAGAGAGTAAAGGAATGGAATCAGAAAGCCTTCTTAGCTAAAGCTAAAATACAAGGGTAGCAAAGTTTGAAATGAAGCCCCCATCCCAATGTGGGACAGTGTTTCTCTTGGTGTGAGAAATTCACCTCACCAAATGTAGCCCATCGGATTCTACAGAGAGGTAGAAGCACTGGCCTTGCCATTCACAGTTCCAGATACAGTGAAGGAAAGAAATGACCAAGAGGAATGGGCCCGTAAAAGTACAAGGTTAGCCTGACAGTTAATTAGAGGTTTGAAGGAAGACAGACTGGCTGTTCTAGAAGGTGGTTTACTGGCTGATTTCAAGGACCCCTGCAAGTTGAGAATGATGAGATCTGTTCATTTTCCTTCAGTGTAATGAATCATGCCTCTGATGACAATTTTGTGTGAGTCATGTTTTATCAGCTTCTTTCTGAATTATTGCTTATCACTTGGAAGCTCCCCAGTCATTTGAAGATTGTCAGAATGAAGTCAGATTTTAGCTGGGGAGGTAGAATATTCTGTTTTGGAGGACACATCTGGTTATACCTGACAAGCAGGGACATCCTGGCTCCAGGAATCTTCTTCCTACTGCATGCCGGAGGACACTGCACAGTCTTTCTGAGTGGGCCAACAGCCTGGCAGCTAGAAATGGGTACAAAGAGTGTTCCCTCTTCTGCTCCCTCAGCAAGACAGGATCTTGAGGAAGGCTTTCCGGAACTCGATATTGAAGGTGGTATAGATCACAGGGTTGAGGGCGCTATTCACGTAGCCCAGCCATGTCGTGGCACTGTAAAGCTCTGGGGACACGTGGCATGTCTGGCAGTGGGTATTGAGAACATGGGTCAAGAAGAAGGGCAGCCAGCAGACAATGAAGGCCCCTAAGTTGCCAAATAAGAGAGAAACTGGGTAAGGGATTTGCTTACTCCTTTTGTTATAACATGAGAATGACTCACGGTTGTCTACTTTATGCCAGCCACTAAGCTGGAAGTTTTGCATACCCACTTACTTTTTTTTATAACAACCCTAGGCCGGGTGTGGTGGCTCACGCTTGTAATCTCAACACTTTGGGAGGCCGAGGCGGGTGGATCACCTGAGGTCAGGAGTACAAGACCAGTCTGGGCAACAAGGTGAAACCCTATGTCTACTAAAAATACAAAAATTAGCTGGGCGTGGTGGTGCGTGCCTATAAGCCCAGCTACTCGGGAAGCTGGGGCAGGAGAGTTGCTTGAGCCCGGGAGGCAGAGGTTGTGGTGAGCCAAGATTGCGCCATTGCACTCCGGCCTGGGTGACAGAGTAATACTCCATCTCAAAAAAAACAAAACAAAACAAAAAAAACCCAACCCTATGAAATAGGTGTGATTAGCCAAACTTTTTTAGGTGAGAAAACTGCATGCTAATGTCTTTCATTCACTTTGGCCTTTGTTACTAAATCAGTTTTCTAGTTGGGTCTCTAGGTAGTTCTTTACTAGTCTTTTTCTTTTTCAATTCAATTCAGACGTTTATTTAATGCCTACCTATGCAAAACATGATCCTAGGCACTGATAGGTATGAAGACCTTAAAGATGTGACTGACATCGTTCCTGCTGTTGAGGAGATTACATCTAGGAGTTCTAGTAAACTCCCTGATACAGGAGAGAGTTGGGGTTTGTCAGTGACACTGAACAGGATGAACTGCCTTCACTAACTCTATAGCATACCTGTGATTTATTCATTTTTAATTTCTTTATTTAAATAAAGTTCAGGCTGGGCACAGTGGCTCACACCTGTAATCCCAGCAGTTTGGGAGGCCAAGGTGGGTGGATCACCTGAGGTCAGGAATTCAAGACCAGCCTGACTAACATGGCGAAACCTTGTCTTTACTAAAAATACAAAAATTAGCCGGGTGTGGTAGCGCATGCCTGTAATCTCAGCTACTTGGGAGGCTGAGGCAGGAGAATCACTTGAACCCAGGAGGCAGAGAACCCAGAACTCAGGAGGCTGAGATGGGAGGATTGCTTGATGCCATGAGTTTGAGACCAGCCTGGGCAACGTAATGAGACCCTGTCACTACAAAAAACAAATAAAAATTAAAAAAATTAGCTGGTCATGGGGGCATACGCCTGTAGTTCTAGCTACTCGGGAGGCTCAGGCAGGAGGATTGCTTGAGCCCAGGAGTTCAAGGCTGCAGTGAGCTATGATTGTGCCACTGCACTCCAGCCTAGGCAACAGAGTCAGACCATGTCTCAAAAAAACAAAAAACAAAAAATCTTGATTGTATGCATTATGGAAAGCTTGGTAAATACAGACAAGTAGGAAAAAAGGAATAAGCACCCACCACTCAAAGACAATCACTTTTGATATATTGGTGAATTTCTTTCCAGTCTTTTTTACTCTGTATTTAAAATAATCTAGATTTTTTTTTTTTTTTTGAGATGGAGTCTTGCTCTGTCGCCCAGGCTGGAGTGCAGTGGCGTGATCTTGGCTCACTGCAAGCTCTGCCTCCCAGGTTCAGGCCATTCTCCTGCCTCAGCCTCCTGAGTAGCTGGGACTACAGGCGCCCACCACCACGCCTGGCTAATTTTTTGCATTTTTAGTAGAGACGGGGTTTACCGTGTTAGCCAGGATGGTCTCGATCTCCTGACCTCGTGATCTGCCCACCTCGGCCTCCCAAAGTGCTGGAATTACAGGCTTGAGCCATCATGCCCGGCCTAAAGTAATCTAGATTTTATCATACCATATCACAATAGTGTTTTGCATTCTTATTTTTATCACTTAATATTTTAAATAACTAAGCATTTGTTAAATATCCAATATGTACCAGACAGTTTTATTGAATCATTATCTTACTTATTGTTTGATTTATGTGTTGTAGCTCCATATAATGGACAGCGCAGTTAAGTGGCTTGTTCAGCTTCATAAATTTCAGCCTAGGTCTTTTGAATTTCCACCAGAGTTAGCATTTATACACAAATACTTTTCAATTATATTGTGAACATTTGATAAGTATTACTGTCATCAAATTTCCGATAGCATCTTCTACCAGCTCCACTTAACTTAACACAACCTAACCCAACCCAACACAGCTCAAGCCAACCCAAACTTACCAAGCACAATGGCCACCATTTGGGTTGCCTTCTTCTCCCGAAGTGGCACTCCCCGAGGTTGCAGGGGCCCCAGCTTCAAAGATGTCGATAATCTGCCATTGCTGAGTTTTCGAACTTCTAAGCTGAGCTTGGGCGCTATGGTGGGACTCAGGGAATTCCGAGTCTTCTCCTCTCTTTTCAACTCTCCTCCTCTTTCTTGGAAGCCTGGTCCACCCAAGGCAGTGTCCTGGCAGATGCTGTAGTAACGCTTCAGCTCCAGATGTGCCGGGTCAGGAGAGAGGGTCTGCAGGTGTGACAAGAGGGAATCTTGACATTTCTGGGGGTATTGTTTATCTTCTGAATGTTCCTGAAAGGGCCAGAGAATTCAAAGAAGGAAGACGGCAACACAGTTGTGGGAAACCTACAAAGGGAACATCTGAGGGAGTGGTGGGACCATGAGAAGTTAAGGGAAATGAAATTTGCTTTAGACTTTACAACTAAAAAGCACCCACCATATCATCAGAGTGAACAGGCAGCCTACAGAATGGGAGAAAATTTTTGCAATCTATCCATCTGACAAAGGTCTAATATCCAGAATCTACAAGAAACTTAAACAAATTTACAAGAAAATAACCCCATTAAAAAGTGGGCAAAGGATATGAATAGACACTTCTCAAAAGAAGACATTTATGCAGCCAACAAACATATAAAAGAAAGCTTGTCATCACTGGTCATTAGAGAAATGCAATCAAAATGACAATGAGATAACATCTCAGGCCAGTTAGAATGGCAATCATTAAAAAGTCTGGAAAACAACAGATGTTGGTGAGGATGAGAATAGGCACGCTTTTACACTGTTGGTGGGAGTGTAAGTTAGTTCAACCATTGTGGAAGACTGTGGCGATTCCTCATGGATCTAGAACCAGAAATACCATTTGACCCAGCAATCCCATTACTGGGTATATATCCAAAAGATTATAAATCATTCTACTGTAAAGACACATACACATGTATGTTTACTGCAGCAATATTTACAATAGCAAAGACTTGGAACCAAGTGAAATGCCCATCAATGATAGACTGTATAAAGAAAATGTGACACATATACACTATAGAATACTATGCAGCCATAAAAAAGAATGAGTTCATATCTTTTGCAGGGACATGGATGAAGCTGGAAACCATCATCCTCAGCAAACTAACATAGGAAGAGAAAACCAAACACCACATGTTCTCACTCATAAGTGGGAGCTGAACGGTGAGAACACATGGACAAAGGGAGGGGAACATCACACACCAGGGCCTGTCAAGGGATGGGGGGCAAGGGGAGGAAGAGCATTAGGACAAATACCTAATCCATGCAGAGCTTAAAACCTAGATGATAGGTTGATAGATTCAGCAAACCACAATGGCACATGTATACCTATGTAACAAACCTGCACGTTCAGCACACGTACCCCAGAACTTAAAGTAAAAAAAAAAAAAAAGCAGCACCCACCACATATAGAACATTTGATAATCACAACAACCTCTTGAGCAGGGTAGCACAGAATTGTAGTCTGGCCTTTTTGAGTTAGAATGACCTGGTGATACAGAGAAACACATTAAGTGACACCACTATGACATAAGCCCCGAAATGTGGAGTGTGGGAAACTCCACAAGACAAATGACTCAGTTTCTTCAACAAATAAATTTTAACAACAACAATGACAATACTTACCAGTTGCAAAATATGTGCCTTATTTGAATTTTGATTCAAACAAACCAACTGTAAAATAATTTACAAGACAATTGGGGAAATTTGAACATCAATTGGACATTTAATGATATTAGAAAACTATTAATTTTTTAGTGTGATGTGGTATTGTGGTTATGTGTCTTATAAAACAGTCCGTATTCTTTTTTTTTTTTGAGACAGACTTTCGCTCTTGTTGCCCAGGCTGGAGTGCAGTGGTGTGATCTCGGTTCACTGCAACCTCTGCCTCCCGGGTTCAAGAGATTCTCCTGCCTCAGCCTCCCAAGTAGCTGGGATTACAGGCATGTGCCACCACGCCTGCCTAATTTTGTATTTTTAGTAGAGATGGGTTTCTCCATGTTGGTCAGGCTGGTCGCAAACTCCTGACCTCATGTGATCTGCCCACCTTGGCCTCCCAAAGTGCTGGGATTACAGGCGTGAGCCACCGTGCCTGGCCAACAGTCTGTATTCTTTAGAGGATCTTGCAGAAATATTTTGGGTTGAAATAATACGGTGTTTAGTATTTGCTTCATAGCAATCCAGTGGGGATGTGTGAACGTAGGTGGGATTGTAGATGAAATAAGACTGACCACGAATTGATCACGACTGAGGCTGCCTGATGGCTACTGGGGGGTTGTTATATTTGTCTACTTTTTTATTTTTGAAAACTTCCATAATAGAAATTAAAAAAAAAAAAAGAAAACCCAGGATTTTCTTCTCAGCTCTCTTACTTAGTAGATGTATCTTTAGGCAAGTTAATTTAATATCTCTGAGCTTCCTTTGTAAAACAGAAAAGAAATAGGGAAAAATGGGTTTGGGATGAGTAGCCTCTGAGAATGGAATACTGAAATATGTTAACTTTTCTGGTATGGAGGGGGAGGTGTGTGTGTGCCCAACTTGAACTTCTTTTCATGTTTGAAGAATCAGACTATTGTGTCAGTCTTGAACAGGAGGCAGAACTCAACTCTTCAACTCCCATTACTGATGGCATAAAAGCCAGATATTCACTTCATACCTCCATTCCCATGCAGCTAGAGCTCAGGCACATGCACCAAGCCCAGTCAATTGCAGATTCACACCTGAGACTTTGAACTGGAACTTGTGAAGCAGGGAGACTTCAGAACTCCTCTAGTAGTGGTGGCATTCAATGTCCAGTGTGTTAGGTTTTCTAACTAGATTATTTCTTAGGCATGAATAGCATCTTTCTGAAGCTGTTCTTCAGCCTTCTCATTGAGCCTGTGAGCCACCTGACAGCTTTCCAGTAAATTTGTTTTCTACGTAAGTTATTCAGTGTCAGCAACAAAAACCCCTCGCTTTGGTTTCCTTAGTTCAAGGAAGCAGTCTTCTAGGTACACAGAACTGGCACATTGTACATACTCAGAATGAATGAATGAATGCAAGCGGTCTTCAAGACTATTTAGTGTTATTTATTTATTTATTATTTTTAGTAGAAATGAGGTCTTGCTATGTTGGCCAGGCTGGTCTCAAATTCCTGGGCTCAAGTGATCCTCCTGTCTTGGCCTCCAAAAGTGTTGGGATTACAGGTGTGAGCCAACATGCCCAGCCAATTTAAGTTTTTAAAATTTTTATTTATTTATTTATTCTTTAAGACAAAGTCTCACTCTGTCACCAGGCTGGAGTGAAGTGGCATGATCTCGGCTCATTGCAACCTCTGCCTCCCAGGTTCAAGCAATTTTCCTGCCTCAGACTCCTGAGTAGCTGGGATTACAGGCGCCCACCATCACACCTGGCTAATTTTTGTATTTTTAATAGTGATGGGGTTTCACTATTTTGGCCAGGCTGGTCTCGAACTCCTGACCCCAAGTGATCCACCTACCTCAGCCTCCCAAAGTGCTGGGATTACAAGCATGAGCCACAGCATCTGGCCTAGAGTTTTTTTTAAATGGTGGTCCACAGAGGTATTCTTAGGAATTCTAGAATAATATACATTTTTTTCTTGAAGATTTTAAAAATTCATATATAATAATTTTACATATTTGTGGGGCAAATGCAATATTTTGATACATGCATACAATGTGTAATGATCAAATCAGGCTAGTCATCACTTCAAACAATTATCATTTCTTTGTGTTGGGAGCATTTCAAATCTTTTCTTCTAGGTATTCTGAAATATATAAAAACTGTTGTTAAGCGTAGTCACCCTACTGTGCTATTAGACACTAGAACTTGTTCCTTCTATTTAATTGTATGTTTGTACCCCTGAATCCACCTCTCTTTCTCGCCCCCTCCCCCATCTCCTTCCTAGCCTCTGGTAACCATGAACCTACTCTCTATTTTCACGATAACCACTTTTTTAGCTTCCATATGTGATTGAGAACATGTGATATTTGTCTTTTTTTTTTTTTTTTTTTTTTTTTTTTGAGACGGAGTCTCGCTCTGTCGCCCGGGCCGGACTGCGGACTGCAGTGGCGCAATCTCGGCTCACTGCAAGCTCCGCTTCCCGGGTTCGCGCCATTCTCCTGCCTCAGCCTCCCGAGTAGCTGGGACTACAGGCGCCCGCCACCGCGCCCGGCTAATTTTTTGTATTTTTAGTAGAGACGGGGTTTCACCTTGTTAGCCAGGATGGTCTCGATCTCTTGACCTCATGATCCACCCGCCTCGGCCTCCCAAAGTGCTGGGATTACAGGCGTGAGCCACCGCGCCCGGCCGATATTTGTCTTACTATGTCTGGCTTATTTCACTTAACATGACGTCAAGTTAAGAGAATACATATTTAACATTTTTTGGTTTTTAGTTTGATGGCATTTTCTAATAATTAAAATAAGCATATTTCATTTTATCTGAATGCCTATTTACAACAGAGATTATGGTGTGTTTTTTTGTTTGTTTTTTTTTGTTGTTGTTTGTTTGTTTTTGAGATGGAGTTTCCCTCTGTCGCCCAGGCTGGAGTGTAGTGGTGAAATCTCTGCTCACTGCAACCTTTGCTTCCTGGGTTAGAGTGATTCTTGTGCCTCAGCCTCCTGAGTAGCTGGGATTATAGGTGCATGCCACCATGCCCGGCTAATTTTTGTATTTTTTTAAGTAGAGATGGGGTTTCACCATGTTGGTCAGGCTGGTCTCGAACTCCTGACCTGGTGATCTGCCCATCCTGGCCTCTCAAATTGCTGGGATTACAGGCGTGAGCCACCACACGCGGCCCCAAGATTATGTTTACAATTAAACTGGCACCTACTGATCTTCTTAAAGTGACAATATTTGACTTCTAACGCATTATTTCTAAAACTAGGGGATGGGAAACAAATTCTTGGGATTGCCTAAGAAATCTCATATTAGCTGGGTGCAGCCCAAGAGTTCAAGGCTGCCATGAGCTGTGATCACACCACTGCACTCCAGCCTGGGGAACAGAGTGAGACTCTGTCTCAAAAACAAAAACAAAAACAAAAAAACCTCATATTTGAAAACATTGATCTAGTATACCCTGTTTCCATTTTACAGATATGGAAATTCAGTCCTATAGTAGGAAAATGATTCTTCCAAGATTATATATTGGTGAGTGTATTTTTCAGCTCTGTCTGCAAAACCTGATCACTACTTCCATGACTGACATGAGGAAACACTGGATTCCTCTGGGTCTGGCTGGCAGAGCCCTCCACTCCCAGATGGCAGGACAGAACCTAATTCTCCACACTCTTGGAAATGCCAGTCTCTTGGCTGTCTGATCTCTCTTTTGTATTCAATATTTTTCCTCCTCTTGGCCTTGAAGCCTCCTTAGACCTTGGATCAGCCATAGGCAACTTTGAGCTGCATAGCTATTATCGTTTAAAATGATTATCTCCAATTACCACACCAGGCCTGTGTAGAAAGTCATTAACTATACTGAGATTGAACAAAGCTCAGACCTTAATTATTACAAATTTTTGAAGTTTTATTTCTAATGTGGAATTCAGAGAGGAATACTGTTCTCATATCTAACACCTCCAGACTCCACTCTGCACTCTGCTAGCTGGGCGAGGCAGGCCTGGCTTGAATTGGAAGAACAAGGCTAATGGTGACCATGAAGTTGTCTTGGTTTTTCCCACATTCAGTGGTAAATATGGCACTTGAAATTTTCCTTTCTCTGCCTGGTTTTTGCTCTGTCCATGTGTGTTCCCTTGACGTCTGTTTCCTCTAATGCAGGTGGCCTTGGATGGCATTGTCACACCGTGTGCAAGAGTCATTGGCTCCAGTCACTAAGGTCAAGTCCAATAGTCATATGCTTTCTCAATATCTTCTGATGAATTCTATTCTGAAGCTTAAATTAGGAAGAATTTCAGATCTTGTCTTATAGATATATGTGTGGGAATCAGGGTAAGGTTTCATTCTGGGGTGAGAGTAGAATCAAGATAAGCCAGTATTGTGGGAAAAGGTCTCTTATTCTTTCTCTATGATCAGACATGGCCCACTTACCATTTTTCCTGTGGCATGTGATGGAAATCAGGCCCTTACTGACAACTGCTGAATGGGGTGCAGGTGCAGACAAGAAGACTGGGCAGGGGGTGTAGAAGAAGGAACAGTTAGTTGTGGGTCTAGCCATGTCATTGATAGCCATGGGACATGATAATATTTTGAATGCAATACTTTCATATCCTCAGCCTTGGGTCTTGATCTCCTCTTTCATGGGGATTAATAGTCTTGTTTCACTCAAGCCTTGGGACTTCAACTTAAGAGTCTGACCTTCATTCATACTTTTGACATCATCAAAGACCTTAACAGGTCATCAGAGATAATGTAGGTCATCAGGCTGGGCACTTATGCCTGTAATCCCAGCACTTGGAGAGGTTGAGGTGGGCAGATCATTTGAGGCCAGGCATTATAGACCAGCCTAGCCAACAAGGAAAAACCCTGTCTCTACTAAAAATACAAAAATTAGCCAGATGTGGCCGGGCGCGGTGGCTCACGCTTGTAATCCCAGCACTTTGGGAGGCCGAAGCGTGCGGATCACGAGGTCAGGAGATCGAGACCATCCTGGCTAACACAGTGAAACCCCGTCTCTACTAAAAATACAAAAAAAAAAAAATTAGCCGGGCGTGATGGTGGGCGCCTGTAGTCCCAGCTACTCGGGAGGCTGAGGCAGGAGAATGGCGTGAACCCGGGAGGCGGAGCTTGCAGTGAGCTGAGATTGCGCCACTGCACTCCCGCCTGGGCCACAGAGCGAGACTCCGTCTCAAAAAAAAAAAAAAAAAAAAAATTAGCCAGATGTGTTGGTGGGCACCTGTAATCCCAGCTATTCGGGAGGCAGAGGCACGAGAATCGCTTGAACCCAGGAGGTACAGGCTGCAGTGAGCTGAGATCATGTCACTGCACTCCAGTCTGGGTGACAGAGCGAGACTCTGTCTCAAAAAAAAAAAAAAAAAAAAAGATTATCTAGGTCATCAAAGATTAATCTAGACACCCAAATTGGATCTGTCTTCAAGATCAA
Source organism: Homo sapiens (assembly GCF_000001405.40). Classification (NCBI taxonomy): domain Eukaryota; kingdom Metazoa; phylum Chordata; class Mammalia; order Primates; family Hominidae; genus Homo; species Homo sapiens. The sequence continues at coordinate 114,138,251 of NC_000003.12, forward strand.
ACTCAATTCTTACTCTGTCTATGGAGCCCTTTCCTGAGTGTATTAGCCTGTTTTCATGCTGCTAATAAAGACATACCTGAGACTGGGTAATTTATAAAGAAAAAGAAGTTTAATGGATTCACAGTTCCATGTGGCTGGGGAGGCCTCACAATCATGGTGGAAGGTGAAAGGCACGTCTTACATGGCAGCAGACAAGAGAAAATTTGTGCAGGGAAACTCCCCCTCATAAAACCATCAGATCTCGTGAGACTTATTCACTATCATGAGAACAGCAAGGGAAAGACCCACCCCCATCATTCAGTTACCTCCCACTGGGTCCCTCCCATGACACATGGGAATTGTGGGAGCTACAATTCAAGATGAGATTTGGGTGGGGACACAGCCAAACCATATCACTGAGCATATTGGGTTTTCTCTTCTATAACCTCCAGAGCACTTCATAATTGAGTGCTTAATTGTCTTCACCTCACATTTGGCAAACATCCTATTCAGCTCTGGGATCTTCATTAACATTGAGTGGAGGGGTGCTTTATTTGCTTTTCTAGATTCTAAGCTCCATGAAGGCAGATGCTGTTTAATGTTACCACTGTCCCTTCCCTAGTAGATTTCAAGTGATCGGTATATATCCATTCATGCTTCAAGTACATCGTGGGAAAACTACTAAGTGCCAGACAATGGGGTAAGGAGAAATTAAAGCCCTAGCAATTAGAAGATCATTGCAGAGGCAATGACATTTCTTTTCAGAGCCTAGAAAGATCCAATAAAATGCTTTATCAGCACCCTATCCCACCAGCTTGTCAGTTCCTTGACACACGGACAGATCCAGTAAGGAAAAAAGGCTTTGATGGACCCCAGTGATTCTTGGCATGAGTGGTTTAGACAAAAAGTCAGTTCTGGGAACCCACCAGCAGTGCAAGGTACAACTGCTGCACTTAAACTTCAAAACCTGTGGGACATCTGAGCTGCTGCCCATTTGGGGAAAATGAAAGACTTTGAAGGGAAGCAGAACAAGCCCAGGAGCTCTCCAATCACTTTGCCAGGTAAGGCAGGCTCTAGAGGCAACTATCAATGTTTTCTTGAGATTGGATTTCCTACCTTCAAAGCGCAGCCAAAATTAGCAGATTCCAAAGTCGGTGTCAGATTTGTGTCTCCAATTTAGCTAAACGGCAAAATCATGCACTGCTGGACACAGGCTGGGAAGTCAGGAGATTGGGTGTTGTCTTCCCTCTACCCCCTCCAGGGTACTTACTTGCTGGGGGAAGCCAGGCCTGACACTGTTGCACTGACTGTTCTGTCGAGTGAGGATCCTTTTCCGTCTCCTTTGTTTCAGCACCACATAGATTCTGGCATAGACAAGGACAGTCACTCCAAAGGGCAGGTAGAAGGACACCACTGAAGAGTAGATGACAAAATCAGGGTTGGAGATGGAGCAGACAGTGGGGTCCCCTGTGGATGAGAAGGGGGAAGGTAAAGCAGTTAGCAAGTATCAGAACTCAGTAAGGAGCATAAAACACGGCTCCATGTCACGTGTGGTGCCTGCACTTTCTGCTGCACAGGGGGTGGGAAGGATGCAGTCTCAGATACGTATACTGTCAGGTCCTTGAGGGTAGAAGGTCTAATTCATCTTTGAGTTTCTTACAGCTTGCTTAAAATAAAAAGTTACCAACAATCATACGCCAGACACTGGGGCTACAAAGATGAATGAGACACCATGTCTTCTCTCAAGGGAGCAAACAGTCTAGATAGACAGATGATCCCTTTCATAGGATGTCACAAGTGTCACACAGAGACATGCAGCCTGGGAGGCTGGGGAGAGCATTACAGGGCAACAGGGCAGAGGCTCCCAGGAGGGATGCAGCCCTCAGAAAAGGGCCTGCTGGTGCGGAGGCATTGGAGAATTGTTTGAATGCAATGAAAGGAAGAAGCCTTATTTGCTGAGAATGCCAGTTCTCCAATTTTGAATCTGGGATGGAGGGCAGATGGCGGCTGAATACAAGACAGAGATTTGATTTTTCAGGGAATCCCAGCACTTGTCAGAGGTGGGATGGGAAAAAGGCAGGTAATGATATTGTGACATGGAGAATGTGCACTTAGAAGGGTCCTTGTCCCTGCTTTATATCCTGAAATGTTCCTGCCATTTCTCCTTGGGAGGTCCCTCTAGCTTTGCCTTCTTCATAGCAGATGCTGAGATTCCTCCAAGGCCCAAGATGGGCCTGAAACGTGCCCCATCTTGAAAAAGAAAAGAAAAGCAAACTAATATCTGCCAGGCGATGAGCCAAGAGCTTTGTACCCCTTATCCCACCTAATAATTAAGGCAACGTTATATGAGACAGGTGCCATTATTACTGTCTCTCTTTTCGGATGAGCAGATTAAAGCTCAGAGAGGTTCAGTAAGTAGCCCAAGGCTGCACCTGAAAAATATGTTCTTGCAGCCAGTTTTATGCCCAAGCCAATGTTCTTTCTATAATTTTAACTCCCCATCCCTCTTTACCATTGTGACATGGAACATCTGTGCTTCATCCAGCACTGTGAGCAACAACTGTTGGTACACCCGGCCAGTCTTCATAAAGGGTTGGGGATTCTCCAACCTCAAAGTTGGCCTTGGAAGATGAAGCCTCAGGTGTGGGCTGGTGGGGAGAGGGCAGTGGCCATGTAGGACCCTTATTCTGCTTCTTGGTCTTCTGAGGTAGGTGGAAGCCAGAGAGCCTTCAGTGTGAGATTCAGGTCTGCTATTTATTAACTGTGTGATCTTGGACACGTTTCTTTAATTAATCAATTAATTAATTTATTTATTTTTTGAGACGGAATTTTGCCCTTGTTGCCCAGGCTGGAATCCAATGGCTCGATCTCGGCTCACCGCAACCTCCATCTCCCAGGTTCAAGCGATTCTCCTGCCTCAGCCTCCCAAGTAGCTGGGATTACAGGCATGGGCCGCCATGCCCAGCTAATTTTTTTGTATTTTTAGTAGAGAAGGGGTTTCTCCATGATGGTCAGGCTGGTCTCAAACTCCCCACCTCAGGTGATCCACCCTCCTTGGCCTCCCAAAGTGCTGGGATTACAGGCGTGAACCACTGCACCCAGCTGACACATTTCTTAAATATGCAAAGCTTCAGTTTTATTACCTGTTAAAAGAAAAAGCCTAGAAATATTGTATAGTAGTTGTGAGAATTAATGAGAATAAATGGTAGCTATTCTTAATATTTATTTATTTATTATTTATTATTTCTCTCCCCTGAGCCTTTTGAACTGAAAGGGAAGGTAACATCTGAAATGGGAATTTGGAGACAGACTTATAGGGAGCAATATTTGTGGGAGAAGGAAGGAAATAACAGCTAAGAACTAAAACGAAAAGAGTGTGCTCAGTGACCAGTGATGCATTTTACTGACATCTTTGCCACTAGAATCTTTACAAGCTACTCCTAAATTCTCTGGTTCTCTGAAGAGGAGGTAAAATTCAGGTAAATTTCATGTTGTTTCACCAAAGCCTATGTCATCATCCTTTAGAAAATGGCTTATAGGGGCCAGGCATGGTGGCTCACGCCTGTAATCCCAGCACTTTGAGAGGCCGAGGCAGGTGGATCACAAGGTCAGGAGTTCGAGACGAGCCTGACCAACATGGTGAAACCACGTCTCTACTAAAAATACAAAAGTTAGCCGGTGTGGTAGCACACACCTGTAATCCCAGCTACTCAGGAGGCTGAGGCAGGAGAACCGCTTGAACCCAGGAGGCAGAGTTGCAGTGAGCTGAGATCGCGCCATTGCACTCCAGCCTGGGCGATAGAGCGAGACTCTCTCTCAAAAAAAAAAAAAAAAAAAAAAAAAGAAAAGAAAAGAAAATGGCTCATAGGCTCTGTGTAGTTCACCAAATTGGCATCTGCTGGTATTTGGGGGTGATGGAGTTGGGGAGAGGGATAGGGTGGCAGTGCGTGGTCTTTCAGAATCTCTAGGGAGCCACGTTGGTGGTGATCTGCTCCTTCTCTGAAGTCAGCTTTTCTGTTGTCAGCATCTGACTATGGTTTTAAAACCTGCCTGTGATAAGGAGGCGTTTCACATGTCTCACGTGTGAGAAGAGGCCAGTGGGGTGGCACTGCCCATCTTGTTGTCATCCTTGGTGTCCCGGATATTCCCTGTTGGTCCCTCCACCTAACTTTCTACCTTTTCCTACCCACTCTGGGTTCTGGGAGGCTGACCTCTAAATTTTATATATGAGCTACTTCTTTTAAAAAGTCAGGGTCAGATAGGGGTATGGTATGCTTCTATTTGTGTAATAATGAATACACATACACATACATAAACATATTTGTGTATGGACATGCACACTGTTGCAAGCATTATCTTGCAAGAATATTAATGTTTGTTTCTAGGGAGGGAGATGGGAGAATGTAGTAATCTGGGGTAGAAGGGAGACCTACATATAAGTATGTATGTATCTCATGGGCACCTTATGAATGTTTTATGTGCAAGCATTTATTTCTCCATTAAAAATATTGAAAGAGAGAGTTGAGAGGGCATATAGCTATTTCAGGGTCCCTAGTCAACGAAGGCTCTCACATATAATCACAGAACCTGCATTGCCATCTCTTCCTTCCTCCCCTATCTAAGCAAACAGCTTCCCTTTCTTAGATCAAGCATTGCAGCCTCTTCCAGAATGTCCCCATTGCAGGCAGAGTGACACTGGAGGTGGGTGGCCAATGAGTAGGGCCTGCCCCAGCCCCCAGCAGGCCTGGCCCTGGGTGTGTGTCCTGTTGGCAGGGCAGAGTGATGCACCACACAGCAGCAGTTCTGAAACCTTCTCTGCTGTGTACCAAAGAGGTAAGGAAAGCTGTAATGCCCCCCAGAAGCTGACACTTCCCCAGGAGATGAGGTGCCTTGTTTTGATGATTTAACTGCAAGAGTGTTGTTTTGTTAGCACAATAGTTATTGAGCAAGTGCATAAATAATAAATAAATGAGCAAAATGTACAAATGAGCATTTTATATAAACACATGAGCACTCACTGACCAGAGGATAATGGAGAAGGCCTGTGCCGGGGGAGGGGAGGTTACTCCTCCTCTGAGATTAGAGATGCTTATCCCAACTAATCTCAACATTTCAGGAAGAAAGGATGATGATGAAGAGTCATCTATTTACTCATTCTACAAATTTTGTGGAGTACGTACTATGTTTAAAGCACTGTGCTGGGTGAAAAAGACAAAGGCATCTATGAGGCTTTTGCAGGCTGTCTTGGGAAACTGAGACCCACCATGATGTGGACAGCTTGGCTCAGAGCAGGTTTACTTGAAAGATTCATGAACTTCAAATTCATTGATGGATTTGACCCCAGCTTGATTCCAAAGACATGCGGTGCCAATGAATCTGATTTTAGGATGGGCCTGTTATTCTTTTAATTTTGTGCTTCTACTATTCTCTTAACTTTTTGTGCAACTAAGCTCCCCCTCCCCCAACCTAGCTCCAGTGCTCTGAAAACTAGGTGAGATGTTCTATTGATGAAATCAAATAAATAGCACTCCTCCATTTCCTTCTTTCAAAGGAAAATCAAGCCAGCTGATAGAGTTTTCTTAACTTTAAGTTTCTCCTCCCTTGAAGATTTCTTAAACTCTTATCATCAGCTTATTCACTCTTTGCTTATTCATTCTAGATTTTTAAAAATAACACAATAGCTTTCTGATTTAGCAGGAATTTAAATACTAGTTATTTTTCTTATCTATGCAATGAAAGGGTTGGGCTGCTCATTCAGGCATCTTCAGAGTTTCCTTTGGCACCAGCACACCATGCTCTGCTGTATCAGGGTCTGTTGATGATGTGATATTTGCCTAGACTGCTGGGCCTCTGCTGGGAGTTAAGGCAACCCTGGCCAGCCAGGCCCCTGCCTCGGAACTCTCTCACCCAAAACCCTGCCTCATATTGACCTTTCATCTGAGAACAGGAGCAACTCCAAGTTGGAAGAGACTGAAGTTCAACTTTTCTGTATCTTATGTTCTCTAATAATTCACAATTTCGTGTGGCAGCCCATGGCATTAAAAGAAGAGCTCTGCCAGAAAGTTCTTTTTTTGTGTTGCACTTATTAGTGAAAGTCCAGCTGCTTCCAATATCAGGTGTTATTGGCAGGATCCTGCCCTCTCCCCCTTGATTTTCCACAGAAGGTGTAGAAAAAATGACTGAGAAGAGTCCTTTATATTGGGCTTTCAAATGAAGTTGGGAACTTCCTTATAGATGAGAGAATTGCTGCAGGAACCCACATCTATCAAGATAATGAAGCTGTACAGTGAAGGTCAGCTTGAGGCAGAGGAGGACAGCTGGGCCTGAGCTTCACTTACTAAATCCCCTAACTGTGTTCTAGGAAGGGGCGACTGATCTCTAAAACCATCAGCAGAACTCTTACGACTGCAGATGTATAGTTACATTTTGATGTATAAACTTTTCCAATAAATAATAACAACCATAACACCAGCTAATATCTACTGAGCTCTTACAATGGAACCTGACACTTTAACACAATATATGAATAATTGGAAGGCTTGCTAGAGTGCTATTAATAAACTTAAATGTAAAAGACAGAGCGATTGTGAGAGACGAGAGAGAAGTGAGAGCGCACATACTAAGTCACAGGCCTTTTCTGCCTTCTCAATTCTATACTTAAAAATCCTTTTGGAAAAAACTTTCCTGAATTTTGTTTCTGGAACAATAATGATCTCACTGGGGGCAACAACACTGCAAATTCATCATTCTTCTTCACTCTGGATGTCGACATTAACCGAGAACTCAGTCTAATGTCAGCTTTTGAGATTGTTTCAACTGTTTCCAGTGTGGTGTGTCTGTGAGAGTGAATAAGACCGCCTCCACCAAGAATGAGTCAGGGGAACCACAGTCAGCCCAGCAGATGTTGGCAGGGATTTGCTTTTGGCTAGAGGGTAAGAAGTGCCTTGGTCTAGCAGTGGTGAGTTTCCCACACTAGAATTTCCAACTAAGAATGCATTTTCATATAGAAACAAGGTTACAGAAGGTGACTTAGTTATCAGACTAACTCATAAAGCACATTTAGCATTCACGAAAAATGATATTTTAGTGCCACAGAGTCAGCCTCTGTAGCTGTGTTAAGGGATGTTGCTTTGTACTGGGCAATGTGTGCATGTTTGTGTGTATAAAGTGTCATTCAGTTAAAATAACAAAGTAATGAAAGGTAAACAGTAACGCAAAGATAACATCACCATATTTTGAGAATAGCCTGGGTTGAACAGGCAAATATTTGTTGATAAGTTGGCTAGTTACCCTTTACTGTGGCAGAGAAACAAGCCAGCCTTGAGTAGGCGGTACGTGCTTGGCATATTTACATATGTTATCCCAATTTAATCCTCATTTAATGGCAAAAATCTCTCTGAAGAAGTTGGAGTGGAGTTATATGTAGTCTTAGATTCTAAAGTCAATAAATAAAGTGAAAATTATATAGACTCCAAATTTGCCTTGAAAATCTGAATCACATGTAAAGATATACATGGTTTTATTATAACCCTGCAGAGTAATAAGTTGTATGGTACATATAGTAATATATCATATATTGTAGAGTTCCTATGGAACATATAATTTTAGAGATGAAATTGCTGGGCTCATTTGTAGGGGGTCATATATAAAAATAAATATTAAAAATGTCTTAACTAAATATGTAGATCAAGTTTACTTATTTTAATTCACTCAAGTGTATGCTCCACTGTAATTTTATCCCACATTTACCAATGAGGAACTCAGAGAAGTTAAGTAACTTGTTTAAGGAGAGACAGCTAGTAAGTCTGGACTTTGATTTGGAGTTTGGACTTAGATTTTACTTACTCCAGAGCCTATACCTATCTTCCAAAATATATTTTGATTTCTAAATCATTGTCCAGCAAATGACACTTGGAAGATTACTTAAAGTTAGAATTTGCCTGTATTTATATGTAATATGTTACATATAATATCTGCATACACACAAGCACATGGCTATGTGACTGGTACATATATACTAGACATTTACAAACCTGGAATATAGGCATTGAATGAATCAATTCAAATGGACAAAATAAGAAATCCAGATGACCACTGGAACACTAATCAAGCAGCTTTTCCTTAGCACGCAGTGTATATTGTCAATACCCATCATGTTACTATGTGGTTTAATACCTTTCATTCGACACGTTAAATTACTGAGGCTGGCCGAACGCGGTGGCTCACACTTGTAATCCCAGCATTTTGGGAGGCCGAGGCGGGCTGATCACTTGAGGTCAGGAGTTTGAGACCAGCCTGGCCAACAGGGTAAAATATAAAATTAGTGGGGCGTGGTGGTGGGTGCCTGTAATCCCAGCTACTTGGGAGTCTGAGGCAGGAGAATTGCTTGAACCCAGGAGGCAGAAGTTGCAGTGAGCCTAGATTGTGCCATTGGACTCCAGCCTGGGTGACAGAATGAGACTTGGTCTCAAAAAAAAAAAAAAAAGAAAAAGAAAAAGAAAAAAAATTAGTGAGGCTAAAAGATGGACATGGTACAAACACAGAAGGCACTGATTCATCTGAGGTATTGGTGTCATGCTTAAAATCCCGAGCATTTCAGACATATATATTGTCCATCCATCCATCCACCCAGGAGATGTACCATGTGCCAACCATCATACCCAGAATTTTTATATTAAAAATAGAAAATATACTCTCCAGGAATTTGGGAATCTATACTGGTTAGTTCTGAAGAATTGGAAATTATTCTTATTGAGTAAAAAGTTAGAAGTATATATCCTACTATAAGACTTTTACAATGTGTTATTTTGCATTGTAGGTCTGTTATGAATTGTTATCTTTTTATTAGCAAACCTTGCCTGAATTATTAATATATATCTTGGTTTTTTTAACTGGTACATTTCTGCAAATGAATACAATGACATTTCTTTCAAAATAAAGATGAGCCAGACTTTTCATTAATTGGGGCAGAACTTTACCCCCTGTGCCAATAATTGATGAGGTTTTGCTTTATATTTTATTTATAACCCACAAAGGCCAAAGCTTTGCATTCTGTGGCATTCTCATTTAATTGCAAAGTACACTGACCGGGGGTCAGAAATTGCAGGGCTGAGCACAACTCACAGCCAGTCATTCAGCTGTGCTGTGAATCACATGGATGCTAGAAATGAAGCCATCACTGTTACCTGTGGTATTAAAGCCAAACAGAAGAGGGCAGGACACAGCAAAGGCCAGTACCCAGACGGCCGTGATCATGAGGGCCACGCGCCGACAGGAGCTCTGTCCCGTGCCATGCTGGTAGTGAACGGGCATGACCACTGCAGTGTACCTGAAAAAGCAAGGGGAGAGGGGATAGGCATGGTGAGATGGAATGGGGTACTTTTCTTTCTGCGTTGTTGTTGTTGTTGTTTTTGGAGACAGGGTCTCACTCTGTCACCCAGGCAGAAGTGCAGTGGCATGATTACTGTTCACTGCAGTTCAACTCCTGGGATCAGATCCTCCTACCTCAGCTTCCTGAGTATCTAGGATATGCCTGTGCCGCCACCACGCCTGCCTAATTATTTTATTTTTTTGTAGAGATGGGGTCTTACTTTGTTGCCCAGGCTAGTCTCAAAGTCTTGGGCTCAAGCAACTCTCTGGCTTCAAGCAAGTCTCTGGCCTCAGCCTCCCAAAGTGTTGGGATTACAGGCGTGAGCCACCAAGTCCAGTGAGGGGAACTTTTCAAAAGACCAGATGAAAGAAGTTCGTAGAGAAATAATCAGGTTGATACATATAGCATGAGAAATATAATTTAGTTAGAGGAAGAGAGAAAAGCAGAAAGGTCAAAAATAGCAGAAAGGTTGAGATAAGATAAATGAAGAACTTACTGAGGGAGATGAACTCAGAAAGGGAAGAATAAAAAAGTTAACACAGGATCACTGGATTGCTGGAGAGCTTCTTTATCGGTTCTACCTGATCACCCAGCATAACCGGCCTTACTGTCACACACCCTTCACTCTGAACACTCTGGGTGCTGGTCTGTGTGCCTTTACCGTCTCCTGCAGGTTTTCAGACAATGATAGAACATACCTAAAGAGGATATTTACCTCCTGCTTGTATCCTAATATAAATTATAACCTTCATTGTGACAGCTCCTCTAAGTAGTAGATGTTTTAAAAATAGAAATGAGGAATGTCCAGTGAAGGCTTATTTTAAAATCCAGTTTTCATTCTTTTACATAACCAAAGCCCAGTTCCTTACTATTATTGGACATCTTTGTGTTTTTTTTGTGACAATTCTTCACCAGCATTTCCAGCTGCCCGTAGGACTTAGCTGGACAAATGTTCCACAGTCAACTCAAACTCAAGATGTCTAAAACTGATCTCCCCAACTCCCCAAACCTCTCAATCTGGTTTCACTGACTGCCTTTCTTGAAGACATCCAGACCCAGTACTTAGACCTTTTGACTCTCCCTGGACCCTTTCATATAAGTTGCTTGCTTGCTTATTTATTTATTTATTTTGAGATGGAATCTCAGTCTGTCGCCCAGGCTGGAGTGCAGTGGCGCGATCTCAACTCACTGCAACCTCTGTCTCCCAGGTTCAAGCAATTCTCCTGCCTCAGCCTCCCGAGTAGCTGGGACTACAGGCGCCTGCCAACATGCCTGGCTAATTTTTTGTATTTTAGCAGAGATGGGGTTTCATCATGTTGCCCAGGCTGGTCTCGAACTCCTGAACTCAGGCAATCCACCTGCCTCGGCCTCCCAAAGTGCTAGGATTATAGGTGTGAGGCACTGTGCTCAGCCTTGGTCATTTATTCATTTAATCTTTATTCAATATTTATTGAGTCCCAACTATACGCCAGGCCTCATTCCAGGTATTCAGAGGTGTGCAAAAGGCACATTGTCCCTGTTCTCTTTGAGCTTAGAGTTAAGTGGAGTGAATGAACAATAAAAAAGGAAACAAATATGTTAATATAAAATGAAGAGTACCATGAAAGAAATACACTGGGTGATGTGTTAGAGAACCAGGGAGGAGGTAAAACTAACACAGAGTGAGCAGGGAAGTGAGTGATACGAGAGGGAGCCAGCCATGAGGTCAGACGGGGGAGGAACATTCCAGGTCCTGTAAATTTATCCATTGCAATATCTTCCCCATTTATTTATCCACCTATCCCTTTCCTGCTACCTGATTTCTATGATGGCTACAGCCTCCTCGTTGGTCTCCTGCTGCCAGGTTCCAAAAATAAATTTCATCACGTCTCCCCATCTCCCCACCTGAAAATTATCTGAGATAGGCAGGACTCTAGGATGGCCCCAAGATTTCTGCCACGTATAATCCCCTCCGTTGAGTGTAGGCTGAACCTGTGACTATAATGCAATATCACTCCTGTGATCAGATTACTGATCAGTTGAGGTTAAGTTAATCAAAAGGGAGATTATCTTGAGTGGGCCTGACCTAATTAGGTGAGCCCTTAAAGGGGACTGAGAAATTATCCTTTTGGCCTTGAAGGAGCAAACTGCTATGTTTTGGAGAGGGTCATTTTTTAGGAGATGGCAAAAGGCTTACAGGAGCTGAGAACAGCACTGGTTGACAGTCAGCTAGAAAGTAGAGACCTCAGTCCTGCAACTGCAAGGAACTGAATACTCCTAACAACCTGAGTGAGTGTGGATGAGGACCTCAGGCTCCAGATGAGAACACAACCCAGTCTACACCTTGATTTCAGCCCTGTGAGATCCTGAGAAGAGAACCTACCTACACTGTGTACACAGTGCTGACTTACAGACTCTGCAAGATAAAAATGGGTACAGTTCAAGCCTCTAAATATGTGATAATTTGTTCCACAGCAATAGAAAATGAATACACTGTTGATGGCTCCTCTTTCACCTATAAACCAAGCTCAGCCTTCTCCAACATGACCTCAACTTACGTTGCCAATCTGACCTCCCACTGATCCTGACACTCACAGCTCCAGCCACACTGGCCTGGTAATGAGTACTCTTCAATAGTCAGAGACTGGTGTCTTTGTTCAATTAATCATTCCTTCTTCCTCCCTGGGCAACTCAATCTTGCCCTCCATTAATCTCAGATGAACTTTCCAGCCACCTTCCCACTTCTTTCCATCATGTACAGAGACTTCTAACTATGAACTCTTAGCACTTCTATGCAAATCAATTACAATGCCCTCCTGCATGCAGCTGTCTTGCCTCATGACTGAATTTGCCTCGTGGCTGGAGAGAGAGAGCTCCATATAATTTTAGTTACTTCAGGATCAAATCTTCTTACAACCTTGATATTTTCCATAGGTCCTTGTACAAAGAAAGTAATAAGAAACTGTTAACTGTCTGCCTCATGGGTCACGAAGGCCTCCTTTCCTGTAAGAGGGGAAGGCTTCCTTCCCTTCTAATCCTGGCCAGGCTCAGGGATCTAAGGTATAAGCTGGATCTACCAATGGCTCAACATTTTTTGTCTTGTCAGTTTCCAAGGAACCTGGAGCCTCCTTAACCCTTGTTGTGCACCTCAAGGCCTGGGATTAAGGAAAGGAAGGACAGATGCTGGGCTCGAAGGGATCGGGCAAGGCTTCCTGAGGCTCCTCCTGTGTGTTTCCCCTGCTCCTATGCGCCAGCACTGCCCGAATCTGCCTCTTGTGCATCTTGTTGTAGAGTAGTAACATTTGCATTCCCAGAAGGGCAGATTACAGTTAGCTGTGAGTTCTGAGATGAAGGTAAACTGTGCAGGACTTGGCCTTGACACCATGCTGTATGACAAAGGTGGCTTCTTTCTCAAAAGGGAAAAATTTGATAAAGTCAAATTAAGATCCTGCTACCCACTTCTTGGGAGGCTACAACAACCTAGTTCCCTTCATCTGATGCAAGTCCTCTCTTAAATCCCCTCCTTGGTTTATACAAGAGCAGGTCAAGTAGCAGCTGGTGTTTCTCTAGGCCTCTGACTCTCCTCAGAGCTTTAGACTCTGCCGGGGGCTTCTAGTACAATATGTCTACAAGGGCCTCGCTGTTAGTGGTAACTATGAGGCACCTTGGAGGAGGGGCTGAGCCTTGAGTCCTGCTGCTGCCATGACTGAACAGCGAGGGGAAGGAATACTGTAACTCACTTTCTCCAGGCCTTCCACTTGCATAATGTCCTTTGATGTAAAAGAGCCTGACCCTTCTGTGTATTCAGTGGTGTGCTGGTAAATGGCTAACAACAGGCTCTGTAGTTTACAAAAAGCCCTAATTTGTATTATTTGCCAATTTCTGTGGTGTCAATACTCCCACCATGGCCTATTTTAAGCTACCACCAAAGCTTTAATAACTGATGCAAAAAGTTTCTAAAATTTTGCCAATCAGCTCTCGCTAGCCATGATAAGCCGGCTTCAGCAGACCACTGAGAGTTATATACTTTCCTAAATATGCTATAATGTTCAGCAACTCCCTGGAGGCTCCATTAATGAAGTGGGCCAACAAGTGTAGGGAACCCTGGCTCTATCCCATAAAGGAGGAAGCAGAGATGCAAGGATGTCAGTTATGAGCCCAAGGTTCTGCAGCAAATTGTGGCAGAGCCATGTCTCCCACCTCTGAGGTGTGTTTCTCCTGAGTGCCCTCCTCCCTCTCGAGGGCATCGACAGCTCTCTGAGTTCTTGTGGGGGACAAGGGCTTCCTCAGTGAAGTCAGCATGGCAAGGGTGGTTACCGCTTGCAGAGCACTGCGTGCGCCCACAACTGAGTTTCCTCAATTCGCTCGATTCTGTTAATTGCCTGGGGGTCCTGTTAAAATGCAGAATATCAGGCTTAGTTTCTGGAGATTTTGATTTAGTACTTCTGAAGTGGAACCCAGAAATGTGCATTTTTGTTTCTTCTTTTTTGAAATTATTTTATTTTTCGATAAGTTATTGGGGTACAGGTAGTATTTGGTTACATAAGTTCTTCGTGGTGATTCGCGAGATCCTGGTGCACCCATCACCCAAGCAGTATACACTGTACCATATTTGTAGTCTTTTATCCCTCACCCCACTCCCCTTCATCTGATGCAAGTCCTCTCTCGAATCCCCCTCCTTGGGGATTCTTCCCCCAAGTCCCAAAAGTCCATTGTATCATTCTTATGCCTTTGCATCCTCATAGCTTAGCTCCCACATATCAGTGAGAACAGAAATGTGTATTTTTAACAAGCAAGTGCATCTTATGATTAGACAGGTTTTGAGAAAGTCTGCATTAGGGAAAACTTCTGTGACAAAGATTTTTGTTCACTTGGATAAGAAGTAAGAGACAAGACTACAATTTAACACTGTTACAGTAATTTTTTTCTTGCTCTTTTTTAAACATGATTAAACTGTTAGAATAAATGAGGCCCCCGCTTGTCATAAGCCGACTGCGACAGGGAGGCTGTACCGGAATTGGCCATCGGAGGGCACTATAATGCAGCAAGAACTCTGCCAGCACGGCTGGGGTGAGAAGTTCACTGCTCACCTGGGGGCTCTCCAGGCTCTGTGGGGAGGCAGAGAGGGAAAGCCCGGCGCCCTGCTTCCTGGAACCCTGCAGGGACCCTGCATTCCCACCCAGGCCGACCGCTTAGCCTCTGACTTCCTCTCGGAGCGATTGCACGTGACCGACTGCAGGCGAGGGCCGCGCCAAAGCACCCGGAGGGCTGGGCTGGGCTTGGCCGGGAGAGAGAGGCTTGGCCCAGGGCCACCTCTGAACATCTGGCCGCTGCGCTCGCGGCGGTATTCCCAGGTCCGGACCTGCCAGCCTCGCACTGTGCGCGCCGCCCCTGCAGACCCTGAGCCAGGGACCCTCCCCTTGTGTCTGAGCTCTTAGCTCCCTGGGCCGTTTCTGGTGTGGATGACTCCGCTGACCCCAGCACTGGCAGTGTGCTTGGTGATTAAGTCCGCGGGCATGAGAAACGGACTGATCAGCTCTGAATCCCGGCTCTGCCACTGAACTGTGTAGCCATGGGCCAGTGGTTTGTTTTTTCTAAGATCCAATTTTCTCATCTGTACAATGGGGATAATAATTTCTGCCCGAAAAGGCTGTAATGAATATTGAATGATATTTTCTCTGTAAACCTTTTTTTTTTTTAAGTCACAGTGCCCAGTGATTAATACTAAACATTCAAAAGACGGTATTATTATTGTTATTGTTGTCATAATTATTGTGCTAGCTCAAGGGATCAGTGATTGTTCATATCAGTGAGTTTATGGTTGTCTTCCCCTTCCTCCTGATATCAGGTAATATTAAATTTGTTTATTTATCCACCAAAAATGTACATGACACTTTCTATGTGACAGGCACTATTTGAAGTGCTTTACGAATATTAATTCATTTAATCCTCCTAACAACCCTTTGAGGTAGTTGTTATTATCTCCACTAAACAGATAAGAGAACTGAGGCTCTGACAGGTTAATTGACTTGCCCAAGGTCACATTGCTATTAAACTGTAGAGCCTGGATTTTTAGCCAGGCAGTGTGACTCTATAGCTAGGGAGCCCAGAGCCAGACTCGCACCTCAGCATCTCTGAGTAAGGGAGTGTGCTGTAATAGACAGAGGCTGCCTGAATCCTTACTCTTGCACCACCCAGTTGTGTGATCTCGGCAAGCTCACCTACCCATTCTAGTCTCAGCACCTTTATTTATATAGTGAGGGTATTACATCTCTCTCTCTGGGTTGTCGTGAAGGTTAGCAATAATGAATGAAGAGTTCTTAGTGTCTGGCACATAGTACATGCTAAATAAATGTTAACTATTTTTATTATTGTTGCTTCCAGACTCATGTAAGTTAGCATTAGCATAGAGGTAGCCAGGGCATTGAAGACATAGGTGCCCCATCCTCACCTTCACCAATGAAGGTGTCACTTATTGTAATAGAGTGCTGGTGGAAAGTCAGGAGATTCCATTTCTAGTCCCACACCTGTGCTAAGAGGCTGCAGCACTTCATGCAAGCATTTAGCATTTCCACTTAAATGAGATAACTGTGATGCCCCTTCTGACTTCTGGTTCTATGAGCAGGATGTTGCCCCTTCTGACTTCCGGTCCTATGAGCAGGATCTATATGGTTGGTCACTTACTGAAGGTCTCAGTACCTTGCAGAATTTGATTTCAATCTCAGAGCCCTGTCCCAGGGTGGGAGATGTGTGTGTGTGTGTGTGTGTATGTGTGTGTGTGTGCTGACAAGGGTTGCTCTTTAGGAAGCTAGCAGTCCAGGAGGAAAGAGGCCAGCCTGGGTGGGAAGGCCTGACTCTAACTCCCCGCCTGGGTTTAATGAGCCCCAGAGTTCTGTGAGGGCTGCTTTTCACCATCTTTTATTTGGTCAGACAGGGGGCTCAATATATCTTTAGTTCTGTGGACTCCCCTCCTGGAGTTGTTGAAGGAGAAAGCTTTTTGCAAATGACTGGAAAGCCTTTTGCAAATATAAAGTGCTTATTTAGATGCAAACTAAAAATCCAAGGTGCCTGTGACTCATCTGGTACCTATTGTGCTCGCTGCAAAGACGCGGAGGCTTGCCTGTGTGATGGGTGCCATTTGAGAGCCACTTAAAGAACTCCCTGGTGAATGAATTTGGCTGCATTATTCCTGGGCTCCTCTCGGAGGACTCTAATTCTCACCACTTGGTCGTGTCCTCCTCTTCTGACACATTCTCAGCCCTCTCCCTGAGTTAGTTTGGACCCAGGATGTGATGGGAGGAGGGCTGGCTCCCTGGGGAGGCAAGGAGCTAAAGGAGTGGGGGCTTGTGCTCCGAGGACTTCCCACTCTGCTTTTTAAAAACGAAATGGCAGCATTAATCCAAGCATCAGAGCTATGCCTAAGAATCTAATGACAATAGTATTACTTGCTTTCAAAAACCCTTTTATCATTTCCTTTTCTTTCATATCTCTTTCCACAGCATTATTATAGATCAGGGCTTCATGACCAAAAAATACTGAATCCATTTGGTTAAGTTTGTCAGATTGGTGACTGGCATTGTGTGAAGACCAAAGGTCTGCGTGAATGACTGCATTTTTAATGAATTGACCAGCTATTTGTCATCACATGAACAGAATGTAATGCAAACTGCTGTGAAGAATAATGAACCCAGCTTTTCCAAGGCCTGTTTTCATTTCTAGAATAGGAGGGGGCTCCATTTTGAGGCTTGGTGAGAATTCATTGGCCCATATAGAACTATGAGCCAAGAAGGGAGCTTCGTTTTCGCTTGGGATCTAAGGCATGGCTGGTCCCTTCAGGTAGGTAAGTGCTGTGTATTCTCGGAGTTTTCCTATATGGGACAGAAGCCAATTCAAAGTTACTCTTGTTGGTTGCGTTTTAAGTGGTAAAAACTAGAGGTGTGTTTTAGGCATGGCTGCTGGCCGCAAAATGGTGCTCTTGTGCAAATTAAAGAAAGGCGCCCTCTCCTGGCTGGCAAATCGTAGAAAAGCACCCTCTTCTGGCCAACTCTAGGCTTGGAAAAGGGAGTGATAGCTGAATTTCATTTCCACACCCTTGCGCAGGGAACAACCTGCACAACCTCACCCACAGCCCTAAGTGCATAAGAATATAGGTGGGTGGAGTGTATAGGCACACTCTCAAGAGGGAAGAGAGGAGGCTCAGGAACTACGAGGGCTGAGGGGGCTCTCTTTACACAGTTCTCCCTCTTCACAAAGCGAACCCTCTCCCATTCTCTGACGTCCTTTCCGAAAGCCTCCTCCCAAAAGTCAAAAGCCTCCTCCCTTTCCTCCTTGGAGTTCTCTCCCTCCCACTTCCCCTTCCGCCTCTTCTCCTTCTCCCAATAATATCATCCATCCATCTCATAGCTCCAGCAGGTGACCCAAATAAGATCTGCCATTTATTGAGAATTTATCACATTGTGCTAAGCTTTGACACACATTAACTCATTTCATCTTCACAATTCTTAGGTACTGTTGTTATCTTCAATTTCCAACTTCTTAGAGTATTTAAGGAATTTGCCAAAGCCACACCATTAGTACTGGGCGGTGCCAGGATTAGAATTCATGTCTATTTGACTCCAAGTTAGTAATCTTAAACTTTGTGCTAACCTCCCTAAATCTCCAACTACATCCCTGCCTTCTCCCCTGAGTTCCAGATCACATTACTTCCTGGATAGTCCACTTGTTCCTATTATGCCAGATGTTAAAAACCAAACCATTAAAGCACCAAATCGTCTCGACATGGTGATCTCTTCTTGACAGCATCTTTCTCCTGGAATCTTGTGTTCTGTTTGACTCCTTTCTCTTCCTAATCTTTCATATTCAAGAGGTTGGTGTTTACAGACCTTTTGCCGTTTTTTTTTTCAAAATTTCCCCTACTTTTCCTTTCTTGTTTCCTCCTATTTATTTTAGGATCCTATGATCCCTTACCTGAAATTCTGCTGCACTTTCTAACTGGTCCTTCATAGCACTATCAAAATCATTCCCTTAGAAGTAAAGCCTTACTCAAAATCCCTCAGTGCCTCCTTGGCCTATTGAATAAAAGTTAGAATTACCTCCACTGCCTGGCATTCAATGTTTTCCACAATATGGCTTGCCTGTCTTTCTTTCTTTC
The DNA here is from genome assembly GCF_000001405.40 of Homo sapiens. Classification (NCBI taxonomy): domain Eukaryota; kingdom Metazoa; phylum Chordata; class Mammalia; order Primates; family Hominidae; genus Homo; species Homo sapiens. The sequence goes on from NC_000003.12 coordinate 114,156,730, forward strand.
TTTCTTTCTTTCTTTTTCTTTCTTTCTTTCTTTCTTTCTTTCTTTCTTTCTTTCTTTCTTTCTTTCTTTCTCTTTTCTTTTTCTTTCTTTTTTCTTTCTTTCTTTCCTTTCTTTCTTTTCTTTCTTTCTTCCTTTCTTTCTTTTTCTTTCTCTTTCTTTTCTTCTCTTTTCTTCCTTCCTTCTTTCCTTCCTTCCTTCCTTCTCTTTCTTTCTTTCTTCCTTTCTTCTTTCCTTCCTTCCTTCCTTCTTTCTTTCTTCCTTTCTTTCTCTCTCTCTCTCTCTTTCTTTCTTTCTTTCTTTTTTTCTTTCTCTCCTTTTTTTTTCTTTCTTTCTTGTTGTTTTGAGTCAGACTCTTGCTCTGTTGCCCAGGCTGGAGTGCAATGGTGCAGTCTCAGCTCACTGCAAACTCCACCTCCCGGGTTCAAGCGGTTCTCCAGCCTCTGCCTCCTGAGTAGCTGGAATTACAGGCACCCACCACCATGTCCGGCTAATTTTTGCATTTTTAGTAGAGATGGGTTTTCATCATATTGGCCAGCCTGGTCTCGAACTCCTGACCTCAAACGATCCTCTTGCCTCGGCCTCCCAAATTGCTGGGATTACAGGAGTAAGCCACCGTGCCTGGCCTCAATCCCCCTTTTCAATTTCATCTCTTCCCAGGTTGCCCCATACCCTTCTCATGCTCCAAAGTCTATCACAATGATCCTCTTTTCCATAAAGCCCTTTCACATTCCCACAGTCTGATTCAGTCACCCTTGAACTTCACAATGCTTTCTCTGTCACTATGTTGTGGCATCTCCAGCCTGCTTTTTCTAGAGGTCATAGCACAGGCCCCCTCAATTGGCCCAGTGTTGTGCCCTCTGTAGCAACAGCCTCACATTTCCTTTTACATGCTGAAGTGGGAATTTTGAACAATAACCAAAAAAATGAATATGAACACACTTTGCTCTGGTGATCCTGCAAACCAATCAGCTAATTGGATGATTTTTTATTTATATCACTTGGTTGGCTAGCCAACTGAGAAGAAAGCTAAAGAACATGTCCACAATGCTGAAAATAATACCATTAAAGAGTGTGTTTAAAAAAGAGGGGTAGGCCAGGCACAGTGGCTCACACGTGTAATCCCAGCACTTTGGGAGTTTGAGGCGGGTGGATCACCTGAGGTTGGGAGTTCGAGACCAGCCTGACCAACATGGAGAAACCTCATCTCTACTAAAAATGCAAAATTAGCCAGATGTGGTGGCTCATGCCTGTAATCCCAGCTATTTGGGAGGCTGAGGCAGAAGAATCACTTGAACCCGGGAGGTGGAGGTTACAGTGAGCCAAGATCGTGCCATTGCACTCCAGCCTGGACAACAAAAGTGAAACTCCATCTCAAAAAAAGAAAAAAGAAAAAAAGAGGGGTCCAGATGCAGTAGTATGTGCCAGTAATCCCAGCTACTTGGGAGGCTAAGATGGGAGGGTTGCTTGAGTCCAGGAGTTTGAGACCAGCCTGGACAACATAGCAGGACCTCATCTCTGCAAAAAAGAAAAAAAAAAAAAGGAATATAATTGCATAAGTCTGTAAACATACCAATATAACATTGAATTACACACTTTGAGTGGATGAATTGTGTGGTATGTGAGTTATATCTTCATAAAGCTGTTTTAAAAAGTGAAGAGTTGGGGATTTTAGAATATTTTTAGCTCTAATATCTAAGTCTTTTGTGTAATTTCTAGACATTTAGTACACATTTTCAGGAGTGCATTATTTGCAGACATAGAGGACTGCAGCTGGTTTGCTTTATTATCATTACCCCAAACTCTTCTACAAGACCTAGCTCCTGATCACCTGTGACCTTCCCTGCTGTGCCCATTACAGAGTCTTGAACAAAGAGTATTCAGCTGAATTCAGTGGTCCCTGTTTGAAGGTAGCCAATGTTTATACCATAAAATAACAGTACCTAAGATAATACATAAGATAATAACAGTACCTAAGAATTGTGAAGATGAAATGAGTTAATGTGTGTCAAAGCTTAGCACAATGTGATAAATTCTCAATAAATGGCAGATCTTATTTGGGGTCACCTGTTGGAGCTATGAGGTGGATGGATGATATTACTGGGAGAAGGAGAAGAAGCGGAATGGAAAGTGGGAGGGAGAGAACTCAGAGCAGGAATGGGAGGAGGCTTTTGACTGGCAGCAAGGGCCATAGGCTTGAAAGTGACCTCCTTTCCCCCAGGGCTCTCAGTGAGGCTGGTGATGTCCCAGGGGAGCCAGGCAAATCTCAGGCTCAGGCAGAGGAAAGGGGAAAGAAGAGAGGAAGACAAAAGGAGAGGGGAAGGGAGAAACAGAGGGACCCAGAGCAAGGGTGGTGAGTCCAGGTGCTCTCAGGGATAGAAAGCAATGTTACTCAGGCAGAACACACAGAGAGAGGAGTCAAAATCACAGCAATTCACCCCAGCAACCAAAATGTAATTTTAAAAAACATACTATACTTGCTTCTCTAAGCTCTATGAGAGAAACATATAGATCACAGCCATGCTTTCTAAAATTGCCTTTCTCCCCCACTTCTCTCCTCTCTCCCCCTCAAAAATTATCCCTACACCTGCCCCTCTTTCTTTCTCTTTCTCTCTCCCACCTTCTCTCCATCTCTCCCTTCAACAAAAACAAACAAAACAACAACAGAATTTCCTACCAACCCCAGTCAGCTCACCTTTCCTCCTTCTCCCCCTCCCTAATGGGAAGCTTTCCTTCCTATTAGGAAGAAAAAAAAAACCCCAAAGGATGGTGGAAAAGCAAAACCAGAATCCTCTTCAGGGAGCTGGAGGAGAAGAAAGGCCAGGAAAGCTTATAGGGTCGTTATTTCCCACCTGTCGCAGGGGTTTCTTCTCACCTGCAAACCATACTTTAAAAGAAAAAGAGAGGAAAGAAAATGTTCCAGTGTCAAGTTCTACTTGGAGGTGACCCCAGTACCCTCAAGTGCACAATCTGTCTCTCCCCACTTCCCCAGCTTTTGGGCCACCTGGAAGGGGAATTGCAGCCCTACCTGTCTATGCTGATGGCACAGAGATTAAGGATGCTGGCTGTACACATCATGACATCCAGGGTGACAAAAACATCACAGCAAATGCGGCTGAAATTCCAGACTCCACCTGTCACCTGGGTATCAGAGACAAGGATGTTAGTGTTTACCCCAGTGAAGGAACGACAACCCAGTTGGCCCTATTTTCTTTGCTTTGCTGCCTAGTGTAGATGTTGGCACTCCTACTCCCTGTGTACCGTTGTTCCCACAGGGCAGATGGACATCAAGGGAGTGCCAGGCTATCCAAAACTGGTTGCCTAAAGAAAGGACAAGTTCACAGAATGTTAGAATGCTAATGCTGGAAGTGATCTTCCAAGTCAGTTAGTCCAGTGATTCTCAAAGTGTGGTCCACAGTGGGGTGTTTATTAAAGATGTAGATTTCTGAATCCTTCCTATACCTACTGAGTCAGAATCTTTGGCTCTTTGGTCTGTAAATCTTCTTTTTTATTTTTTTTAAATTTATTTTATTTTTTGAGATGGAGTTTTGCTCTTGTTGCCCAGGTTGGAGTGCAATGGTGCGATCTCGGCTCACCACAACCTCCACCTCCCCAGTTCAAGTGATTCTCCTGCCTCAGCCTCCCAAGTAGTTGGGAATACAGGCATGCGCCACCAAGCTGGGCTAAAATCTTCATTTTTAAATAAACACTCCTATACATACCAAGGTTTGAGAATCACTGTTGAAATTCAAACTCAGGAGGCAACTAATGCTCCTTGTGGTTAAGTGATAACTTCCTCATAGATGCTCAGCTGGTGGTAAAAGGACTTCGGTGACTACCCGATGTGTACATTGTGCCAAAACTGTCTCTCTGAAGTCCTTCACCCAGTAGAGAGCTCATCATGCACTCAAGAAATAAGCTAAGAACACATTTTTCATAAAATTTACCTCCAAAGTAAAAATCTATCTGGCTTCAGCTTGTAAAGCTTGGAAACATTCTGAAACAACATTTATGGGAATCTATGTAAAATAAGTCTGTGCCAATGTGACTGCCTTCAACACTCTCCCTCCCCACCCACATCCCAAAAACCAAAAGTGGGGAAAAGGGCTGGATTCTCTCCACTACTCAGAATTCATGAGGATGGTTTCAACCTCATGCATCTATCTATACATGTATTTCAAGCTCCATAACATCCTCTGAGTAATGCTTACAGTCAGGAATTTATATAATATCATTTATACTCTAGTATATTTCTATTTATTTTTGAAACCTTTACATACCCTAATTGAATCAGGAAGATGTGTCAGGGAGATTGACACTTTTAAAATGTCCACCAAAGGCCACTCATGGACCGCGAGGCTTTGTGCAGTTACCAGCTTCTTTCCTGGGGGGGTGGGCTGTCATTCTTGGGGACCCTAGTTCTCGGGGAGAAACCTGCCAGGCTTTGTGCCTCTGGCTGTAGCTGAGTATTCACAATACCGCTCCTGAACAGGCCCAATGGCCATTTAAGAGGAAGAAAGAGTGAAAAATGGTACAGTAGCCTCTGAAGTAGCTTCCCAATAAGAAAACAGATACTGACCAAATGACTGTGCATAAAGATAGTGCTATTCCTTCATCTGGATTTTCTCATCCAAGGATCTTCTTATATGACCAGGTCACTTTAGTGTTCATTTCTGTTTTATCCCAATAAAATAAGGTCCTAAAAGGCCGTCTTTCCTTCCCTGTCCCTGATAACTTCTTCCCATTGGATTTATTTCTTTTTTTGCATCTCATTTTATTCCTGTGCTTGGTCATCTCCAGACTGTTTTGAGAAACCCTGACCAATGATTTTTTGTTTAAAAGCAACAATGAAAATTAAAACTAGTGAAGAAGTCAAATCCAGTTATGGATTTACTGTCTCTCTTTTAGTTTGACCAATTGGCTCTATATAAATAAAGGCTGAATATGAATTTATAGGAATTCTGAGAATAAAAAGCTTTTAAAAGATTGAGACATAAGAATTCCGATCTAAAGAGTCATAATAACACAATGATTTAGGGGAACCAAGAGAATAAAAGAAGGTTTTCTTCATTACATAGGACAGTTGCATACTGTAAAAGCGTCTTGCAAAAGCTGATTTTGTATACTAAATTTTATTTCAATATTATATCTACTCTGCAGTTAATGTTTTAAATTGGGTAAAAAAACACTTTTTGGCATAATTGTGAGCACATGTTTGTTTGTGTTTTGGGCTAGAGTAGGTGAGAAAGGATAGTTAGGATAACAGCAAACTTCAGTGTTTGCTGGATATTCATTCATTCATGCACTTGTAGAGCAAATACTTGTGAAGCTCTTAGTACTTGGTTTGCAGCAGTGTATGTCATGTGTGTTGAGAGGTTTTACAAAATGTACTACAGGGCCTATCCTTAAAGAATTTACAAGATAACTGGAGAAGTAAGGCATTCATCAATAAAATACTAGAGATCATCATGATATCCTAATATTGTTAATAGGAATTAACATTTATTGAGAATTCACTGTACATGTGTTACCAACCCACATGACCCATTCCAGGAATTTCTATAACTTTGAAACTTCAGACTTTGAAAACTGAATTTGTTTTTATTGTATGTGTTCTTAAAGCTTTTTGAAGACAAGTTATACATTTACTTGATAGGGGATGGAGTTATTGTTACTTAACCAACACCAACAGGAGCAGGAAGATTTACTTGTTTGCTGCTGCACCCCCAGCTCCCAGAGCAGGGCCCAACCATGAAAATATATTCTGAAATAATAAATGACCTCTGACATAATCTGTCATAATAATAGCTAACATTTATTGAACGCTTACTAAGTGCCTGGTGTTCTGCAAAGCACTTTACATACGTGGCCTCTATTGCCGATTATAATTCTATGACAGAGGATTATTATCTTCATTGCAGAGGAAGAATCTAAAAGCTTAGAAAGAATAAGCACTTTGTCCAAGGTCACAGGGCTAGTACAGGGAGACAGAGCATTGGAATGTAGGTTGTTACACACCCTGCTATAGGGAAGTGTTAGGTGAGGAGGGATAGTTGTTGGAAAAGGGATGGAAGTGGGTAGATACTAGGGGAAAGAAGAAAACCAGGTGTTCCTCAGGGATTTTTGTGTGACAGACCATATCATCTCCTTTCTAGGGAAAGAGACACTCTCCTGATTGCCTCTATCCCAGGGTTCAAAGAATAGTGCAAGAGACAGTGGTAAGTGCTGCCTTTGGGGTTGGTGAAAGTACACAGACAGTTTTATTTAATACCCCTCCTGCTTAGCCCCCAAAGGACAAAGCCCTCAAGCTGTTCTCTGGCTTCCAGGCCCCCAATGGCCTGTCATCCCATTCTGGCTATCCTCTTTTCTTGTCTCCTGATTCTGCCATGAAAATTCTCATTCTCTCCTTGATTTCAGCTAAGAGTCAAGAAGAAAACAATCTGATTAGCTGATTAAAATAATTCCCACTAAGGTGCCATCACTTAGCCTTCCCTGGAGCTTACTCATTAAAATGAGTCTCTAATTGGTGGGACTTGTAATGAATTTTTTTTTTTCTATTGACATCCTCCATATCAAGCAACAAATAGTAAGGGATCAATAAAGTGCATCTAGGTGCCAAGAATATGCTGGTAATTCTCACACATTTTCTCATCACAACCTGAAGAGGTAAATGTGATTTTTAACTTATAGGTAAAGAAATGGAGACCTGGAAGGGTTGAGTAATTTGCCAAATGGAGACCTGGAAGGGTTGAGTAATTTGCCTAAGGACACATAGCTTGTAAAAGGAGCTAGGATTTTGACCCCTTTATATTACCATTACTCTTCCTGCCTCTCAAAGTATAGTGGCTTGCCTCTTCAGAGATGTGTACAATTTAACTCTATTCTAATATCATAGGAGGTAGAAGAGTTGGTGTGTGTCCATCCATTACCCCTATAGCCATGGTCTAATGAGTGCCCAAGATATGTCTGATACTTTGCTTGGGCGGGTGTATTGAAACAAACCTGTTTTTGTTCCCAGGATCTCAGAATACAATGTGTGCCTATTACCAGAAGTGATGTGTGAATGGGTATGGGTGAACTGAGGGCCCGGGAGATAAGTACTTAAAAAACAGCTATGAGGCAATGTGATAGGCACCAAAGGTGAGATAGGTACAAAGTGTTGGAAGATTATGAAAGGCAAAATGATTTTTGAAATTAAAACAGATAAAAGTGAAAAAAGGCCTGGTGTGGTGGCTCCCACCTGTAATCCCAGCACTTTGGGAGGCAGGTGGATAACTTGAGGTCAGGAGTTCGAGACCAGCCTGGCCAACGTGGTGAAACCCTGTCTCTACTAAAAATACAAAAATTAGCTGGGTGTGGTGGTGGGCGCCTGTTATCCTACCTACTTGGGAAGCTGAGGCACGAGAATTGCTTGAACCCGGGAGGCGGAGGTTACAGTGAGCCGAAATCTCACCACTGCACTCCAGCCTGGGTGATAGAGCGAGCCTCAGTCTCAAAAAAAAAAAAAAAAAAAAAAAAAAAAAAAAGTGAAAAAAATCAAATTGACTTGAGGCTTTTTAGAGACATGATTCTTTCTCCTGCATTCTAATGAATAACTCACTTTAGAATTATACAGCAACCAGGTGGTGTTACTCTTACTTGCTAATGAATGTAAGTAACTCCCTGTGGCAATACAGAAGTTGAGTAAGCAGGAAAGTGTCTTCAGGTACTGAAATTGTCTATTGATTTTCAATAGACACAGCCTAGGGCAGCATTCCCCAAATTTACTGATTATAAGGCAGCATTTCCCAAATCTCCAGACACTCTTGTTAAACAAAATGATTCTTAGGCCTCGCTCAGAGTAATAAGTCCCTCAAGTGATTCTTATTGTCTTGGTTTGGGAAACACTGGTCTGGGGTTAAGGGGAGCATAAAATGATCCTGAGAAATTGTTGTTCCTAAAGCAGGTTTTCTTAAGCATTCTTTATCCTGTGGATTTCGTTAGCTTCATGATCCCCTTCTCAGAAGAATGCTTTTCTTCTTTTTATTTTTCTGTTTTCTTTTTTGAGATGGAGTCTCGCGCTGTCGCCCGGCTGGAGTGCAGTGGCACAATCTCGGCTCACTGCAATCTCCACCTCCCGGGTTCAAGTGATTCTCCTGCCTCAGCCTCCCAAGTAGCTGGATTATAGGCTCATGCCACCAGGCCCAGCTAATTTTTGTATTTTTAGTAGAGACGGGGTTTCACCACATTGGCCAGGCTGGTGTTGAACTCCTGACCTCAGGTGATCCACCCACCTCGGCCTCCCGAAGTGCTGAGATTACAGGTATGAGCCACTGCGCCTTGCCAGAAGAATGTTTTTAAAGCATGAAATAAATACAGTGGTTCATAAAGGATATCAGTTTTATTGAAATATAATTGTCAAAGTATTTAAAATATATGTGTTTCTTTAATAATTCATTAAATAACAAGATCTAGTGGCAGGTCCAAAATTCCTATAATTTCAAAGAAATGATGAGTATAAGTGATGTTTCAAGATGTCCGCAACAATCATAATGTGGTTTGAAAATATAAATATCATCAGTGTGCAGGAAGGAGGGTTAAAAAGTTAAACAAAATTTGGGAGGCTGAGGCAGGAGAATCGCTTGAACCCGGAAGGTGGAGGTTGCAGTGAGCTGAGATTGCGCCACTGCACTCCAGCCTGGGCAACAGAGTGAGACTCCATTTCAAAAGAAAAAAAAAGAAAGTTAAAAAAGTTAAGAAAAAAAATCTGTGATTTCTACTGGTGACACTAAAGATTTCTTCTGCTGTGGGTTGATACCTACATTTGGAATTAAAGGAAATTCTAAATTTCATCTCAGGGAAAATAAAGGAGTAGTTTTATTTACATCCAAGTTGATGAACTCCCCAGATTAAGAACTCCAACTCTAAAGGGATGAATTTTTAGTTATTTGGAAATATCTAAGAGGCAAAGATAGAAGTACTTCTCTAATTAGCCTCTTCAGTCCATTTTTGTTTGCCACATTTGGAGTATTTCTTGGTGGGAGGGTTGCTGTGGGGCAAAACAGAATAATAAATAAGGATTTTTCACTTCTCTGCATCTTCATTTCTCCATCTATGAAATAGGGGGTTTGTAGCTTATTGGTTCCCAAATGTCGTAGCAGATGACTAGCTGGTTGCACAAGTCACATAAGGTGGGAGTGGGGCCTGGGGCTTACTCTAGACTTCCAGGGCTGCCCTGGAAATGCTGGTTTGGTAGACCCGAGGTAGACCCAACAGTTTGTATTTTTTTTTTTTTTTTTTTTGAGACAGAGTCTCTGTTGCCCTAGCTGGAGTGCAGTGGCACAATCTCGGCTCACTGCAACCTCTGCCTCCCGGGTTCAAGCGATTCTTCTGCCTTAGCCTCCCAAGTATCTGGGATTACAGGTACCTGCCACTATGCCTGGCTAATTTTTGTATTTTCAGTAGAGACGGGGTTTTACCGTGTTGGCCAGGCTGGTCTCAAACTCCTGACCTCAGGTGGTCCACCCACCTCGGCCTCCCAAAGTGTGGGGATTACAGGCGTGAGCCACCGTACCCGGCCAACAGTTTGTATTTTTAACAAGCAGTCTCTCCTTCCCTTATGCTATAAATTGTGTCCCCCAAAAGGCATGTGTTGGAAACTCAATCCCCAGTGCAACAGTGTTGGGAGATGGGGTCTAACGAGAGGTGATTATCCTTGAGGACTCTGCCCTCATGAGTGGATTAATGTTGTTTTTGTGAGAGTGGGTTCCTTATAAAAGGACAAGTTCATTCCCCTTTTGCCTCTCTTCTGCCCTCCCACCTTCCACCATGGGATGACAGCATGAAGGCCCTTCCCAGATGGAGGCCTCTTGATCTTAGACTTCCAAGCCTCCAGAACTGTAAGAAATAAATCCGTTCTTTGTAAATTATACAGCCTCATGTATTCTGTTGTAGCTGCACAAAATGGATTAACACACCCCCTAATGAACGTTTAGCTCAGAGCTGCTCAAAGTTTAGGTGCATAAGAAGTATGGAGGAGCTCATTTGGATATGAGACTCCAAGACTCATCCTCAGAGAAACCATGTCAGTAGAATATGGCCAGGAATTTCCTGTGGTTGGATCACACTGTGGAAATGATGGCAAAAATAATCTCCAAGCCCTTCCAGCTTTAATATTCTATGACTTTTATCAAAATCCAGAGTTTGGTGACGAGATCGTGAGAATCTCCTGTCTTTGTTTTCCAGTAGGGAGGTCTTAAATTATCATTTGGGGTTTTTTGAGCTGTGGTAAAACTTTCCTTTAAAAAAACCCACTTCTTTATTTTTAATAATCGATATCATTACAAAACTCAAAGATTCTTCCCTTCCCAAAATTTTGCTATTCTTTTCTTTCATCACAGTCCGACCTCGATCGCTTTTTCTGTGGTGCGTTTCCTTGCCTGAACTCATCCTATTCTATCTTGCTTGACTACCTTTCTTAATCCTCAAGTTTTTCCTCCTGTCTACACTGGGACCCAAGTAGTCTGAGTTTAGTATTCCAAATGTTCCCCTGGCCGCTTATACTGCCTTTCTATCCTGATAAAAGTGTTTTAAACATCACAAAAGGTGCTTCACTGAGTGGAACAAAATGAGAAGTTTGTGCTTGGAGAGGAAGCTCTGGAGTGCAGACGGTAAAGCAGGAAATTAAAATCTTGAGAGGAAATCTGAGACAGAACTATTTGGGATGGTACAGAAAAGTTGAGAAAATGCTGCAAACTGAATTAAGCAGATAGCCAAGCCAGAAGCCCTCTGAAATATAATCTTCTGTGAGGTCACCTGCTTGGTTTTTGTCCTGAACTTATCTGCCAGGCTTGAGGACAGAGAATACTGAAGCACGTCAGTGACTGGTCCCTGTGGGCCCCCTTATATATGCCCAAGTGAAGGCTCCTGTGTGTCTTAAAGATGAGAATGATACCAATGAAAGCTGACTGTGGTTCCCACTTACTGACTATCCTCTTCTATCTTTTCAATAAATAGTCCCTAGATGCCACTGTGAATCTATGAGATCGCTGGGCAGTATCCAAAGAAGAAACATATAACCTATGTTAAATCAATTTTTCAAGCTGGAACTCATGTGCCACAAGCCAGTCCAATCAGAGCACATCTTGATACTTCTACTAGAAATTCTAAGAAAAGGATTTTCTCTCTTGCTGTGAATGGTGTGGTGTGGACATGTGAGACCTATAGCTTAGCCTGTTGCCTGCAGGTAAGGTCAGTATATGGAAAAAGGCAGAGCTGAGAGAACTGTAGGGAAATGGAGCTGGTGCCCTGATGGAACTGTGCCTGCAGCCCACCCTACCAGAGGACTTTATAAAGTTCCTGGTATGACAGCCAATGCATTCTGTTTTTTCATTTAAGCCAATTGGAGTTAAGCTGTTTTAAACTTATAATTAAAAGTGTCTTAAGTGAGATATTTATAGATCAAAAGTTTTGGTTATCAAAATACTCTATCAGTTGATGACAGCTGAGTCTAACATCAGCTCAGGGTGGAAAATGTTGTTGTCACCTCCATTTTATGCACTTAAATCCATGTCTTCTGACTCCAAGTTCTGAGTCTTTTTCTCACAGCATGACACTGTGTTGAAATGACATTCATCCCAGTGAATTCCAATAAAGGAAATGTGATACTTTATTGCCTACGTCAGAGCAATTCCCCACCCCTACATCTTTTATAAATAAAACACACGTTTTCATTTTTTCTTTTTTAGCTTCCTTTGCAGCTAAAGGTGGCCTCATGACTAAGTTCTGGCCAATTAAGCTTATGTGAAACCTCTTAGAAACATGCTTTAAGCTACTACAGGGAAAGTGCATGCTCTCTCTCTCTCTCTCTCTCTCATTTCCTGCTGTCCCTACCCATCCTATTTTTGAATACTGCCATGGTGCTGGGGGCTATGGCAAGATAAAGAACTAAGCCAGCTTGCCAAGGATGGTGAAGAGGAAGGATGGAAAAGTCTGGTCTGTGATGACACCATGGGGCAGCTGAACCAACACAATAATTCTTTTCCTCCAGAATTCTGGTTATTTGAAAAACATTAAATGCAGTTAAACCACAACTAATCAAGGTTTCCAATATTTACAGCCAAAACATTCCTACCTCATAAATACTGGTGTCTGGCAAAATGAGCCAATTTTCCTTCGAAGAAGGTGGATGTGTTCAAATCAAAGCACATGCGGCTATGAATCTGGTGAATCTTTTGGATCCCAAAGTGGTGTTCTTCTCATGTACATCTTATCTTCCTGGGGGCCCTCAAGCCTACAGCAGTCTCGGTGGTCAACATTGCACCCTTTTCTTTTCCAAAGGGAGCTCTTAGGTATAATTAAGTAATTAGTAGAGTAGCTACTCAAACTGTACTATCATTAGGACAAGTTAGTGAGAATAATACTTTGCTTCTTCTTGAGGAACATGGATTTATGTATTCATAGCCCATATTTTAAGGGCTCAAAGTGCTCTTTTCTTTCATTAAGGTGCCTCATTTGCCTCTAAGGAAAGATAGGAAAACATTTGAGATTAAGAAAAGTATAGACTGATGTAAGATGGAGAGACTTGGTCCTCTGTATTCTTCACTGGCTTTAGGGCCTCTTTTTGGTCTTACCAACTCGCTTCAAGACATTGACTGGGTCTTGAAGCAAATTGGTAAGACCAAAAAGAGGTCCTAAAGCCAGTGAGGAGACGTCTCTGCTCCCCTGAATCTTCCTTGTGTGAATATAGATTTTAAAAATCATGCTCTTATTGCTTCTCAGCCTTTTGGTTAAGATCAAATGTAAAAATTATGATCTTGATCACTGAATACCTACATGAAATAACCTGTTGGACAGAGGGCATAGTATTATGGTTTTTATGGGGAGAAACCAAAAACTTCATCAGAGCTGTTCTCATGGAAGAAAACCTATATGTACTACTACAGTGATTTCTTTAAGGCCTTTGGCAAGATTTCCTGTCATTTTCTATAGTCTCACCTGCCCTTCTATGCTCAGTAGTAGAATAGGAGCACCAGTATATCAGAAGGTATGGCTAGAAGGGGTGCCATGGATTTCTAGTGTGGAAAAGTCACAATGTCTATCTCCTAAACCAGTACATACAGATGTTTTCCAGTATGGTCCAACCAGAGTCCTAGAAATAATCACAAATACATAGCCAACAAATGCCCCTGAGTGGCTTTGTTACAGACACCAAAAGCCTGGTTTTATCTTAGAGGGAATAAAAATGCTCATTAGAGTGAAGGTCCACTGCCTACATTTCTTCCTGCCATTCATCCTTCTGGAGGACTTAACATTCCTTGGAACACATAGAAATGGACAAAAACATTTTAGGAAGATGATGACAGTGCTATGAGTTATTGACCAATTCATATTGGCTGGTTGCACCTAAAGCGCCTCATTCTTGAACAGAAATATCACATGCTTCGAAATTTTTTCAGGCTCATTATTGTTGGATGTAAAATAACAAATAGCTCGTCCCCAAAAGTCCTCTCCCCAAAAAGTCTGAGTGTAACAATAGATAGAGAGGCAGATGGTATTAGCAGGAATAGCCCATATAATGCATACATTACAGAGAAGATTCATTTCATCATTCATATATCAAATGTTATAGCAGTTAGCATGTATTTTGTGCCAGGTAGTATGTTTAGGCTACAGGAGATGAAGAGTAAAGATCTAGTCTCTGACTTCAAGGTTGACTCAGACTAATTGGGTTGACAGAAAAATCAAGATAATTATAAGACCCTTCACCCTCCCAACTAGGATTATCCTAACTGGGAAGAATAAATGCATATTTTTTCCTCAAGTATTCCCTTAGCCTTTAGATCTACACAGCCTAGTTGTTTTTCTTCTTTTCCTTTTATTTCTCTGTTTTCTTTTTTTCTCTCTTTATGTCTCCCCCTTGAGATCATAAGTCTAATTTTAGTTCCCAGCCATCTTTAACAAAGGTATTAGCACAGGCAGTCTATGTACAAGGTTTTTGCTCTCCCGTGATATGTCATACTTAATTAACTGTCACTTTTACTATCAATATTAACTGAGATATTAATTTGATGAATCTTAATTTCTCTTAATCATAGCATCATTTTGATCCTTCATTGGATACCTCTTTAAAATGACACACAGTGCAGAGGAGAAATATTAATAGTATACTCAGGTTTTTTTAAAAAAACATATCTTAAGTAATTGCATGTTTTCCTGGTAAGAATATCTGTTTCTTGAACAGATATGGTCACCCTGATTTCTTTGTTAGCAAATGGGTGTTTTGTCTTGACCACCCCCTGGCTCTGTTTTGCACTCCCAATTGAAAATACTTTCAAATTTAATAAATGTTTCTCCCCAAAAGAATTCACCAGGATCTGCTGCACTATCTCTCTGGCAAAGGCTCTGTACTATTCATGGACACATGGAAAATATACATTTGAGGGTTTTGTCTGTTCCTTTGGTAGCAGAGTCTATGGAGAACTGGTACCCAGGAGGAAAGAGCAAAGAGGGACTGAGCCATCGAAAGAAGTCTGATCTGTTCGCTGGTCATTCTTTCTATCTTCCCTTACATTCACTAATTTTTTTTTTCTATAATTCCTTTTTCCTCCTGGCCTCACATCCCTCCTGCACACCCTCACCCTCATATACATTAAACACTGGTGAAGAGGTCTTCTGGACTGCTTCACCCAGCCCACCATGTCATTGAGACATGTCTGGCACAGAGAATAAACTCTAGGCCATATTAGGAAGAGTCCCGTCACTCAAATCCAGTCACCTGAACACTGGAGACCCATGAACAGAATCATTCTCAGCTCCTTGGTTCTGATGTGGATGAGGGACAGGATGGTGACTGTTTTCCAGAGCTTTAACTCTCTCATTACAGGGAGAATGAGAGCTCTCCTTCCTTCCTCAGTTCCTGACTGTCTGGGGAGTCTTTTGAGCCCCAAAGGCCAGAACTCAGGGAAGACAAGTACTAGCACAGTCATAGAGACAACATGCACCTGAAGTCTACTCACCTCCAGGTATACCACCCAGGGCATCACCAAGGTGGCCACCAGCAAGTCTGCCACAGCCAGGCTCACTACTAAGTAGTTGGTGGTAGTCTGCAGGGCCCGCTCCTTCAGCACAGCCATGCACACCAGGCCATTGCCGAAGACGATGGCCAGGATGAGCGCGCAGTAGGAGAGGGCATAGTAGGCATGTGGGCGGGCCTGGCTGGCACCTGTGGAGTTCTCTGCCCCACAGGTGTAGTTCAGGTGGCCACTCAGCTGGCTCAGAGATGCCATAGCCCAGAGGGAGGTGCGTGATGCCAAGGGGCTTCCTGTGAGGAGACAGAAAACAATATTAATAAAATCAGACTCTTTGGGGCTTGGTTGCTTAGTTACATTTTTTTATTTATTGCATCAGCAAATATTTATTGAGCATTTTCTATATAGTAGGCACTGTTGTGAGAGTTGGAGATAGAGCAATGAACAAAACAGATAAAATCTTAATTCCTTCCCTTTGAAGCTCCCATTCTAGAGGAGAAGACAGATAATAAACAAGATAAATAAAAGATGTGGTGTGTTCAATAATGATACGTATATTGGAGACAAATCAGAGAGGCAGGTAAGTAACGGGTGAAGATTGTGCGTATGTGAGTGAGTATCTGAGTATAATCAGGA
This sequence comes from Homo sapiens, assembly GCF_000001405.40. Lineage (NCBI taxonomy): Eukaryota > Metazoa > Chordata > Mammalia > Primates > Hominidae > Homo > Homo sapiens. The sequence goes on from NC_000003.12 coordinate 114,172,371, forward strand.
ACTCCTCATGGAGAAATCAGCAATTGAGTCTTGACCTGGAGGAGATCAGGAAGCAGACCATGCAGTTATCAGATGTGATAGCAGTCTGAGCAGTGAGAACAACACGGGCCAGCAGGAAGGGCTAGCACATAGAAGTCATAGGAGGGAGTCTGGTGAGGCTGGAGCCAAGTGAGGCAGGAGTAGAATAGGAGGGTGTGAGGTAGACAGATTGTGCAGGGCTATTGAAAGTACCATGCTTGGACTCTGAGTGAGATGGGAAGCTGTTGCAGGATTACAATCCCAGCTCTGCTGCTTCCTAACTCTGGGACCTTATGCATATTACTTTACCTCTCTGAGCTCCAGATTCTTCCCATGTAAAATGTGGGAATAATGAAACCCATCTATCTTAGTCCATTTTGGGTTGCTATAACAGAACACCTGAGTCTGGGTAATTTATAAAGAGCAGAAATTTGTTGTCTCACAGTTCTGAAGGCTAGGGGAAGACATAAGGCCTGTGACTTAGGGAGTAACCCTGAAACCCAAGCAAAAGTGACTCTTGCCCCAAGCTCTAGAGGAGGTGCTATAGAGGAGTCCACTCTGGTCTTCTGCTGTGGTCTCGGTGTTTGTGTCTCCCTAAATTCATATGTAGAAATCCTAATTCCCAATATGATGGTATTAGGAGGTGGGGGTCTTTGAGAGGTGATTAGGTTATGAGGACAGAGCCCTCATGAATAAGATTAGTGCTTTTATAAAAGAGACCCAGAGAGCTAGCTAATCTCTTTCACCATGGGAAGACATAGTGAAAAGACAGCCATCTATGAACCAGAAAGCAGGCCCTCACCAGACACTGAATCTTCTGGTGCCTTGATCTTGGACTTCCCAGCCTTCAGAACTGTCAAAAATAGATATCTGTTGTTTATAAACTACTCAGTTTATGGTATTTTGTGATAGCAGCCCAAAAGGACTAAGGCACCCTCTACTGGTTATGCCTCTAACCTCTATAGAATGATGTTGTAACCTCCCACAGTGCCAAGGAGAAGGTCCACTAAGTTTACAACCCTGTCTAGACCACACTCAGGGAATTCTCTACCCAACTGCTCAGAGCCTGTTTCCAAGACATCACGGGTCTCATTCTAAATCTCTCACTCTGACGGGAGACTGTGCCATAAATGTGTAGGGTTCCTGGGGCCAAGTGGTGGCTTTCAGTTAGAGCTCAGACAAATAGATTCTATGTAGCCTGAGGTTGGGAGAGAAGAGGCCAGGGTCCCTGAAGCAGATTAGGGGTGGGGGCCCAGCTTCTCCTGTATGATCACATTTTGTATGGAATTTTGAAAGGTCCAGGAATCTTAAATTCAAACTTGGCCTTCCATGTTGTTACGAAGGTGTATTTGTCAAGGTGGGAGGATGAAACATTTTACTCAATGGCTTGTTGGTTACAACTTTAAAATATTTAAGCATGGTACATATAGACCTTTATGGGAACTCTCTCTTCAGGCCTTGGCAAAAGTAGAGGCTGACTTGGTGGCCAGAATTTGCCCTCAAGCCAGGTATCTGTAGCTCTCCCTTGATTAGGAGACCGGCCTAATCATGGCTGTCATTTTGTACCTCACTTTGAAATGTTTCAGCCTGAAATATGAAAGAGTTAAAATGAACAAATACTTGGGAAAGGGTGACAAACTTGGAATGAATTTAGAGAATTGTTTAAAAAAATTGTCCTTTATCTTGGCACACTGTTTGCACTCAATGTATTTTAAAACATAATAATAATTCTTGATAATAATTATAATTTTCTCATTATTCAGAGGAGGGCAGCCGCTACCCTGGAGATAGCACCGCTGCTGCCAAGAGCTTTTGGAAAAATACAATGCTTTCTGATTGTTCAAGGATATTCCCACTTTTAAGGCAGGCTGAGGCCCAAATGTCTTCCCTTTCACAACTGGGCCACTTTGGAACACAGTGGCCAGAATCCCTCTTTTCTGGGGTCTGCAACTGGTGAATAATGTCTTAGCCTCCTCTCACCTGCCACGTAAGAGGGAGGCATAAAACCTTAGGATACTTGTTACTCTTTTGCTGGACTTTTTACTCTGCCAAGAGGTTTGACAGCTACCTAAAAATAGTATAGCTGAATGCCAGTGGCTAATTATACGAAGGGAAACCCTCAACTCTGAAAATCAATTCTGAGCCTGATGTTGGAATCACAGTTGCATGGATTTCTGATTTCATATTTATTTTTTCCACATCTGATCTTAGATCCTTTATAGCAGCAGGTGGGTTAAACCGTGATTGTTCAGGTAGTTTCTGATGAGTTGTGGATGTGGGAGATGAAAGCAAAGATGAGTGAGATGCTAGATTACTCTCTATCCCTCAGCTAATTGTTTCAACTTCCTCCCTGCTTAGATTTTTTTTTTTTTTTTCAAACCAGAGTTGCTTATATAACACAGAACTGAGCTGGGCTTTCTTCTTTCTTTTCCCCTCTGTTAGATATGCTAACAGATAGGAAACGGGTCTCAGGTAAGAAGAAGCAAAGAGCCTAGAGAATTCATTAACTCAATCACTCTCTAAGTAATTTACAATGATAGGCTGGTTTCCTCATCAGCAAAATGGAGATAATCATATCCATTCCATAAGGTTATTATGAAGACTAAATGAGATTATATACATGAAGTTTGGCACTACTGACAATTTGGGCTGAATAATTCTTTGTTGAGGAGGTTGTCCTGTGCATTGTGGGGGGTTTAACAGCATCCTTTACATATACCCACTAGATGCCAGTAGCATACCCCTCCCCACAAGTTGGGACAATAAAAAATGCTTCTAGACATTGCCACATATCCTGGAGCGGGGGTGCAAATTGCTCTCCCCATGAAGAATCATCACTCTAGCATAATGTCTGGCACATAGCACTAGAAATATAGTTGCTTTTATTGTTAAGAGGAAAGTGGGAATAGGTGAAGAGTTAAATAAGCTGCAATTGTAAAGTATCTAGTGAACTTGGAAATGATGACTGACATTCATGGTGGCATTCATGCTTAAACATTCATGAAGACATTCTTAATGTCATCATGTCAACATTCATGATGACATGCTTAAACATTCAGGACGATATTCATGATGGCATTCATGCTTACAAAATCTAAGCAGGGAGGAAGTTGAAACAATTAGCTGAGAGACAGAGAGTAATCTAGCATCTCACTCATTTTTGCTTTCATCTCCCACATCCACAACTCATCAGAAACTACCTGAACAATCACGGTTTAACCCACCTTCTGCTATAAAGGATCTAAGATCAGATGTGGAAAAAATAAATATGAAATCAGAAATCCATGCAACTGTGATTCCAACATCAGGCTCAGAATTGATTTTCAGAGTTGAGGGTTTCCCTTTGTATAATTAGCCACTGGCATTCAGCTATACTATTTTTAGGTAGCTGTCAAACCTCTTGGCAGAGGAAAAAGTCCAGCAAACAGTGTTAGGAGTTAAAAGTGGATAGGAGGTAAAAGAATAGAGAAGGCAGAGAAATAGAAGATTACTCTTGGCGTCAGTCTTTTAAGATTCATTACATATAACACTACTTACACATTTTAATGAGCTTTTAAATGCCTTACAAAGTATTGATTTATCTTGGTCTTTATAGTTTGTTCTGGCATCTCTTAGAGTGAGTGCATAACCTATTTAAAAAGGCAGGGGAACAGAGAGTTGTCAGGTCCCCATCAGTTATGACATTTGTCCTGCTTTGCTGATGTTCAATCCCTCAGTGCTGAATAACAGTCTTCCTGAAACATTCGTGGGGTTCCTCCTTAGCACCTCATTAAGACTTACAGAGTTTTAATTATTTGTTCTCTTTCTGTAAGAAAACAAATGAAGATGAAGACAACTACATCTGGGCTACTACTGTGTGGCAAGTATGAGTACTTTACATGCATTTTAATACTTATAGCAGCATGGAAGTTGACGTTAGTCATTCCCAGCCCTGCTTGGGGGCTCATTCCTGTAATCCCAGCACTTTGGGAGGCTGAGATGGAAGGATCACTTGAGGCCAGGAGTTTGAGATCAGCCTGGGCAACATAGTGAGACTCCATCTTTGCAAAAATAAAAGAAAAGAAAAATTAGCTGCGTGTGATGCCATGTGCCTGTATTCCCAGCTACTCGAAAGACTGAGGCAGGAAGATTGCTTGAGTCCAGGAGTTAGAGGCTGCAGTGAACTATAATTGTGCCACTGCACTCCAGCCTGGGTGACAGAGCAAGATCCTGTCTCAAAGTAAAAAAAAACCCACAAAACTGTCATTCCCGAGTTGAGATGGATTTTACTCAACCCAGAACAAAACGCTTCAGTAACAGGGTTCCATGACCACATCTTCACTCATTTCACAGATCTCTGGCTGTTGCTACATCTAATCTTTTACTCAGACGACTCCTGACCACCAGTCGCCAGAGCTTTTCTGGTCTGGGCTGTAATTCGGACTTGCTATATTGCCTGATAAAATTAATAATTATAGCTAAAATTTATAAGCATTATCATCATTCAACCTCACAACAACCTGATGAAGAAGGTAAGCACTATTATCCTATCAAGTTTTCTAGATAAAAAAGGTGAGTCACAGAGAGGTTAAATATCTTGCTGAGATCACAAACCAGTAAATGATGGAGTTGATTCAACCCAAGATTTGTCTGATTCCAGAGCTCATGTTCTTAACTATGCCACTTAACTATGCCACTTTTTGGGGTGAGGCAGACAAATGTGAAATGGGTACTAATTTTACAATCTCACTTGTTCAGAGTATGTGAACATGTCACATCATCTGACTAGGCTTGGTGAAGTAATGCAGGTGCACACTGCTCATAGAGCCAGTGGGAGTTACATTGTTATTATTATTAGAGATAGTCTTTAGCATTTCTATGCTACTTTCTTCTTGCAAATTGCTGCCTATTTTCCTGAAAAAGATTCACAAATGGATTGCAATACATAGCATATTTATGTATTTGGGCACATTTACATTGTTGGTAAATGTACAGAGAAAAACTATTGCTGGTTACTGAGTAGCTAAGATAACAGTTTTTTCCCCTCATTAAACCTGACTAGTAAAGCAGAGCATACTCACTTTCCTTCACAACCTCTAGAGACTGAGCATCCTACCATTCTAATCAGAGATAAAATGGGGAACTCAGCAAATAAATCAATCAATAAGCAAATATTAATTGATGACAAACTTCAATGCATTAGAAATTGAATCTGATATTGAGTAGAAACTGTTCGGTATTTGCTTTAATGTATATTCCATAACAAATAGCCTTCTGTATGGATGCTTTAATATTAGGCACCCATTTGGATACTGTCAGTATTTTCCTTGCTCAATACCCTTGCTCACTGCTAGCCATACAGACCCTTGAAAATATTCAACTACAAATAAATGAGTGCCGAGTAAGAATCTTTCTCACATTGTCTCTACTTCTCCTTGACTATAAGACATCCTAATGCCATGTCAAGCAGTGGTTCTTCACTCTTATCTAAGGACAGATATTTTACAGACCTTTTAGTATCAGTAAGCAAAGGCTTCACCTATAAAGTGAAATAGTCATGCACAATGAGTTTAGAATCCAAGTTTCACTTTGCTATTGCTGCATTATTATTCATGCATGTATTTTGATGGTATTCAATTAAACTAAATGCATGAACTGGAACAAATACCTAATTGCAATGACTTCTGTTGCCCCAGTAAGCTACAGCAAGTAATGGAAGTCTCACAATTAAATAACAATACCCTAAAAATCATATACCATCATCAAAGGAAACATACACAATCATCATCTCAAGTACTACATATCTCTGCTGGGAATAATTGGATTCTGACTTAGAAACAGCCTGACTTTAAATAGACCATTGAAAATAGTGCCTCTCCAAACCTTCAGCTCTGAATTGCCAGGGTGCTGAATTGAGGAGTTTAAAATAACAGACCCTTACAATTAAGTAAAATCCTTAAGAGGAATACAATCAACTTCCATACAAATCCTAGAAATAATAACAGCTTTTTGTTTTCTATCTTTTAATTCTTCCTTGATATAGCTTCTAGAGCCCACAAGGATACAATTTTGGGGGAAAAAATAAAAGAAAAAGGAATATAAAAGGTTTCTGCTGTCCAACCACTTAGAAGAAAAAGAAAACCATTTCCTCAGGGCTTTGGTTTTTAAATAAGAGTGGATATTGAGTTTTAATGCATATTTTTAGAGATCCACAGAACCCCAAGCTGATTAAATAACCTTGAGGAAAATACTATGTCCTAAATTAGAAACGAAAAGAAAAATTACTTACCCTAAAATTTTCTTCTGATTTCTGGAGACCGAGGAGTTTACCACTTCGGCTCCTGCAGCCATTTACTGACAGCAGACATACCCAAGCAAAGCAAACTTTGCCTTTCTCAGGACTCAGAAACTATGAAATGAACAGAAAGAAATCACCCATTTTTGCCTCTAAGGTGAAATTACTTGAGTGCTGCTTTTCCAGCTTCCCTATTAGACCTTAGTGCATGTTTCATAGCTGCTTTCGAATGTATCCGTTTTCTTTAGAGGATTTGGGAGGGACCCTAAACTGAGCGTTGCTTGGGTCAGCCGCTCAGAGGTTCTGTCCTTGGTGCTGAAAGAGGGATGGAGTAGGCATAGGCAGTATCCGTTTTCTACCTCGCTCTCTTTTCCTCTTTGTCTCTCTATCTGCTCGGATACTGTGCTTTTTAGTACATGTATATTTTCTCCTCAGTGCTCTTTTTAATCTTAGTTTTTCCACTGTTTTTACCTTTATGCTTTAATTTCTCTTGAATAACTCTCACCTTCCTCAGTTTAATTGCCTTTCCAGATTTTGGTGGGTGTAAAGATGATTAGTTCAGAAGGAACAGATCATCAAATTGATACCACAATTGGTTAATGGAAATCAGTACAATTTAAAACACAATTGACAGGATAATTGAACTTGGAGGTGTAAGCCTGTCTGGGAAAAGAAGGTTAAAGGAAACATATTACAAAGGTAGCAAAACTGAGGCATGGCGTATAACTGGCAATAAGGATGAAATAAGCTTAATACTGTAAGAAATGTTAAATGTTTACTTAGCAGCACTTCTTGTTTTCAGAGGACTTCATAAATATTTGCCAATTCATTCTTACTGCTTCTCTGTGATATATACATAGATACCTTTTTTAAAACTGGTTTGGAACAAGCTAAAGTGAGATGCAACCAAGGACAATATCAGTGAAAGTCAGCAGTAGAACATAAACAATCCTAACTTATGGTCACCTGTTCATCTTACATTTTACTGTGGCATCCTAACCATTTCCTGTTCTCTCTCTCTTTTTTTTCTCCTCTGTTTGGTCAGTGTGGTAATTCTTCGGCTGTTTTCTCTGCCAACAGTGGATGTGCTTGGCAACTGCGGTGCAGTTATAGGGAAGCTAGCTCTTGTTTGACTATGATGGAGACCTCTGCTGGCTGAGAAAGAAGGCAGCAGCATCAACAAGGTCTAAATACTGCTATTGATAACAACCATCATTTATTGAGCATGTACTTTTAGCCAGTCATTTTAATGCATTGCTCCTTTTAATCCTTTCAACAACCCTACAAGGCAGGTACTATTTTTTACCATCCTTAATTTATGGATAGGAAAATTAAAGCTTATGGAGGTTAGTATAATGTCTGAAAGTCACACAGCTAACAAGTGGCTGACCCAAGATTTGGATCTAAACAACCTAATTCTCTTAACCACTATGGTATAGTCTTCCAAAAGAAGAAAATTTAAACTTCCCAAAAGACTGATAATATGTCAGAGAGAATAATAATTATGACAGTAATAATAATATTAATAATACATTTGTATATAATTATATTTAGAAATCATTTAGATGATTTAGAAATCATTCTGTAAATTATATTACATCAGTCTTCATGATGCCATCTTTATAGAGGCTGTTATGGACTAAATTGTGTCATTCCAAAATTCAAGTGTTGAAGCCCTAACCTTAGAACATGACTGTATTTGGATGTAAGATCTTTGAAGTGTGAGTTAAGTTAAAATGGGGCCTGGAGGGTACGCCCTAATCCAATATGACTGGTTTCCTATAAGAAAAAGAAGAGGCACCAGAAATGTGCACACAGAGGAAAGGACACAGGAAGATGGCATCTGTCTGCAAGCCAAGGAGAGGGGTCTTGCAGGAGAAACCAAACCTGCCACCCTGTTGATTTTGGATTTCTACCCTTCAAAACTGTGCAAAAATAAATTTCTCTTGTTTAATTCACCTAGCCTGTGGAATTTTGTTATGGCATCCCTAGCAAACTAATACAGAGGGTTAGAGAGGTTAGGTTCCATATCCAAGGTTGCCCATAACTTATTGGGCATAAATGTATTAGTTATATGACATAACTATATTGAACATGCCCTAAGACTAGAACTCCTGGGTTGAATGTGAACTCCAAGGCTTTTCTTCCCTTGGATAAGGGGACCAAGAGAATATGCACTGCTAAAACTTGGCTTGTCTGACATATAAAAGCAGGGAGTAATGTCAGGCTGTTATGTGAGCAGAATGAAGCAAAGGCCTTCTAAGGAGTTAAGAACCTCATATCACTCATTTTCAGCAACATGGTTTTCACGTTTCAGTATCCTATGTTTATTTTCTTTAACATTTGAAGACATTGTGCCTAATGATAATGCTATCTTGATAATGCGTGAATGTAGTAGGAAGAACCCTATTTCTAACTTTCTGTGTTGAGAACACATATTCTCTCTTCAAGGGCAGTTGTAAATGCTGGCAAGATATTCCTCAGCATGTTTTTAGTGCCTTCCTTTGGCAAAAGTAAAAGGAAGATAAAGAGTGATATAGACTCTAATTCTGTGTAGGAACAAGAGACAGGAAAATTAACTGACATGCCTAAAATCACACATCTAGGCAGTCAACTCTGTTCTGACTTAGCTGTCTCTGGTAGACTCCTTGACCCCCGTGGTGAATGGGGAGGGATTGGTGTGGAAATAGAAGAGAAGCAGGGTAAATGAAGTGATCCTTTCTCTCTGGACTTCACTATAGGTGAAGATTAGCAATTGCTCCTTTTATCTGGCACTTCCCATTCATACAACAACAAACAATTTTATTCTTTTAAGTAAGTGGAACCCTTATTCATGATTGGCATTGAGATATGCCTTCTGGGAAGAACTCCAAGATGCCTACAGAAGAGATATGCCTGGGCAGAAATCAAGAAAAATATAGATCATTTTTTTCATCTTCCTTCCAGAAACTCCATCTCAATAGCATGGCTGGAACATTCTCATGTACTAGCCAATGGCCCTTCATCAGGGAAAGTCTTTATGTTTTCAACTTGAAGTGGCAAGTCTAGAGCAAGAGAAGAGAGATGGTGGGCTTCTGATACATATGGTTACTCAGTGATTTTGTTTGAAAGGAAATTGATGTGAAGTTTGTGGTGGGACTATTCTCTTCTTGTCTTTGAAATGCTGTTCCAGGGAATGATACAAGAAACCTTGCCTTGAGCACCGACCATTGAGTACACCACTTTAAACCCCCACTGAGTTCCCACTCACTAGGACAGTATGGAGACTAAATGAAGCATTATGGGGAGGCAATTTGCAGGACCTATATGAATAAAGGAACATTTTGTTTCCATGTCTTATTATAACTGGCATTCCTTACTGTGAACTGGAAGATTTGATTATCATGATGATCTTAAACTGCATGATACTGATCTGGTCTGAACAAGAGCCTCTCAGTATGTTTTTCACTGGAATCAGACCTCAAGTTGTAAAAGTGTAAATGAAAGTTGGCAAATGCAGTGAGTGGTCCAGTAGTATGGTTATTTCTTCTCAACCTTAGCCCCTGTTCCTCTCCAATGAGATCTGGTGATAGATGAGAACCATCTGAGAAAGTGTTAGGTTTTATGTTTGAATTCATTCTGCTGCTGTAATACAGTTCTTGAAAGAAAAATAGTTCAACTCACTTATTATTATCTAATATTGAGCACCACTTTCTTCCTTTCTACAAGAGAATGGCAGGAAATAACAGAAGGAGGCTTCTCAATCAATCAGATTTGTACCAAATCACTCATTATAGGTAGCAGAGTAATAGTAAGGAAGGAAATAAATAAATGATAGTGGTTTTTTATATCTGCATCTACCCTTCTGTGTGCTTGCATGTTACCTCCCTTTTCTACTTCTATCTTAACTTTTCGACCTATTTTCTTCCTGTTTTTTACTACCCTCCATCATCATCTAATTTTTTCTTTTTTTCTTTTTCTGTTTTTTGAGACAGAGTCTCCGTCTGTCACCCAGGCTGCAGTGCAGTGGTGCAATCTCGGCTCCCTGCAACCTCAGCCTACCAGGTTTAAGCGATTCTCTAAGTACCTCATATAAGTGGAATCCTACTATATTTGTCTTTTTCAGACTGGCTTATTTCACTTAGCATAATGTTCTCAAAATTCATTGATATTGAAGTATATGTCAGAATTTTCTTTCTTTTCAAGGCTGAATAATATTCAATTGTACCACATTTTGCTTTTCTGTTCATCTATGGATGACACTTAAATTACTTTCACATTTTAGCTATTGTGCATGACACTGCTATGAACATAGGTGTTCAGATATCTTTTTGAGATCCTGTTTTCAGCTCTTTTAGATATATATCCAGAAATGGAATTGCTGGTTCATGTGGTAATTCTGTTTCTAATTTTTTGAGGTACTACCATACTGTTTTCCACAGCAGCTGTATCATTTTACATTCCCATCAATAGTGCATGAGTGTTCCAATATCTTCACATCCTCAAGAGCATTATGCCTCCATTGTAATTTATTCTTTGATCCACTGATTCTTTAAAAGTGTGTTGTTTAATTTCTACAAATATGTGAGTTTTCCAGTTTTACTCTGTTATTGATTTCTAATTTCCTCCCATTATGATCAGGGAAGACTTTGTATGACATTTGTCTTTTAAAATCTATTGAGACACAATTTGTGGCCTAACATATGGCCCATCCTGGAAAATGTCCCATGTGTACTTGAAAAGAATGTGCATATCATTGTTGTTGGGTAGAGTGTTCTGTATATGTCTTTTAGGTCTAGTGGGTTTATTGTGTTGTTTATATCCTCTATTTTCTTACTTATTTTCTGTCTGGTGGTTCTATCTGTGATTGAAGGTGGAATGTTAAAGTTTCCAACTATTAATGTAGAATTGTATATTTTTCTCTTTAATTCTACCAGTTTTTGCTTCATGTATTTTGATCGTCTGTTATGAGGCATGTTAATGTTTAAAATTGCTCTATTTTCTTGTTGTATTAAATATTTTATTAATATATAATACCCTTTTTTATTTCATAATTTTTTGACTTAAATTCATTTTTGTCTGATATTTGTCTAGCCATTCCTGCTCTCTTTTGGTTACTATTTGCATGAATATCCTTTTCCATCTTTTCACTTTCAACCTATTGTATCTTTGTTTTCTTTTTCTCTTTTTTATTATTTTTGTGTGTGTCTTTGGATCTAAAGTTAGTTTCTTGTAGACAGTATATCCAGCAATCATGTGTTTTTTATCCATTCTGCTGATCTCTGTTTTTTGATTGGGTAGTTTAATCCATTTACATTTAAAGAAATTACTGATAAAGAAGGACTTACTTCTGTTGTTTGCTATTTGTTTTCTATATGCCTTATAGCTTTCCCACATCTCACTCTGCATGACTCTTTTTTGTGTGTGTTTAGTTGATGTTTTGTGGTGAAATGTTTAATCTCCTTTCTTATTTCCTTTTGTTTATATTCCTTAACTATTTCTTTTTGGTTGCAGTGGAGATTACATTTAACATCCTAAAGTTATAATACTCTAACTGGAGTTTATACCAGTCTAACTTCAATAACATAAAATATCTGGTCCTCTACTATTCTTTCTTCACTCTTTTTGGTTGTTAATGTCATAAAATTATACCTTTATATATTGTGTAACACCAAACATAAACTAATAATTATTTTAAATGCGTTAGTCTCTTAAATTATATAAAAAACAAAACATGGAGCCACAAACCAAAGTTACAATAATGTTAGCTTTTAGACTAATGATTGTTTTCTTTTAAATGTATTAGTCTCTTAAATTATGTAGATAGCAAAATACTACTAGCTTTTATAAAGGTCCTTGCATTTATTGAGCTCTTTGTTTCTTCATACAGCTTCAAGTTACTGTCTAATGTCCTTTCATTTCACCTTGTAGGACTCCCTTGAATATTTCTTGCAGGGAAAGTCTAGTGGTAATGTGGTAATGCTCCTCAGCTTTTGTTTATCTGGCAATGTCTTATGTTCTCCTTCTTTTCCTGCTTCAGTCCCCCAAGTAGCTGGGACTACAGGTGCATGTCACCATATCTGGCTAATTTTTTGCATTTTTAGTAAAGACAGGGTATTGCCATGTTGGCCAGGCTGGTCTCGAACTCCTGAATTCAAGTGATCTGCCCACCCTGGCCTCCCAAAATGTTGGGATTATATGTGTGAGTCACTGCAACTGACCTCCTTCACTTTTGAAGGACAATTGTTCTGATATAAAATTCTTGGTTGACAGGTATTTTTTTCTTTTAGCATTTTGAATACGTTGTCCCACTACCTGATGGGCCAAAGTTTCTCATGAGAAATTTGTTAATATTCTTACCAAAGAGCCCTTGCATATGATGAATCAGTTCTTTTTTTGCGCTTTCATAATTCACTGTCCTTATATTTCAGAAGTTTGATTATAGTGAGTCTTGGTGTGGGTTCATCTTGAAGTTCATTGTGCTTCTTGGATGTTTATGTCTTTCATCAGATTTAGAAACTTTTCTGCCATTATTTCTTCAAATATTCTCCTTACCCTTTATCTAGCCCTTCTCTTTCTGGTGCTGTCACAGTGTGTTAGTTGGTTCACTTGATGGTGTCTCCTATGTCTTTTAGGCTCTGTTCACTTTTCTTCAATCGTTTTTCTTTTTGTTCCTCAGACTGATAATTTTCATTGTATCTGCAAGTTTGCTGATTTCTTTCTTGCCTGCTTAAATCTGCCTTTAAATCTGTCTAGTGAAGTTTAAAATTTTAGTTATTATATTTTCAGCTTCAGAATATCTTTTTGGTTTCTTTTTAGTGTTTCTATCTCTTCGCTAATATTTCCATTTTATTCATAGGTTGTTTTCTTGACTTTTCCCACATCTTCTTTTAGTTCTTTGAGACTTTAAGTTAGGTGTTTTAAAGTCTTTGTCTAGTAGATCTGCCACTGAGACTCTTTCAGGAATAGTTTTGGTTGATTAATTAAAAAAAAAATTGAATGTGCCATACTTTTCTGTTTCTTCATGTGCCTTGTAATTTTATTTTTTTTTTAAGAGATGGGCTTGGTCTGTCACCCAGGCTAGTGTGCAGTGGCATGATCATAGCTCACTGTAACCTCAAACTCCTGGGCTCAAGCAATCTTCCTCCCTCAGCCTCCTGGGTAGCTAGGACTACAGGCTACCATGCCTGGAAAATGTTATTTTATTTATTTATTTATAGAAGTGGAGTCTCACAATGTTGCCCAGGCTGGTGTCTTGTAATTTTTTGTTGAAAAACAGACATTTGAAGTTAATAATGTGGTAACTCTGTAAATCAGATTCTCCCTCTTCTCCAGGGCTTGCATATTTTTTTGTTAGTGTTTTGTTTACTACTTTAAAAAAATGTTAAGTGCTGTTTCTGTGTCAAGGATCAGCCTGACGTGCAAATTTAAGGTTTCTTTTCTAAATCTGCACCTTTCCCTAGGTAAGTGCAGTCACTTTCTAATTTTCCCTGTATATGCATTGTTTTTTAATGTCCTAGTCTTTAATGTCTGACTTCCAAAAGGTGGAAATAGAAAAATAAAGGTAGATTTTTAAAAAATGGAAGCGATTCTCCTGCCTCAGCTTCCCAATCTCAGCTGGGATTACAGGCATGTGCCACCATGCCCGGTTAATTTTGTATTTTTAGTAGAGACAGGGTTTCTCCATGTTGGTGAGGCTGGTCTTGAACTCCCGACCTCAGGTGATCTGCCCACCTTGGCCTCCCAAAGTGTTGGGATTACAGGCATGAGCCACTGCACCTGGCTCTAAATCTTCTTGAAGTTACTACAGCCAGACAGGGAGGGGCTTATAACAGTGGGGGAGGTGCAACAACCGTGGTAGCATACTCCTTTGTCTGAATCTCTGTGATCAGAAGGAGCAATCAATTATCAGACCATAGTTCCCCTCTATTTGGAGGACAAGGTTCTTTTTGCCCACTCTGGCTCCTGCAAGCTGCTCCCAGAATTCAGACATAGCTGTATGCCACATTGCTGGAAGTGGAGAATGAGTAATTGCTATTATGCTAAGAGCTGACATGACCAAAATAAACTTAATTTACCATTCAAGGCTTCTCCTGGAAGTTGCAAGCTTTCAATAGATTCCAGAGTTCCAAAATAATTACATCAGGCAGACTCTGCCAGTGCAATTGTGTCTAGCTGGGGAAACAGATTCCTGGTGCTTCCTACTCCACCATATTTCTGAAATCATCCCCTTTTTTCCATTGGCTTTTAGTGCTCCCCCTGGAAATCAGAGAACTGTGTGTATAGAAGATGGAAGATGAGAGAGATATGGAAGTGTTATTATGATGGAAGTAGAAATGTCTGAGAAAGTGAAGATCTAGAGGCTCAAAAGTTGCCTGGAGACTCTAGACTGGGTGAGACATGTTTCAACTGTTTTATTCTAGGCATTTAGGGACATGTATCATGGGGAATAAGATGGAGGAGTAGTAGAGGCACTTTAACTTTTTCATAGTTGACAACATTCCATCAAAGAACAGGTCATGTGTTTTCTTTCTTTTCTTTTTTTGCAAATGTCTAAAAAATGTTCTCTAAGATTAGAAATAAACGATCATTATTTTTGTCGTAAGTTGGGGTTTGTGTGTTCACACACTGTGCTTCTCTTGGTTAAGTGCCTTTATAATGGTTTGATCTCTGCCCTAGAGCACAAAGGAGCAGCTTTATCTTCATATCTTGTTTTTCAAGATACTCAGCATGTATAAAGTATATCTGCAATCCATTTTCTGTGGGTTACACTGTCTAATCTTCAAAAGTTCAGTTCTCCCCAGCAGACAGGACTTGTAGGACTTTGTATGTTAATGAGAATAATCTTGAATTCAATGAAGCTTTTGTTGCTTCCACAACTCCTTTGCAATCTTGTCATTGATGTTCAGATATCCTACTGCACTGCCATGATTGAAATGTGGTCATTCCCAGAGTAAAGCAAAATGACAGCCTATTACAAAGTAGTTGGTTTGAAAAGGGACAAATATTACTATCCAAGAAGGGCATTTGGTATCACTAGAACTCTTGGGAGTTCAAAAACTCAGCTTTATTGGAATGGCTTCACTATCCCTGGAAATGTCCATTTTCTCCTCTTGTCTATCTTATTTTCCCTATGTCTCTCTCAAATTGGCTCAAACTGTTACTTATGTTTTAAAAATGCCATATAAAAGTGCTGATGTTCATAAGGTTCTAGTCATATTAGGGTACTTAATAGAACCATAGCAGGTAACTCAGGCAAATGGATTGTGCCTCATATTCATTATGACCAAACTCGTGAAATGAGACACTAGATAATTCAACACAATCATGCTCCTTGTGCCCTAGGAAGAGAAAAAGAGAAGCAAATACCTGAGCATCTCCCCTCTCCATATAGGTATCCAAGTGCACTTGGAGAATCAAGTTTATTATTTCGGCTGGGGCTTTGGCAAATAACAGAAAACCCCTTCTCAATTGAATGAAATGATAAAGAGTTTATTATCTCACATAAAAAATCCAGAGGCAGATGGCTTCACACGAATTCATTAGGGATCAACATTTCTTTTTTTCCCTTTTTTTTTTTTTTTTTTTTTGAGATGGAGTCTCTCTCTGTCACCCATGCTAGAGTGCAATGGTGAGATCTCAGTTCACTGCAACCTCCGCCTCAAGTTCAAGTGATTCTTGTGCCTCAGCCCCTCAAGTGGCTGGGACTACGGGCGTGTGCCACAACACCCAGCTAATTTTTGTATTTTTAGTAGAGATGGGGTTTCACCATGTTGCCCAGGCTGGCCTTGAACTCCTGACCTCAAGTAATCCGCCCGCCTGGGCCTCCTAAAGTGCTGGGATTACAGGCGTGAGCCACCACACCCAGCCCCATTTCAACACTTCTGCTTTTATAGATCTTATCCTGGGGCTGACTTGCCTCATGTTCACAATATGGCTGCACCAGCTACACGTATTCATATTCTCAGTGCAACATCCAGAGGTGGAGAATGAGACTTGTTTTTAACATTAAGGGAGTTCTTTCCCAGAAGTCCCTTGGCAAGTTCTCTTTACGTTTCATTTGCCAGATTTACATCACATGTCCATACTTGAATCAATTAGCAGCAAAGGAAATAGGAGCACTGCTGCTGACAGATTTATTAGGACATTCCTGAGTCATAAAGGAAAAGAGGGGACACCTGAATAAAATGTGGAATTTTTGCTAGCAAGGAAGACTGTAGGAAGTGACAAATGGCTACACTTAAGATTAAAATGAACCCTAAGTAATGTTGTCAAAGGGAATTACCTGAAACACTCCAAAGAATAATATAGCAGCATTACAATGATTTTAAAAAGAATAACAACATAATCATGCCAGTTTCATTTTGCAAATTTTATTCTAGTCTTTGTCCACTTGTACGTATATTTTACATAGTTGAAATCTTAATTTTATAGTCTATCTTTACCATGTAAAGTAATTATAAATAATATTTGTACACATTTTATATTATGGTTATCATCTTTAATGACTAAATTCTCTTTTATTCAGTTGATTTAACATTTTAATCCAGCCTATATCGTTTGATCCTTTTACTACTATTAATATCAGTGCAATATATCTTTAAAGGGATTATTTATATTAAGCACACATCAAGAGTAAGATTATTACCAACACATTAGGAAAAGCAATGGCAAGTAGCTGAAAGATCATCAGACTTGGAGTTGAAGACTGGAGTTTTGTCTATATCCTTGCTATATACTTGTTGCATTTGCTTTGGCTGGTTTATCAGTCTTTTGAGCCTCAGTTCCCTTATTTGGAAAAGATGAAGTTGGAATAAATAAATTCTATGATCATTTCCAGCTCCAATTGTCCATGATTTTATGAATTCTAAGATCCTTTGAAAAGCTTAAGTATTTGGGCCGCAGACTAGGAAACTGACTTAATAAAGGCATAGAGATGGAAAATTGGTGGCCACATTATGCCTGTAGAAAACTTATGTTTAGCCAGCCTATTTTTATGGAAAGTGAATGCAAATACTTTTTAGATAGAGCATGCACCATTCAGTTTGGTCACAGTTTTCTCCACTCCTTGTTGTTTGACACTAGGAGGCTTCATACCTTTCTAGTACCTGTCTTGCCCCGAAGGGCTTTGAGTTTGCAACCCCTGGAAGAAGGTGACACTGTGGCAATTGAATGACTCCCCAGCCTGAACCCTTGAACCTAGCACCTAGGTTTCCATGGAAGTCTTCCTTCAAAGAATTGTTGAAAGGCAGCCTTATTTGTTCGCAAGATCTTGTGATGGTTTCCATGTTATGCACATAAACACCTTGTCAGGCATCAGAGACAGGTTGGAAAGGATGATTGATGGGAGTGGGCTTGTGAAATCACACCTGCTGTCACAGCAGATGGGGAAAAAAGCCGGAGTAACCTGTGGAATTGCTGATTCTTTTTGAAAATTCACTCATAAAAACATAATTTTAGCTCTTTTACATACTTTAGATAGAGCCAGTATCACAAACCAAACTCTAGGGGAGCAACTAATATATGAGTTTGCAGAAGTATAATTTCAATAAAATAGCAAGAAGCCTTCACCAACCAGGTGAACTGGTATTTGAGCACAGGGGTGGTGAAGCAGCTCTTTCTTTGCCAAGCAAAAATATGTCATTCAAGCTGCAATTGCTGGCTGGCTGCCCACTGGGCCTATAAGCATGTCCTCAGTGAATGTTATCCCAATCCATGCATAACTATTGCCTTTGGAGCACAGAATGCATCCTAGAGAGGAAAAAGGATAATATATATATATATATATATATATATATATATATATATATATATATATATATTTTTTTTTTTTTTTTTTTTTTTTTTTTTTTTTTTTTTTTACAGAGCAAACCAATAAACAGAAAATGGGAAACATGGGCTTGTCCCAACAGGGAAGCCATGTGGACCTGAGGAAGTGCTCTGAGATCTCTTTTGACTTTATGCTGTTGTTGGCTCTGCCCTGAACAGCTTAGCAATAGTTATACTAATTTTACCTGATATGCATTTAAAAATTTATTCAACACAACTAGTTACTGAGTTTCCACTATGTCATGGTACTGTTTTATAGGAAGTACAAAGCAATGTGTTTGGGAGGGTAGAACATGCACATCTGCCTAAGTTAAGAAGCAAGGAAAGAGTTTAACAGGACTAGAAGGGAGACCCCAAAGTAGGATATGATCAAATCCAAATGAATCTTTTGAACAGTCAGAGCTGTGTGTATGGAAAAGGAAAAGGCAGATCATCTGAGTAGAAAAGGAAGACTCTCCAGAGAAGCGGGGGATTGATTTGGGCCTTATAGGGTATGGGAGTTACGTTCAAGCTAGGGCATGATAAAAGAGAATAGTTTTACCTACCAGAGTCCAAAGTCTCTGGCAGTTCAGTGAGTCATTTATTCATGAACCCCTTTGTTCATTTGTTCAACAAATACTTATTGAGAATTAATTCTATGACAGGCCTGTTTTGGGCCTAGAGAATACAGTGAATAAACATGACCGATAGATCTCTGCTCTGGTACAGGGAGGTGGAGAATAAAACCAAGTAAAACGAGAAAGTCTCAGATAATGGTGAACATTATGCAGAGAGGTAGAATTGGGTGACAGTGAATGGCTGACTATGGTAGACTTGGTGCTTTCTTTGCTTCTCTGAAGAGGTGACAGATAAGCTCATATCTGAAAGACAAGGGGCAGCCAACCATGCAAAGGTCAGTGGGAAGAGTATTCCCAGCTGTGCAGAGGCCCTGAGATGGGAACACGATTGGCACATTTGAAAAGGCCAGTGTTGCTGGGTGTAGTGGATGACAAGAGAGGTGGAACAAGGTGAGGCTGGGGAGAGAAGATGCCAGATGGTGTAGGAGTTTGCATTTTATTCTAAGTGGGATGGAAGCCCTTTGAAGGTTTAAGCAGAGAAATGATGTATTTGATATGCAGGTACCTCTTTCTTCTGTGTGAGAGTAGATTACAGCAGGAGCAAGCCAGGGCGTGGGGAGGCTGTTACGGTAACTCAGAAGCAAGTTGGCGGCTCCCTGGACTCCACTGGTAGTACTAGAGATGGGGAAGAGTGAATACATTGGGTTATATATGAGGACTTATCAATGGATAAATTGTGGGACATGAGGGAAAGGGAGCTGCCAAAATAGTGATTGAATTGGATCCAGTTATTAGGAGTGTGCTGGTTTCTCTGAAATGCTTAAGGAAGTTCTATAAGAGCATTGAGGATCAATCAATTAGAGGAAACATGCTGTAGAAATAAATGAAGACCAACCAAATAAGACAGCAAAGGCTATTTATTTGGAGTTTGCTATAGTAAGGGAGTCAGATATCATCACTTGTGTTTTGGCAAAGGCTCAATGGCAGAGAGAGGAGGGGGAAGCTTTATAATGGAAAAAAAGGGAAGGCTTCAGGTATGCCCTGATTGGAGGCTGGTGGCATGGGGAAGCTGTGGGTTAACTATTATAGAAGCAGACTATCCTCTGTGATTGGTTAGAGGTGCATATTTTGCTTTCTCTGACTGGGCCTAAGTTGGAAGTGAGGACAAAAATTAGGGAAGCTGTCAGTTATTAATCAAGTCTTGGCCACTTGGGACCAATTGCTATGAAAATTATTGTTTTGCTTCTTGGATTGTCACTGAAGATAGCAGTCTGGCTCCCTGCAAGTCTGATTTATAGCAGTCTGGCTCCCTGGTTGCTTATTGTAGATAAGGGGTTGGTTTCCTGGGTAGCTTGCTGTAGATTGTGGGCCAAAGTTCTGTATTTATGTATTGTCTGGCTAGGGTCTGTATAGTCAATTTCTCAATGCCTTGATAATGCTTGTTTTTATTTCTGAAGTAGGTCATACATTTTGATACATTTTTTCTCTGTGCTCCTCCAAATCCATTTCTCTTCATCTCCTTATTGTTCTCTGTCTTTTTCTTTGCTTCAACCTCAGTTCTGTTGGTGATTACACTTGCCTTCAATAGCTCATACAACAATTACCTCTCCCAGATGACTATTTTATGACAGATGTTCATCGAGCTTCCAATCCTAAAGCTTGAGGTTGACTAATGAAATTTTATGTCTACTTATTCCAATTGTCAATGGAACAGTCTCCAGAGATCAAAGTGTGGTTTATCAATTGATGCGATAAGCAAACTTTGTAACTGGGTCTGAGATAAGGTAGATACAAAAATTGAGAGTAAGTATCAGAAACACTTATAGCAATTTGACAAAATACTTTTATTTCTGTTGAACTTAATATTTAAATTTTAGGCTTATATGCCCCCTTTTACCCCACTTCGTCTTTCCTATAGGTAGATTGGAAATTTAAAAAAAAGCGACAAAACAAAACAAACAAAAAAAGAAGGCCGGGCCTGGTGGGTCATGCCTGTAATCCCAGCACTTTGGGAGGCCGAGGCGGGTAGATCACGAGGTCAGGAGATCGAGACCATCCTGGCTAACACGGTGAAACCCCGCCTCTACTAAAAATACAAAAAATTAGCTGGGCGTGGTGGCGGGCGCCTGTAGTCCCAGCTACTTGGGAGGCTGAGGCAGGAGAATGGCCTGAACCTGGGAGGCGGAGCTTGGAGTGAGCCAAGATCGCGCCACTGCACTCCAGCCTGGGCGACAGAGTGAGACTCCGTCTCAAAACAACAACGACAACAACAACAACAACAACAACAACAGAACTTTCATAACATATAGTTTGAAAAATACTGTGCTAGATTTCTCACAGTTGCCAGCTCTACAACAACCAGAATGAGATGAGAAATGGAGGCAAGCCAACAGTTGAATGCTTATCCATGGGGTCAGAGACAGCGTCTGACCTGAATAAATAAGGGCTGCTCTTCCAGCCTGAAGGCTCCCTCTCCCTGCTTCTCAGAGCAGTTCCTGAGTCAACTGGGGCTATACTGGACTTCTATTTCACCTACTATGCAGATATAGAGCATTTCTATTGCATATGGCCACCTCCTATGAATGGAGAGTAAGGGAGGAAGAGGAGGAGATAACATACCTTCCTTGCATCCTAATCACATTTTTTTCCCCAAACGCTATCTCTCCTTCTTAGGGATTTTGTGCATTTAATAATGGGACTTAGATTCCTTCCTACATTAAAGACATAGAGGAATGGAATATCAAATTCCAGAAAAGGAAATATTAAAATAAACATCTTAATTTTTATTTATTAAAGTTTTTGAGTATACATGAGCACACACATATAGTTTGCAAATATAAAACAGTTTCATTTGGCTTTTTTTGATGATGTTCATTCACTGAGTAGATATAACTTAGATTTTCCTGTTTCCTTATTCCTTTGTCATTACACATTCTGCACTCTTGGTCAGTTCTAATTTAAAATATTCTATCCTATAAATAAATTCACATCTGTCTGATCATGTGCTCTGATTTTTAATTCATAAAATATGGTCAAGGTGTCAATCAGTTGCTATCCCTGCTTACCTCTAGGACTATGATGGCATATCCTAAATGATATCCCCAAATAACACAGCCAATGTGATTTTTGTAGTCCTGTAAGTCAGTGTTTTAGATTCAGTTTCCTCATTTTGTTTCCATCCAACTGGTGGTTTTGTCTAGCTATGTTTCAGAAGGCACACCATAGTAGGACCCTCTGAATCCTGAATCCATTTTTTGTTTGTTTTTGTTTTTTGAGACAG
Source organism: Homo sapiens (assembly GCF_000001405.40). Taxonomy (NCBI): domain Eukaryota; kingdom Metazoa; phylum Chordata; class Mammalia; order Primates; family Hominidae; genus Homo; species Homo sapiens. Next base: position 114,194,308 of record NC_000003.12, read on the forward strand.
AGTCTCAGTCCATCACCCAGGCTGGAGTGCAGTGGCATGATCTCCACTGACTGCAACCTTGGCCTCCTAGGTTCAGGCGATCCTCCTGCCTCAGCCCCCCAAGTAGCTGGAATTACAACCGTGTACCACCATGCCCGGCTAATTTTTGTATTTTTAGTAGAGACGGGGTTTTACCATGTTGGCCAGGCTGGTCTTGAACTCCTGACCTCAAGTAGTCCACCCACCTCGGCCTCCCAAAGGCTAGGATTACAAGTGTGAGCCACTGCAGGTGCCCTGAATCCTGAATCCATTAAGCTTTCTGTCCTCAACATCTCAAAGATGTGTTGAGCATGCCGACTTTTCTGATCTTACACAAATGTGGTACATTCTGTCATTAGTTTTTCATGTGATGAACTTGGACTTGCTACCCGCCTTTTTCTGTTACTCTGAAGGCAAGTGTGCTGTATTGTCTTGCATCCCTTCCTACCATTGCTTCCTTCCATGGGAAAGACTGACATGGTCTTGGGCATCTTGCAAAGATTTTTTTTTTTTTTTGAAACCACTTAAGTAAAACAAAGTCTCCTGCTGTCAAGTCATTTGTTACTAATGTTCAGAGAAAATTCTGCTTTTCTTAGTCATCAACAGTGAAGGAGAAACAACTTTCTCCAGACTTACGGGAAGCTTGTCTGCTCTCAATTCATAGGAAATTCCCCCAGGCAGGTATCTTCAATCAGCTCTAATCTACTCATCAGTGATTTTCTTTCAAAAGGAACCACTTGAGGCTGAGCCAGAGGCTTATCAAGTACTTTAGGCCTTTTGGGGAACAGGGAGGAATAGAATAAAGGTGGATGAAGATGGGAGCCATGGAGGAGCTTATAAATCTGCTACTAAATACCAGTAAAACATTTTCTTGAGGTAGAGTACCTGAATTCTAAGGAGAAGAGTGTGATTTCCTGTAAGTTATTTTTGTTTAGTTTTTGTCTCATTTTCAACAACTGGGAGATACTTAAAAGAATCTCCATAAAATGAAGACTAGGTACATTCAGCCCTAGTCTAGGTAAGGGATGTCTGGCTGATATTGTACTGATTCACTATGCATAGCCAAGGATGATTGACATACCCTGGAAAAAGTGTGAATATCAAAATGAGAAAATGTTAAATGTCTGAAATCACATAGTAAAATGTATAAAATTATGAAAATATTTCCATTATTCACAATTTAGCTAAGCAAAGCAACTAAGTTCCATAGTACTCTTTATTATTTATGTAATAACAGAAGATGGCAAATAGAGAGAATAAGACATAAATTGACTTTTAAACGTTATTGGCCTTGTGACTGAACATCTATATAGTTTTATTTTCAGGTTTAAAGTTCATTCAAAGTGGGGAGGGGTAGCCAGTATATTGCCATTTTGAATAGTGCAATTAGGATACCAAAGGGTTAAATATAAAGCATTTATATTTATAATATTATAAGACTTTAAACTTATAAAATATCTTACTTACATATAAAACACCCATTTACATAAGAAGAAGTTGGGGAGATCCGGCTTGACAATACTGTGGGACTAAGACTTGGGCAGAGAATGGTTGATTGGATCACAAGCTTAAAAGGAGCAATCTGGTTAAAATATAGGAGACATCCACAAAACTTCAAAGCTGTGCAACTTTAGGCTGTATAAACAAAAGTATACAGAACCAGGGAAGGAATATACCTGTTGTACTCTAGACTCTCTAGGTAACCTTTGGAATACCTTTGTGCAACAAGAGCACATTTTGAGCAGGATGGCCATGTTGGCAGAGGGATTGCTATCCGTAACATAGGAACTGTTTTTGTTGTTCACTTGGCCTAGTAATTTCCTATTCATGTTGTTTGTATCAGTAGTCACTTCTTTTTAATGCTAAGTAGTATCCCATTATTTATCAATTTCCAGTTTTTGGTTATTACAAATAAAGCAGCTATGAACATACATACACAAATCTTTGTATGGATATATGCTTCTTTTTATTTTACTTTATTTCTACTTTTTCATTTTTATTTTTTTAGAGACGGGGTCTCACTCTGTCACCCAGGCTGGAGTGCAATGGCATGATCATAGCTCACTGAAGCCTGCAGTTCCTGGGCTCAAACAATCCTCCTGCCTCAGCCTACCTAGTAGCTGGGACCACATGCTCACATCACCATGCCTGGTGGGATTTATGCTTCTTTTCTTGTGAATAAATACTAAGGCATGGAATGACTGGGTCCTGTGATAGGTATAAACCAGTACCACACAGTTTTCTAAAGTGGCTGTACTATTTTACATTTCCACCAACAATGCATAAATGTTCCAGCTCTACATCCTTACTGAACCTTGTATGGCCAGTCATTTAAATTTTAGTCATACTAATAGATATGACCTGAGGTCTAGTGGTTTTAACTTGCGTTTCTCTAATGAATAACGATGCTGGGCATCTTTTCTTGTGCTTGTTTACCATCTCCATATCTTTGTGTTAGTGTAGTATCTATTCAAATCCTTCCCCCATTTTATATTGGATGTTTGTTTTCTTATTATTGAGTTTTGAGAGTCCATTATACGTTCTAAATACAAGTCTTTTATCTAATATATGCTTTGTAAATATATTTTTCCCAGTCTATGTCTGTCTTTTTATGCACCTAATAGTCTTTTTTAAATTTATTTTTATTTTTTTCTTTTTTTCTTTTTTTTTTATTATACTTTAAGTTTTAGGGTACATGTGCACATTGTGCAGGTTAGTTACATATGTATACATGTGCTATGCTGGTGCGCTGCACCCACTAACTTGTCTAATAGTCTTTTATTTACTTTTTCCTTTTTTTTTTTTAAGTCAAGATCTTGCTCTGTTGTCCAGGTGGAGTGCAGTGGCATGATCGTAACTCACTGTAACTTCAAACTCCTTGGTTTCAGCGATCCCCCGGCCTAAGCATCCTGAGTGTCTAGGACTATAGGTGCACTTGGCTAATTAAAAAAATTTTTTTTTTTTTTTTTTTTTTTTGTAGAGAAGAGGTCTCGCCATGTTGCCCAGGCTGGTCTTGAACTCCTGGCCTCAAACAATCTCCCCACCTCAGACTCCCAAAATGCTGGGATTACAAGCATAAGACACTGCATCTGGCCAATAGTGTCTTCTAAAGGGCATAAGTATTAAATTTTGATAGAGTACAATTTACTAATACTTTCCATTTAATGGATTGTGTTTTGATGTCTCATATAAGAAATCTTTGCCTAACCCAAGGTCACAAAGATTTTCTTCTAAAAGTTTAGTATTATCAGGTTTTAATCTTAAATTTATTATTTCTTTTGAGTTTGTTTTTGTTTATAGTACAAGACATGGGTTGAAGTTCATATTTTGCATAATAATTTTCATGTTTTCTACCAACTTTTGTTGGCAAAGTTATTCTTTCACCATTGAATTGCCTTTGCAACTTCATCGAAAATGAGTGTCCATATCTATCTAGGTATATTTCTGGACTCCTCTTTTGTTCTATTAATATATTTGTCTATCTTGACACCAATACCAAACAGTCTTGTTTACTGTGGCTATATATGTCTTCAAGTCAGGTGATGTTAGACCTCTCTAACTTTGTTCTTGTTTTTCAAATTTGTCAGGCTATTCTCGTTCCTTAATATTTCCATATGAACTTTAAAACCAGCTTCTTATTTTCTACCAAAAAGTCTGCAGAGATTTTGATTGGGATTGCATTTATTCTACAGATCAAGTTATATAGATCTTCTATATAAATCTATATTGAATCTTTTAACACATAAACAAAAGTAAATCTATTTATTTAGGTCTCAGTTTTTCTCAGCAATATTTTTTAGGTTTTAGGGTACAGGTCTTTTATATCTTTTGTCAGATGTATCTTTAAGAAAATGTCTTATTCTTAATGCTATTATAAATGATATTGTTTCATAATTTCTGTGTTTTTTTTTTTCCTTTTTTGGAGATGGAGTCTCACTCTGTCACCCAGGCTGGAGTGCAGTGGTGCAATCATGGGGCACTGCAGCCTCAGCCTCCTGGGTTCAAGTAATCCTCCCGCCTCACCTGGTCTCGAAGTCCTGAGGTCAAGCTATCTGCCCACCTCAGCCTCCCAAAGTGCTGGGATTACAGGTGTGAGCCACTACACTCAGCCTGGTTTATAATTTCAATTTCCAATTGCTTGTTGCTATTATATAGAAATACAATTGCTTTTTATAGATTGATTTCGTATTCTGCACCTTACTTATTTAGTTCTAGTAGGATTTTTTTTGGGTAGATTTTTTGGTGTAGATTTTATACATAGATTACCATGTTATCTGAAAATTATGACAGTTTTATTTCTTTCTAATTGGCTAGCTTTTATTTCCCAATCTGTCTATAGCTATAGATACATAGGTATCTATAGATAAATAAATACACACACACCGCTACACTTAATTTACAAAACATATAAATATGTTTTTGTTTTTTTAGAGGCAAGGTCTTGCTCTGTTGCCCAGGTTGGAATATAGTGGCATGATCATACCTCATTGCAGCCTTGAACTCCTGGGCTCAAGTGATCCTCCCACCTCAGCCTCTCAAGTAGCTAGGACTATACAGGTGCATACCACAATGCCAAGCTAATTTTAAAAATATATATTTTTGTAAATACAGTGTCTCATTATGTTGCCTAAGCTGGCTTGAGCTCCTGGCCTCAAGGGATACACTCACTTCAACCTCCCAAAGCATGGGGATTATTGGTGTGAACCACTATGCCTAGCAAAAAATTATACCTGTTATATAGAATTTAAAAATTCTTACTGTTTCATTTTGGATAGTTTTTGTTTTCATGTGAAATTCACTAATTTTTTCTTCCATGATGTCTAACATGCCATTAATTCCATCCAACAACATTTTCATCTCCCATATTGTCTTGGTCCATTCTGTGCTGCTATGACAGAATACCTGAGACTGGATAATTTATAATGAACAGAAATTTATTTGGCTCACAGTTCTGGAGTCCGGGAAGTCCAAGAGTGTGGCACAGACATCTGGCAAAGACCTTTGTGCTGTGTCATCTCATGGCGGAAGGCAGAAGAGCAAGAAAGGGTGAGAGCAAGAGGAGGTTGAACTTGCTTTTATAATGAAGCCACTTTCAAAATAGCTAACCCACTCTGGTGATAGAAACATTAATCCATTCATGAGGACAGAGCCCTTATGACCTAATCAGCCCTTAAAGTCCCACCTCTCAACACTGTTGCATTGGGGATTAAATTTCCAACACACAAACTTTGGGGGACACATTCAAACCATAGCATATATCATGATTTTTATGTCTAAAAATTCAATGTGTTTTTTTTCTTTTGCATGCCTCTACATAACTTTTTAAATATAAAGAATACAGTAACAATAATGATGTCAATATCCTTACCTGCCTATTTAATATCTGTGTCAGTTCTAAGTCAGTTTTGACTAACTTATTTTTCCCCTCATTATGAGAGTTAATAACTATTGGAACTAATCCCTGAATGAGATAAAAAGAAATTCTACTGTAACAATTGATTAGAAGGCCTAAAATTAAACAGTTCAGATTATAACATAAAACAAGAAAAGTCATGAAAGTTGTCTTCAAAGAGAAGGCAGATAGATGTATTATGAATTGTTAAGAACCTGCAAGTACAAGGTATACTATTGGTGAGAGGAAGGTTAAAACAACAACAACAAATCTCTATAAATGAAAAGTATCACCAGCAGCAACAACAAAGAAATACAATTAGAAACTCAGAGAAAACTGAAAATGCATATAAGAAATTTATGTTATGAAAACGAAGTAAATTATACTGCATGATATGAGCAATTGATGGAAATGAAAAAGCAGTATTTTCTGAAATAACAAAGCAAAATTTCAGATAATTCAGAAAGATGAAGAGGAACAACTAATGCTTGGTATTCGTGTATACTTTCTTTAGGCTTGTCATAATTACTAAATTTAATCATATTCCTGTGATGTATTTAGTTTTCCTGTTTGAAACTAATTTGTCTTTTTTATAGGTTATTTTCTTTTTCATAGGAGCTTGTCCCTATTTATCTCCTCCATGGGTTCAAAGTTTTTAAAAATAAAAACTTTTCTGTTGTTGTTTAGGCCTAGTAGTATCTTCAGATGCTTAAAGACAGTTGATTAAGTATTGCCTTTTGAAAACGTAAACTTATGCCCATTAAGCACATGTTGAAAGACTCTTCACACAATCACTTAAACCCCTTCATGTTTTTTCTTTTTCTTTCTTTTTCTTCTTCTTTTTTTTTGAAACTGAGTTTCGCTCTTGTTGCCCAGGCTGGAGTGCAATGGTGCGATCTTGGCTCACTGCAACCTCTGCCTCCCGGGTTCAAGCGATTCTCCTACCTCAGCCTCCCGAGTAGCTGGGATTACAGGCACGTGCCACCACACCCAGCTAATTTTTTGTATTTTTAGTAGAGACGGAGTTTCTCCATGTTGGTCAGGGTGGTCTCAAAGTCCCGATCTCAGGTGATCTGCATGCCTCAGCCTCCCAAAGTGCTGGGATTATGGGTGTGAGCCACCAAGCCCGGCCCATGTTTTTTCTTAAATTGTTTTCCTTAACTTCAAAGACAAATTTTTGGATGAAATAGTTTTTTTTTTTAATAAATAATTTTCTGAAGTTCAGTGACACCTAAAGTTTCCTTTCAGTTTATTTTTACTGTAAGATTCAAACAAGATTATATTTTATAGCTTTATTTAGAAATAAATAAATATGTATTCACTGTGTTGGATGAGAAATTTATCATTCATTTACTTCCTTCATATTTCCTCTCCCAAGTTCTGGATTTCATTAATAAAATCTGAGATTTTATAGACAGATTACTTTTGTTATTACCTTTCAGATTATTTACCATTTTCTGACTTAAGAGTTACCTGTGGCATTACTTTTACTTTTAAAAAAGGTGAATAGCAATTATTTTTTATTTTAAGGTATTGTAGGTAGTACTTCCTGTGAAGCAGACAGTGAGAAGCATCATAGCTCAACTTGTTCCCCTGTTCAATCCTGCTTTCCAGGATCCTTATTATTTCTAGGTAAGATTTCTCAGGGTTGTCCTCTAGTACTGTCCCCAGGCCCCCTACAGATGTCACTGACCTTTCTGTTTTCTCTAATTTCAGTGTTTTCAGTTTTGTCTTTCAGTTAATCTGTTGTTATTTGTTTTATGACTGTTTTTAATTATCACAATAATGATTTGTTTCTTTTAATTCCTCCTGAAGTCTTCTTTTATATTGCTTTCTCTGTATTATTGGTTTTAGTTTCAGAGATACAATGTTCTTTCTTGAGGATTACAAAAGAAACTAGAACATTTTGGGGAAATTTCTCCTTCAAAGAGGACAACATTTTCTCTGTTAGACTGGTCTCTTTTTTCGATTATTTACATATTTTTTTAGAATTACATTTAAGTTGATAAATTAGGTTTTTAGTTGTATCTATTTGTATTACATTTTAGTGGATGCTATAGGGTTTATAATATACATCTGTAATTTTTCATTGTCTATTTAGAATTAATATTGTCACATGAAATGTAGAACTCTTTTAACTATGTAGGTTCATTTATTCCCATCCCTATAATGTATATTTTAGTTACTATATGTATTACATCTATAAACATTATAAACCCTAACAAAATATTATTATTGTTTTTGCTTTAAGCAGTTATATGTAGTCTAAAGAAATTAAGAGGAATACATAGTCCTATACATTTATCAGATATTTGCCATTTCTGATGTGCTTCGTTCCTTCCTTAAGATTTTGCTTCACAAATCAACAAGCAAAAAACAATCCCATTGAAAAATGGGCAAAGGACATGAACAGACACTTCTCGAAAGAAGACACACAAGTGGCCAAAAAGCCTATGAAAAAATGCTCAATATCACTAATCATTAGGGAAATGCAAATCAAAACCATGGTGAGATACCATTTCATACCAGTCAGAATGGCTATTACTAAAAGGTCAAAAAGTAACAGATGCTGGAGAGGTTGCAGAGAAAAGAGAATGCTTATATACTGCTGGAGGGGATGTAAATTAGTTCAGTAATCTTATTACTGGGTATATATCCAAAGGAATAGAAATTGCTCTACTGTAAAGACATTTGTATGAGTATGTTAATTGCAGCCCTATTCACAATAGCAAACACATGGAATTCACCTAGATGCCCATCAATTGTTGACTGGATCAAGGAAATGTGGTACGTATACACCATGGAATGACATGCAGCCATAAAAAAGAATGAGATTATGTTCTTTGCAGAAACGTGGGTGGAGCTGGAGGCCGTTATCCTAAGTGAATTAATGCAGGAACAGAAAACCAAATGCTGCATGTTCCTACTTATAGGTGGGAGATAAACACTGACTACACATGGACACAAAGAAGGAAACAGTAGACACCAGGACCTACTTAAGGGTGGAGGGCGGAAGGAGGGTGAGGATGAAAAAAACTACCTATTGGATATTATGCTAATTACTGAAGTGACAATTATCTGTACATCGAACTCCTGTGACATACAATTTACCCATGTTAACATACCTGCACATGTTCCAACCTAAAATAAAAGTTGGAAAAAAAGAAAAAAAATGCGTTTCATATGACTAAAAAAAAAAAAAATTGGTTTCATTTTCCTTCGACAGGAAGAACTCCCTTTATACTTTCTTAACAGTGCACATCTGCTGGCAATGAATTATTTTAATTTTCTTTCTTTTCCTTTATTTCTTGAAGGATATTTTTGCTGAATATAGAATCCTGAGTTTATATTTTTCTTTTGGAACTTTAAAATTATTCTCTCTTCATCTTTGGTATTCAGCAGTTTGACTATGATGCTGCTAGGTATGGCTTTGTTTGTATTTATTCTGCTTATAACTGAATTGCCTAAGGTGGAATCTGTGAATTTATGTTTTTCACCAAAATTGGGAAAATTTTGGCCATTACTCTTTCAAAATTTTAATGCCTCATTTTCACACTTTTCTCCTTTAAAGATTTCAGTTGCATGTATGTTAGGCCATTTGATATTGTCCCATGGGTTTCTGAAAATCTGTTCATTTTTTTCAATTTTTTTTCTTATTTCTATTTTTTCAGATTGGGAAATTTCTATTAACCTATCTCAAGTTAAAGGATTGTTTTGTTTGTCATCTCAATTCCATTAAGTCCATTCAGTAAATTTTTTAAATGTTTACTTTTTTAGTTCTTGAGTTTACATTTGGTTTTTAAAATATAGTTTCTACTTCTCTGCTGAGATTTCCTATCATTTTATTCATTGCGATTGTTTTTCTTTACCTCATCAAGTATAGTTATAACGGTTGCTAATCCAACATTTGGGTCATCCTGGAGTTGGTCTCCATTGATTACTTTTTCTCTTGAGAACAAGTCAACTTTTCTCATTCTTTGTATGTTGAGTAATTTTGCATTTTATTCTGGACATTGTGAATGGTATAGGTGTGGATTCTGCTGCATTCTTCTAAATATTTATTTCACTGGCATTGTTTTATTAGGCAGTTGACCTGATTGCACCCCCAAGATGCAAACTTTGCTTTTTAGGTAGCAACTCAAATCTCAGTTCATTTCTTTTGTCTTTAGTTGGAATTTGCTCCACAGAGATATGGTTCAGGAGTCAACCAGAGATTTAGGCAGAATTTATACACAGCATGTAGAGCTTCTCCTTTCTGACTGCTTTTCTGAGATTCATTCCTTAATTTTCAATGGCTGTGGTTTCCCCAGGACTGTCCTCTCATTCTTCAGACTAGATGGATTATGATTTTCTAGTAGTTTTAGCTGCTTTGAGCAGCTGCTGACTGCAGCTTGCCTTCAGTTGCTGACTGCAGCTTGCTCAACACCATTTGAAAAACGGGAAATTCATCGTGTGCCTATTCCTTTTTTACAAGTTTTAACATTCCTCCAGAGTCTACCTGCTGTTATTCACTCTCCAAGGCTTTCAGATAGTTTACTTCTTATATTTTGTGCGAAGTTTATAGCTGTTATCTGTAGGAGAATCAGTCTGGTTGGACCTTGCTTTGGCATACCAAAATTGGAAGCAAATTCCTTTCTTTTTAATCGCAGAAATTTTATAAAGGTCCAGTAATTTTTCTTGCTTACTCATCTTTAGTTTGTCAACATATGCTTGACAATTATTAGCTTACTGTAAAATATGAGTTGGAATGGGTTCTTTGACATACTGTGGTTGTCCCTTTCTCAATACTTCAGTCCAAAACAAAGAAGTATACACTATTTAGTTATATTGGAAATCCATGTTACTAGTGTAGAGATGCTTAAAGTCTCAAGGGAGTGGAAAAGCAGCTAGAGCCAGGAGAGAACTGTAGAGAATTCTGCCTCTGTGCCAAAGTATGTCTCTTCTATATATGAATTGGGATAACCCCGGCCATGTCCCTGATTTTTGCCTGACAAGGTCCCTGATTTTTGCCTGACTAGGAGACCTTTACCAGATGTTATATTAGAACTAAGCCTCTTCTATACTCAGCTCAGTGAAGTAACTAGAAATAACTTGGTAATAAAACCTGTCAATACTGAGTTTGAACTCTTGTAAATAGTGAGTTGCCTATCACTGGAATCATTCAAGTGGGAGCTTGATGATCATTCCTCCTTTATTATTTTTACCTCTATACTTATTAAGAGGGGTGGAGGGAGAATATATCACTGCTTTCCCCTTGGCACTCAATAGCTATATGTTGTATAAACAAATATTTATTGAATTCATTGCATGAATGAATTAGAAGAGAGTTTTCTCTATGGTATGAGAAGGCATATTTTGCATTCTGAGGAGAAGAAATTAAAAAGTTAGGGTAAATATTGTCAAATGGTCTTTAATTCAGAATATTTTGGTGGGAGGAATCATGGATAGTGTATTAGAATATTTTAAAAGAAAAGCAATGATTTGATTACAATCAGTTAACATGAAATAATCAGCACATGAAACTGGCTACCACAATAGCTGTTTTAAAATAATTTCAAATTATCCCTGTGGGAGAAATCTGAACTAAGATGGAAAGGCTCATGGCAGGCCCTCAGAACCTAGGTGAGTTCATATGTTCAACTTAGCAACTTTCTTTTGCTATTTCTTTATAATCTTAAAGAAAAGGCTACCTGTTCATTTGTCACAAAATTTGAACAGGTGTTCCTTTGCCTTCTAGTCTAGCTTATCCGAAACAGCACAAACAGATTGTCCTAAACAGCACACAAATGAGTCTTATTTCCTACCCAGGAGTGAAAGAACAGTCTTGGTCTTCGTAAGTCCTTAGTCATGACAATGCTTCTTTCTTTATTCTCAGGAATCAGTGTGCTCTATTTAAAGATATTGGCACAGTCTTACTGGCTTTTCAAAACTATTTGTAATGTAAGGTGAACTGGACACTAGAATGAATCTGGAAGATTTTAATTGCTCTAGGAATTTCATCTAGTTCTCACAGTGACTTCAATCATGGCTATTATCCAGTTTACACCTCCCAATTCTGCCCTCACTTTATCATACGAATGAAGCAAGACTGCATAAGTAGAATGGCATTCACACAGGAAGCATTCATTAATGTTTGAATGAAGAAATGGGAAATGATCTATTTTATTCATCAGATACTTAGAAACTAAAGTTAAATAATTCTTCCCTCATTTAAAGTTCCACAGACAGATATTTAAAAGGTTTGGTAAGTGATTGATAGAGCTCTGAAATCATATTAGCTGCCATTTATTTCTCACTGTGACATGTACCAGGCCACTTCTAAATCCTTTATATGCATTATTTCATTCATACCTTACAATATCATATGAACCAGGCATTGTTATCTTCCTTTCACAGAGAAGAAATGGAAGTATAGAGAGGTTGACCAGCTCAAATCACTCTCTCAGGAAGCTTCAGAGCTGAGATCCAAGCTCCAGGGTACTTGGCTTCAAGGCCAGAGCCACTGGTCTAGAGTGCCATAGGTAAGTAGCCATTATAGAAGAACAGCTGAGCAATTTTAAAACACGTTGTGAAATCACATCAAATCTTGAGGGCAACTAAGGTGAAAAGTAGATGATCTAAAAGGGCAAAATTTGCTTTTGTGTAAGTTTTACCTGAAACTATGAGCGTATATCCCCCAAACTATCACAGGAAATATAGTAATCTCTCCCCTATTCCTTCTCAGATTAGAGCTAGGTATTTATGGAAAATGTGGTATCCTAGAAATGTCAACCAAGGAAGAAGCTATTGGTGGAAGAAAATTTGACCTCCCTCATCCTCTCCACAATCTCTTTAACATCTCATATCTGGCAAGGCCACACAGTTCAAGGCATTCAAACGATTGCCTTCATGGGTTTCTGCTGATGGTATGATTGTTTGTCAAGCACCTGCTATATTCGTAATTTTTAAAAATTGTAGTAAAACATATATAATTTAAAATTTGCCATTTTCATCATTTTAAAGTGTACAATTCAATGGCATTAATTACATTCACCATCTTATATAACCATCACAATTTCCAAAAATCATTTCATCATCTCAAAGAGAAATTCTGTGTCCATTAAGCAATAACTCCCCATTATTCCCTTCTCCCATTCCATGGTAACCTCTAATATACTTTCAATCTCTGTGAATTTGTCTATTCTAGATATTTCATATAATTGAAATCATGCAATATTTGTCCTTTTGTGTCTGATTTATTTCACTTAGAGAGAGAAAGAGGGCTTAATTCTTTTTTCAGTAACCCACTCTCCAGATAATTCACTCTGCAAAACAGCATTAATTCATTCATAAAGTCTGAGCCCCATGACCTAATCATCTCTTAAATATCCCACCTCTCAACATTGTTGCACTGGGGATTAAGTTTCTAACACATGAACTTTGGGGGACACATTCAAACCATAGCACACCACCTTTGGCTGTTGTGAATAATGCTGCTATCAACATTAGCTTATAAGTATCTGTTTAAGTCTTTGTTTTCAATTCTTTTTGGTATATACCTAGCAGTGCAGTTGCGGGGTCATAAGGTAATTCTATGTTTAATGTTTTGAGGAATAGCCAAACTGTTTTCCAGAGGGCTATACAATTTATATCCTCACCAGCAATGCACAAATTTCCATTTTTTCCACATCCTTACAAACATTTGTTATTCCTTATTATTTCCTTTTTTAAAAAGTAGTCATCCTAGTAGTTATGAAGTGGTATCTCATCGTGGCTTTGATCCGCATTTCCCTAATGACGAATGATGTTGAGCATCTTTTCATGTGCTTATTGGCCATTTGTGTATCTTCTTTGGAGAAATGCTTATTCAAGTGCTTTGACATTTTTAAATTGAGTTGTCGGAGTTATATTTATTATCTTTAATTTTCATCACAACTCTGCAAATTACGCATTATTGCTTTAACTTCATAGAGGAGAAAATCAAGGCTGAGAGACTGTTACTTGTCTGAGGTCCTACTATAAGTGGCAGAGCCAGAATTTGAATCCACATATGATAGGGCATCTCTAAGAGGGTCTCCATGATTCTCCCCTCCTGATACTCATGCCCTCATGTAATCCCTTCCCCTGGGGTGTGAGGTGAATGTTAATGACTCATTTCTAATAGATATAATATATCAAAAGGGATGGGATGCCGCTTCTGAGATTAGGAAGTGAAAGATTGTGGCTTGCATCGTGCTTGCTCTTTTTCATTCTCTCGCTTGTTAACTCTGAGGGAAGCTAGTTGCCACATTGTGAGCAACATGATAGAGAGACCCATGTGTCAATCAACTGAAGGAGTCCTCTGGCCATCCAACAGCCAGTGAAGACGTGAGGTGTTCAGTCCAGAAAACTGTGAGGAACTGAATTTTACCAACTATGTGAGGAGCTTAGAAATCAGTCCTCCCTTAGTTAAACCATCACATCAGACCACAGCTGTGGTCAGCACCTTGATTATAGCCTTGTGAGAGACTTTGGGGTACAGGCATCTGGCTAAGCTGTGCCCAGATTCTTGACCTATAAAAATACTAATAAATAATTAATATTTGTTGTTTTAAGCTGCTAAGTTTTGAGGCAATTTGTTATGCAGCAATAGATAACTAACGCTTCATATCTACTGCTTTTTAAGTAAAAACATTAAATTGGTTTAGATGCCAAGCAAAGACATTTTAACAGAAGATAATGGGGCAAGTACTCTCTCTGGACCTGTTTGGGCACAGCAGACATGGGCCAACCTAAAGAAGGAATTAAATTTGGGATGGGAATAGTCAACCTGACTGTGGTTATGAGAAGTTTATTGAAAATAATTTTGTGTGTTGACCTTTTGGATTATTCTTGTGAGTCATGGGGTTCAGCCTATACTCTAGTCTCCCTTAGGAGCACAGAAAAGCTATCTTGAGATATCCTTACCTCTTCTCTGGAATCTCTAGGTTCTTCCATTGGACAGAAAGGTACTAGGGAGAGGGACAAATACGTTATGACTTCTTCCTACTTTAGAATTTTTCTGGATTAAAACCTCAGTGTTCATTTATCAGGCTTTTGGCACTCGTTCATACAAGAAATCCAATCTATCATCATCAACATCAGTAAAAAGTATTGATGGTGCGTTGTGTTCTGAACCTGTATTTCTTGAATGGACTATATGGGGTTCAAAGAAGTCTTTGCAATTATAGGCACAATGATGTATGTTTGTGCAAATTGCATTTTTTCCTGCAGAGAGGGGCCATAACTTTCATGGACTCTCAAAGGGGTATGGAATCTAAAACAGTTAAAGACCATAGCTTGGGTTTCTTATTAGCATGCTTACTCCTGGCTATAACTGCACCCTTATTTTGAACTCAGATCAGGGATGGACCTTTTCTGCTGTCCAGAGTCTCCTGTTGTTGTTCTTCAGATCACAAGACTGGACCTTTTGGATACTGACAGCAGCTCAGCTTGGGCCCAGGTAACCACAGCCTCTTAAGATACTGTGCCTGAGTTGGCCAGGCAACCTCCCAGTGGGAGCACTGGTCCATGCTGTACAGTCTAACTCCTATCTGCTGGCCCATTGTGAGGCTCCTTTGTGCTTTTGTTTTTCTATCTCAGGGCAATTTACTCTTATACATACCTGGTAATGCCAAGAAGAGACTTTTTGGCAAATAAATCTCTTCTTTAGTGTCAAAATGATAAACAATTAGCATTGAAGGTAGAAGAACTCTAGTCCAAATTATATTATCTTATCACAGTCTTCTCTCCAGTGTTGAAGAGCTTCTATCATCCTTGCAAAGAACCCATTCCATTGCTGGTCAATTTTGTTGGAAATATCTTCCAACAAACCCTAGTGTTGCTCTGCTTCTTTCTTCACATTGGCAGCTGTTCCAATGATTGAAAACAGCTCTCAATTCAAGTTACTTTAAGAGTTGTTTGGCTGGGGGTGGTGGCTTGTGTCTGTAATCCCAGCACTTTGGGAGGCCGAGGTGGGTGGATCACCTGAGGTCAGGAGTTTGAGACCAGCCTAGCCAACATGGTAAAACCCCATCTGTACTAAAAATACAAAAATTAGTTGGGCATGATGGTGGACACCTGTAATCCCAGCTACTTGGGAGGCTGAGGCATGAGGATCGCTTAAACCCAGGCGGCCCAAGTTTCAGTGAGCTGGGATGGCGTCACTGCACTTCAGCCTGGGCATTAAGAGCAAGACTCTGTCTGAGAAAAAGAAAAAGAGTTGTTCATGTCATGTTTTTGAGCCCCCTCATCTCGCTCAACTTGAGAGCATCTGTTTGTCTACAATAATGGAGAGGGTTTTTCTCCTCCCTCACAAGGTTCTTGAAAGTAGTCCCATCCATTAAGTCTACCTCTCCCCATCAGTTGTACTGTAACCTATAGGTTGGGGGTTCTAGATGCTGAAGGAGATGTTGCTAATGTTATGTTTACATATTATGTTTATATATGTATGCGTATATGTTATGTTTGCACCCACACACCCATACATGTCTTTCCCATTCATTGTCTTTACTCTACCATCCTCATCACAGGGATGGTGGTGAGAAGAATAATGAATGTGTATTTTCTAGTCCTGCAGAGCATAATTAATCTGAGAGTATGAGATGGCAATGTCTATGCTTGAAATTGATTGGGGGACCCTCAAACTGATTGAATATGAACTGTTTCCCTTTCAGGCCAATGGAGGCTTAGAATAGATCATATGATTTTTCCAATTCTGTGAAGAAAGTCAGTGGTAGCTTGATAGGGAGAGCATTGAATGGAAGACAGTGTGGCGATTCCTCAAGGATCTAGAACTAGAAATATCATTTGACCCAGCAATCCCATTACTGGGTGTGTACCCAAAAGATTAGAAATCTTTCTACTATAAAGACACATGCACATGTATGTTTATTGCAGCATTATTCACAATGGCAATGACTTGGAACCAACCCAAATGCCCATCAATTATAGACTGGCTAAAGAAAATGTGGCACATATGCACCATGGAATACTATGCAGCCATAAAAAAGGATGAGTTCATGTCCTTTGCAGGGACATGGATGAAACTGGAAACCATCATTCTCAGCAAAGTAACACAAGAAGAGAAAACCAAACACCACACGTTCTCACTCATAAGTGGGAGTTGAGCAATGAGAACACATGGACACAGGGAGGGGAACATCACACACTGCGGCCTGTTGAGGGGTGGAGGGCTGGGGGAGGGATAGCATTAGGAGAAATACCTAATGTAAATGACGAGTTGATGGGTGCAGCAAACCAACATGGCACATGTACACTTATGTAACAAACTGCACGTTGTGCATGTGTACCCCAGAACTTAAAGTATAATAATAATAAAAAAAGAATAGATCATATGATTAAAGAAATAAAGATATATAACATTATTTCACACCTGGGTGCTGTGGAGTAACATTCATACCACTACTTATGATTATTTAGTAATATCTTGTTTATGGAGGTTTTCATAGCAAATTTTCCAATTGGAATTTTAACACTACACCAAGGAACTTGTCAGTTTCAGTACGTGTGTGTGTCTAAACAGTGATGATCTTTGTGAGATGGTGTACAATCTGTATTCCTGCAGCTCTTCCCTGTTTATAAAAACATTATTTTTTTTTGTTTCCTGCAGTGGTCTTTTAGGGTAGGCAAGGATCATTACCCTCCATTTTACAGAGCCTCAGAGAGATCAGGGAACTTTCTGAAAGTCACAGGCTTGGTGGGCCTCAGGCAGGGCTTCAGATGCAGACATTTGGATTTTGAGTTCTGAGTGTGATCAGCCACTGCACACAGAGCCAGGAATGGAACTTCCAGGCTGCCCGTTTTCACTTGGTACCAGAAAGGTAGGTTGGAGGTGAGGAGTGTCAGAATTGCCCCTCTCTTGGTCTCCTGTATGAAAAATAGAATAGCTTTTTTATAATGAAAGTATAATTGACCTACAGTAAAATGCAGACACTAAGTGCACAGGCTAATCAGTTTTGATAAATGCAGACATGCATATAACCTACATCTGATCAAGATGTAGAACATTTCCATCACTCTGGAAACATTTCCATCACTTCATATCCCTTGTCAATCAACTACCCCTCCCTCTCTGTTCTGCTAGCAACCTCTGTTCTGATTTCTGTCCCATATATTTGGAGAACTTATTTAAGAAATTTCTGTTTCGGTCACCTGCAGTAAGGGCCAAGCGAACAGCAGCGACTTTGTCATTCCTTTTGGTTGCCATGGTCAGGCTGGAGCCAGTCTACATGTGAGCCAGTTGGATGGGTCTGCCAGCTGTCACTGAACAGAGGCAGAGTCTCTGTGACAACAGCGCCCTTATGCATTCTAACAGGTAGTGAGTGTCATTTAAGCAGCTTCGAGACCTTGCCTGAGGTTCTTGTTCACTTGCACATAGCATACCAATGGAATCAAGTTAATGTTGACATAAAAAAGATGTCAGCTCCATCCCAATCTACCTCTGTGAAGAGCAGGTATAATCCCGTAAACATCTATTCTGGGGGCTCCCCTTGGGAGAGAGACCCTCCCCTGCACACAGGCTTGGGAAGACTGAGTCATGCTTTAGAGCCCATTAGCCAACATCTTCTTCAATAGCAATCGCCACTACTCCCTTTTATTTGTAGTTACTCTATGGTAACTCTGTGGAGATGACGTGCATGTGGGGGCCACTGCCCTTTGTGGAAGGAATTAGATTTGAGGAATTGGACTATCGATAGAAGGTGGCTGGGCAAGTGACGAATCAGAGTCAGGAGATGGTTCTGAGGAAAGAGACCTGGCTGCCCAGTACTGTGCCCCGTATCTGAGCCCCATTTCTAGTCAGGAAAGGTCTTTCATGGGGTGGGGCCAGCCAGGATGGTCCAGCCTACTTGCATCCTCCCCCAATTGGCATTCTAGGCAATTTCTTGAAAGGACATTCCTTGTCTTCTTCTCACACGGCTTGAGTGAGTACACTTTGTGCTAGGAGCAAGATCCAGCCCATCCCAGGCTGAGATCTCTTTCTGTCCTGGTTAGGAACAGGGGCCAAGAGAGGCTGCCATGGGAAACACATGGCTCAGCCTGAGATGAGCATTCTCAGCAGACTCTTACTTCCATTACAAGCAGCAGTAGTAGGAAGCAATGTTTTTGGAGAGCGTCCACTGCACTCTCCTTGGTCTTGCCAGTGAAGTGCAGGGGCGGGGACCAGCTCACCTTCACATTCCTGGCCATGAAGGTGAGAATGGATCCAGACAATAATGTGTTTTCATTTGTGGTTGCTTATCTTTTGTCTCCAACTGGCAAGCTGGAATGATGTTGGCACCACACGACAACAGCAGGGAGTCACAGCCTTTTCATAAATGCATGGAGAAATGAGGCATCAGCAGGTACAGGTTACAGTGACTCAGGTGGGGCACAGGAATTTCATGATTTTAAAAAAGGATTCCAGATTCTTCTGTTCTCCTTGCCAAAGGCTAGTCAATTTTCCCAGTTGCTTCTCTATTGCCCCCATCTTATTCAAAACTGCACAAATTCAAATGACCCCACTTCATCTAGACAAAAACGTAAAAAGAAAAGACAGTCAATCAAGATTCTGCTTGATTAACATCTTGGGAGAAGGCTAACATGAGTCTTCAGGGATGAAAATAAATGGCTCTGAGCCTGGGCTGTGGTCATAAACCTGACCTTGTCACTGCCTAAGCGAGGAAAGCAATGGAGGAAATTAGAGCTCTCGTTCCAGTGTGATTACAATTGTACCCTTAACAGGACATGACAATGTTTTTTGGCATTCAATTATGTTTTGCTATGCGTGCATGCATACACTCACACACTCACACACGCAGAGCTAGAATTGAAATCATCTCAAGTGAGAATTCTTGTGATGCATTTAAGGGGCCTGCATTTGACAAGTTGCTACCTAGTTATGGACTAAAATCTCACCAGGCACCCCCATAGCTTATCGCCTGTCATTTCAAAACAAAGACATCCTGCTTCCCCTTTCTGTGTCACACCTCATCGACTCATTCTCAGCAGACTCTTACTTTCATTACAAGCTCGGTGCCACCTCCCGGACTTTCATCAGATGAAAACTTGAAAGAAAAAAAAAACCCATTCCATGTTTTGACTTGGACTCTAGGTGTTGTTATTCTCTCAGTCCAGCTTGAGAAAAAAAAAAAAAAAAAGCCCACCCCACGAGGGGGCAGGCCTGCTTTCCTGTCTCCTGCCACCACACAGTCTCTGAAGTGTGTGAAGAAGAGAGGAAGAGACAATTAACACTCAGCACCAATCTGCATTTCCTTTTTAGCTGCCATTTACACGCTGCTCAGGTTTTGAAAACCAGCATTTCATGCTACTCCCTAGAGAGCCAGCACCAGCTTCAGCAGGATCCATCTGCACAGCACTCACATTGCTGAAATCTTCAGCCAACCCAGAATTCATTTATTTATTTTTTGAAAAAAAATGAGAGAGAGGAAGTGAGAGAGTACGAGTGAGAGAGCAAGCAAGCGGGTGAAAATAATAGATTAGAATCTGGTAATATTTAATGCGCACGCTTGACCAATCCCTGCGCTGGTCCAGGCAGGGGTGAGTCAGTGGAGTTTTTCTTTGATCATCTTCTAGATTAGTGTGAGCAGCGAGCGAATGAGCAAGAGCGTGTGACAACAGAGGATGACAGGCTGTGAGGTTCGAAGCAGGAAGGACACACTCCATAAGTCTCGGCACTGCTCATCAGCCCATGTGTCAGCACGCTCTTGCTGATGGGAGCAGCGGGGAGAAACGCCATACTGGGAAGTCACTGCTGGTGTGGGACAAGTTACAAGATGCTTCTGGGGGAGGAAAATGTGTATCATCAACTCCTCAGGTCTGGCCAACTTGCTTTATTTCCTTTAGCCCCCAAAGGGTGGAGCATTGAAGCATAATAGCTTCAATAAGCTTTGTTATTTTAACATTATTATTTTTTAAACTGAATTCACCACCACAGGAGGTCACAGAGTCAATGGTCACAGCTGGCTTTTAAAAAAGGGTTGAGTCACTTTGTGATTGATAAAACAGACTCAGCCTGAGATGAGGGCAATCAGGTTTCCTGCTTGAAGGCATCAGTTGATCACTACAGGGGTCGGAAAGAAGTGTTTTTCTTACGCAAGTTCTGGCATAATAGTCTAGGTGAATGCAAAAAAAAAAAAAGTTAGTCTTTTGATTTGTTTGTTTTTGTTTCTAAGAGAGAGCAGAGCTAAAAAGCCCATCCTTACCTCAGTAGACCAATGAGTGGTCTGATTCCATCTGGCTCTGCTGCTCAGATGGCAGTTGTGATGATAGTCATGCTACAGACACATTTACCAACTAAGCAGTGCAGACAGTACTCTGCATTGGCCCAGATTTACCTAGGAACAAGCACAGGTGTGCTCAGATAAGGAAAATACCTTAGGTCAGGAGGTGGGGTGAGCACATGGTTGTTAAAATAGAATTTAGTGAGTTAAAAAAAAAACCAGCAAACCAACACAAGACTCATAAGTACCCTATAGTATCTGCGGATGCCGTTACACGTCAAGTTAAACCACATCTTCTCAGGATACAGGGGTGTTTTGCAGCTCTCACATTAACACAGATGTGTAACGTGGGTTTCTCAGCCTATCAGAGATGGGGCAAGATAGGGTTATAATAAACAGCTTTTGTTTTTTTTGGCTCTGCCCTTACTAGGGGAGACTTCCAACCTTACCAATTCTCAAATAGTTCTTGGAGTCCCTGGTGAGAAGGATGCCCCTCTTCCACCATTCTGACTTAATGACACTGGAGCCACACTGCATGGGTTCAAATCCCAAACTCATTCCTCCACTCAAAATGTATTTAAGGGAGTGCCCACTGTGAACTTGACATTATTCTAGATGCTGAGGAAAGAGCCATTCCACATTTTCCTGTAATTTTGGTTCTAGTGAAGGTGTAGAAATGCAAATAAATAAACAAGTAAATGTATAATATTTCAGATAGAATATTATAGAGATGCTGTGGAGGGAACAAAAGCCTACTTGAGATGTCTTCAACAGAAGACAAGAAGAATGAGAGAGAGAGTAAGAACAACCATTTTAAGAAGTTTGCTGCAAGGGGGAAAGAAATGGAGTCGTTTGACTTAGGAGTGGAATCCCAGGGAAATTTCTTGTTGCTGTTGTTGTTTGTGGTTTTGATTGGAGAAATAGCATCACGTTATTCTGATCCATGTTATTAATTATTCTCACATTATTCTAGTTCTGATTCAGTAGAGAAGGAAAATAGATGATGCTAAAGCAATGTCCTTGGGTGGCGTGAGGGGTTGGGATCTGGTGCAAAGTGGAGGGGTTGGCTTTAGGTAGAAAATACACAGTTCATCCAGAGCAGCAGGAGTGAAGGTAAACGCATGGACATAGTGTAGAAAGATGTGAGGGTAGAAACTTGTGCAAGTTCTTTTTCTAATTGCTCCGATTTTCTCAGTGAAGTAGGAAGCAAAGTTATCAGCTGACAGTGTGGAGGAAAAGAATGTGTTGGAGATTTGAAGAGAGAGAGGAAGATGTGAAATAGTCCTGGAAAAGTGAGTTGACTAGGGAAATAGAGTAGGCTGCCACGCTACACTAAGGGCTCACTTGTGGTTTGTGATGATAACTTTAAAGTGAGACCAGTCAGCATGGTTGTTTTCTTTGGGTATATTTGGCTGGTTTGGTACAGGCATGGAGAAGTGGAGAGCTGGCCAAGAGTTTTGTCAGCTGAGTATGACAAAGAAAGAGAGGGTTGAGGCAGTTGAAGGAGTGTGCAGTGAGTAACACATCATGGTCCATGAAATCTAAACTAGGTGGGAAGAGAAGTAGGGAATGAAGGGAGTGAAAGACAATAAAAAGGTTCCAGGAACAATGGTTTTTAGGTCTCTGTGTGGTCCACGAATTGTTGGAGTTGGCAGACTAGAGAAGGTGAGCTGGTAAGAGGAGGCGGAGGTCCGAGAGGGAGAGGGTGAAACATGGTGCAGCTGCAGTTGTAGTTGTTGATGATGACTAGGCAGGGGCATGAACTTGTGTTGCTAGCAAAGGTAGAGTAGAACCAGAATCACTGGGAGAGAGGAGGTGAGATAGTTGGGGGGCCAGCACTCTGGGAGGAGCATCTCCCTGCAGGTCCGGTACATCTCTGGGGGCAGTTTTCTTGTTGTTTTTTATGTGAGTAATGCCCTGCTGGAGCCCAGCTCTGTGAAGTCTAAAAGGATGTTGAAAGCACCAAGAATTACAATATAAGTAGCTTTGGAAGGGGTTCAACCAAACTGACATCTTCAAGCAATGGGTCAGAGGAAAGCGAGGTCAGGAGATGACTGCACTAAGGACCCAGGGAGGACAATGGCTTAGAAGTGGTGATGAACAGAAAGGAAGACACTCAACTTACCCTCCAACCTAGGGCTCTAAAGGAATGAGGAGAAGACGTTTGAATGGTTGCAGAGACTCCATTTGTTAATTATGTGACTCAGAAAATTATTTAACCTCTGTATGCCTCAGTTATCCCAAATGCAAAATGGAGATAATAATTGTACCTCTCTCACAGGGTTGTTCTGAGGATTCAATGAGGCAATGTCTGAAATGCATTTATCACAGTACCTGGTGCAGAGTGAGTATGGATAGATTTTTAATTGAAGCAGTTTTATCAGCTATCTAGGTCACCAGAGCCCCAGTATTTCTGAAGGGACAGAATGAGCTTTTGGCAGGTACTGAGGAGCTTCTCAAGGAGGGTGAGCACAGATGCTGACTTAGCCATGAGAGGCACAGTTCAGAGAGGAGGGTAAGGAAAACAGGCCCACAGCCAAGACAGAACAATTAAATATGTAGGGAGCTGAGAGACTTGACAGAAGAAGTGGAAGTAAAACATGTTTCTAGTCAGGGCTATGAGGAGGGTTGCCTGGAGGCTCTATTGGTAATTGATGTGCCTCTGACAATAATTAGAAACAATTTCTGGGGACTTACAGGGTACAATCACCTAGTGATATTATTTACCACAGAGAGTAGTGTCTGAGTTGAAAATGGATGTTATTGTTTCCTGAGAGCACATTACAAGGTGACTTCATGGTGAATAGATTTTTCAAGATATTTGACATTCATTGACTTTCTATTTAGCTCCTCTTACTCACAGAGGCCATTACTCTAATGACAATACCTGGATTTATCTCTGTTAATGGCAGAAGACATGTGAAAGATAAATCCTCGTTGTGTGGGCCTCCAAATCATGAATGCGACAGCTTTGCCTTCCCAAGCCTCTTAGATACCTAAGGGATTCTGAGAGTGTGGAAGGCCCAGGGCATAGCCTCACCCCAGTTCAAGAAATCCTCAACCACTAATGCCAAGGGACCGGACTAGCACAAATTGTCTTGTCTTTTTCTAATGTGAGCTTTATTTTATGTCACTTGGGACTAAGTAACATAGTGTATATAAAATAGCACAGAGCCTGGCTCATAGTGAGCACTCAGGAAGTGTTGACTCAAGAATTATTGTTTTCTTGAGTTCTTCTGATAAGACCTAGGGGGCCTCCCATATTTGGCATACTTCAAGCCCTGGGGAAGGGATCAGGGTTGGGGGAGAATCAGTGGCATTTGGACAATGGTGCTGGAGAGCGGTATTCCCCTGAGGAATCCCAAGATTCGGTGGCTTGGTTTTTCTTTCAGTTGGCTTCTCTTTGTGTATAAGCTTGGAGGCAAGATGCCAAATTACAGCTCACCTACAAGGGTATTACATAGGGGTTTGAAGTCAAAGCTTTATAGATTGAACAGTATCAATTTGGCTTCCATTCCTTCTGCATTGGAAGTCAAATGGGAACGGAGATAGGGTCCAGGGAAGGAGACAGGAGGGGGCATCTATGATTGTAACCTAGCCTCCAAGCTGAGGGACAAAAGGAGTCCCAACAGCTTATCCCATGTTCTAGCCCAGCTCGCCGAGATGGGAAACAATACTTAAGGCATGTTGAAGTCTAAGCCCTACAGATGGTTTCCCAAAAGAGCGTTATTGGCATTTTGGGAGGAACGATTCTTTATTGGGTGGGACTGCCCCTGGCAGTGCAGGGTTATAGAACACCTGTTGCCTGTGCCCATTACATGTTGATAGAGTCTCCCATCCACAGGCACTGCGATAACCAAAAATCTCTACACATTTCATAACTTGCCCAGGTTGAAAACCTTAGTATGAGTGACAACACGCCTGGCATGTCCTCGGTGCAAATAGACTTCTCTGCAAATGTGACTGCACACCAGCTGGCTGGCCAGCTACCTGGCCTCATCTGAGTCACTCCCTCGTCGCAGTTTGAGAATGGTGGAGGCTGGCAGAGCAGTCTCCCGAGACTGAACAAGTATTTAAAGACTGTAGATCCTGGCTGTCCCCTTCGTGGAGATGCGACCCTCTGTGCAAGGGCTGTATTAGTCACACTACCTTCAGTCATGCATAAGTGTCCCAGTTCATCACATACCACCTGCAGAGGGTGTGTTTACTCTGAAGCTAATGAAGCTTTAAGATTTGGAGCCTCTTTCAAGGCTCGTGTATGAAAGAAACTTGATAGAATTCCCAAATTTGAAACAATCCTAAAATTTTATATGACATTACCAATAACGCCTCATCTGAAAAATTTGGCTGTGGAATGATATTAAGAATAGCTACAAAGTGTTACAAGTCTGCGTGTGTCAGACAATATATACTACATGCTTTCAACCTTCCCGTGAGTTCATTTTTTATTATACTTATTTAATAATTGAGGAAATTGAAGAAGAGGGAAGTCAAATGCCTTGCCTAAGATCACACAGGCAACAGGGCTAAGCATCAGGATTTGAACTTCAAACTTTCTGATTCCAAAGCCCCACATGCTCTGGATTAGGTTACACTGCCTCTCAGGCAGGGGTCATAATTAATGCATGGAGATGCTGGTTCAAGTAAAGGTGTGAAGAGTGGGACTCCTGGGCTTATCTGACCACAGTGGGTGAAGGACAAGTGCAGGGTCCCTGAGGAGATGCGTGTTTGGCTGACAGGGCAGAGAGTGTGCTAGCAGGCTAAGGGGGAAATCCCTCTGGGAGGGATGGCAAACAGACAGAGGTGGAAAGTTGAAGACATTGACCAGGAAGAGTCAAATGGTCTGTTTTGAATCTCAGCTCAATCTGGAATGTTCTGTTCCTGAAAAAGGAGTGACGTTCCCCTCCTCTTTGCTGACTACATAACACAGAGCCCTCAGATTTGCAAGTTAGAGAGCAGAGGTGCAGGGTCAGGCAAGCGGACAGAAAAATCAGCAGCAAGTATTTCCCTGGCAGACTGTACTGGAGGGAGCAGCCATCTGAGGAGAGTTGTTGGTAAGGATTTGGCATTTGAAGTATTTTTGAACAAGTGCAGGTGCTGAGAATGTATATTTTCAAAAAAAATAGTAAATAAAATAAAGTCACCTTACAAGAAAGAGACAATGTGAACTAATGTGGGCAAGAACGGCACCCATTTGTCAGAGAGAAAAAGGATGTCACAGTAGGAGAACTCCAGAAGGGTCAGAAGGAGACACATTTTCTTACCCACAATAGGCGAAAGTGTTTCTCCAGTTTGTCAGTGAAGAAGGGTTAGAAATGTACATGAGAAACCCCTTTTATATCACTGATTCAGTCTTGTGTACAATAACGCTTAAATAAACAATGTGTAGTGTTCATCACAATATAGATTCATATTACCAACGACTCTCTTTTTTTGCCATTATAAAGAGTTAAGGATTCCCTGTGTAATTTGACAATTAGCAAAATGAAAATGCACATCTTACCAGTCACTTGTTGGAATGTATCTTACAGAACTACTAGCATGGGTATATAAAGATATAGGGACAAACAAATTTATTATAGCACTTGTTGAATAAATTATGGTTCGGCAGCAGTGGTTTACTACCAGTCATTTCACAAGGTTTGAATAGATGTGTTATATTAAGTGAAAAAAGCAATGTGCAAAAAAATCTTGTGCAGTGTGCAGTCTTATTAAGAAACACTGTACATGTGTGCATGTGCCTATATGTAATTGTATAAACAGAGGAAAACAGTCTGAGAGGACAGTGGATACAT
Source organism: Homo sapiens (assembly GCF_000001405.40). NCBI lineage: Eukaryota > Metazoa > Chordata > Mammalia > Primates > Hominidae > Homo > Homo sapiens. The sequence goes on from NC_000003.12 coordinate 114,220,752, forward strand.
TTGAGTGCTGAAGTCAGAAATAAGAAAGGATTCTCACTTTTTAATTTATATCCTTCTCAAAAAGGTAGAAGTGGTGGGATTGTGGGTGATTTTTACTTATTTATTTTTTGTGCCTTCTTTATGTTTTCCCAAATTTCCTATAGAGAACCTGTGTTCTGTAAATGAAGCTTTTATGATTAAGCTTCATTTCTGCCTGGGAAGCAGTGCAGTGTAGAGGCTAAGCCTATGGGTTCCGAAGTCGGAATACCTGGGTTTACATTCCAGCTCTACATCTATGCAGGGGATGATGATTGTGGATGAATGACTTCGCCTCTGTGTGCCATAGTTTCCTCTTCTGTAACATGGAGGTACTAACAGTATTCCAGTCCATGAGACTGTTGGGAGTATTGCGTGAGACCCTTTGTGTAAAGGGTGTGGTCAGGGTGTAGGAAGTGTTGGCCATTATTATTGGATGTGGAAAGATCAAGCTCAGGGGCACAGGTAGACAGATTGATGTGAGCAAAGGGCTATGCTTTCCTCGTTTTCCTCTGAGACTGGAGAGAAAGAGCCCAACTGGCGGCAGAAACAAGCTGCTGCAAAGAGGAGAGTAGAGGCTGGACTTGCTCAGGTTGCTTTTCTTCTCTTGTTAGAGAACAGGAGAGAGAGCCACAGGGAGAAGATCTGGAATGACCTTTTGTTTCAGTTCCTGCCCACCTTTCTTGTGGTCCAGCAGTCATTTCCTTTCTTCTGCAGGCCTTATTCCTGCCCAATTCTCTGGGAATGGAGAATGAATGTGTGCGCCAAGGGCCTGTCCTCACCCCTTTCCACTGAGAGGTAGGGACAAGGGATTCCACTTTTCCTTCCAAGTTTTGAAATCCCCTAAGCAAATCCTGTCCAGGCTGGACCCGTCACAGTATTTCATCAGCTTCCTCCATTCTGAGGCTTGGACAAATGATTAGACACCAGGAGCTGGGTTCTGCCCACAGCGGAAATTGGTTTCTCAGAATTTACTGTTTGACGCTAAAGCCTCGGTTGCTGAAAATGACTCATGGCTCCATTTGTGATTCGTTTTCAGATAAATCACAGGCCAGACAATCCAGTGTATTTGAAAGCCACAGTGGCCGATTCAGGGTCTCAGCATGTTTAGGCTCTTTGACTTGACTGGTTAATGTACCAGGAAAGGCCTGAAGTAGGTAAAAAGGGTCACCTGTTGGTCATATAAAGACAACTATACACCGAAAAACAAGTGAGCATTATGGGAGCTTCATGTCTGAGAGCAGCCTTCCCTCATGTTAGCTTAGATGGCAGCTATGCCAGTTTGCTCTTGAGATCAATCACAGCTCTAAGAATTCAGGTGCAGACACACATGCATTGTCACTATCCAAGATGCTTCAGAGCATCTTGGCCACATCCAAGATGCTTCAGAGCATCTTGGCCACATCCAAGATGCTATGGCCTCAGTCATGACAGATAGCTTCACCTCCCACATATTTCTGTTCCCCTCACCTTTGCCCTCTGCTCCCTGCCCCTAAGCTCTCATGGGAGACTTGCTTATATCTGATACCTAAGATATCTTTGCCTTTCCAAGCCAGTGCCTGCTCTCCCATGGATGGTGTTTTTATGTTGCTTTTCTGATTGGCTAGCTCCAAAACATTCTGCATGACCCCATTCAACTATAATGTGCTCTGTAATGCCTTTCTAGAGCCTTCTATGCAGAATTGATTACCTTTAACTTGGTCCCTCCTAACACTGTTCATACTTATCTCTCTTATTTTCTTTTACCATTTATTTATTGTCTATACTTATTTCTCTTACTGTAGTTTGTTATATAGGTGACCAGCAGTCCTCAAACTTTAGTGGTCATAAGAATTTAAAAGCAGCAGAATCAATAAGAATCTATTAAACACCTATGATATGCAGGCCCAGGATTGAGAAAACAGTGTACTACTATTCCACCTAGGATTGGGAAAATAGTGGAATACTATTCCACCTAGGATTGGGAAAATAGTGGACTACAATTCCACCTAGAATTGGAAAAATAGTGGGCTACTATTCCACCTAGGATTGGGAAAATAGTGGGCTACTAAGTGGACTGGGTCTCAGCATCTTATGTTATTGTGTCTCCTCCCCAAGATGAGCTCTCTGATCTGCTATCTCTACCATGGAGGCTGGGAATCTTCATGAATTATTAATAATAACCCTGCATGATTCTGATTCAGGTGGTTACAGACACATTCTTTGGGTAATGGTGTAGTAGATTCACAGCCTGTATTAATATAATAAATATCATTTATAAAATGCTGTGGTATATATTTGAATCCAAGTGCTTTGAGCCTAGTGTATGAGAACTAGTCAGCTAGCTAGTGAGTTAAGCTAATTGATCACCTAGGACCCTCATTTCAGTAATAGCTGTGGCTCTCTATTAATCTTTGAATAAATGGTGTAGCAGTTCCTAAACCAGTATGCGGGGCAACTCAATGCTACAGGATGTTAATAGGTAAGCCACAGACAAAGTTAAACCTAAATATGTTTTCTTAATGTAGCATTTGTCAGAGCTTACAAAAAGCTATGCACATTGTGACTTTCCATGAGGAAATGATTATAGTCATTTCCTGTTCCGTGAAGTGTGTATGAAGCATATAGGCCCTGAACAAAAAGGCCTGAGCTCAAACCGACTTTGGTATTTGTTAGCTACCTACTTAGGCCAGGATTTTCCTTTCTGAGTTTCAGGTTTCTGTTCTCATTTCTTATTAATACTGGCTCTGTCTAAGTCACAGGACTGTAGTGAGAATAAGATGACTTAAATATATGTAATAAGTGCTTTATAAATTGTAGAGTTCTGAGCAGACATTAGTTTTGCAATACATGGGAAAATGTGCTAGGTGCTGTAATTGCAGAATAAAGAAAGTACTACTGGGAAATAGAGGAAGGGGAAATAAATTAATTTTGACTATGATAATTAATTTATAACTAGCAGTTGAATGAAATGCCAAAAGCAAACAAACATACACAGGTGTTCAGGATTGTTTTTCTGACACCATTTGCTATTCATTTGTGTGTTGCTAACTGTAAGCAGGAACATGGGTGTAACTGGAGATCTGTGAATGTCAATCTTCAAGAGAAGGAACTGCCAAGGAGGACTTTGATATGGTCAAAGAATTTTATTTTGGATTTCAAATATCTCATTATAATTATACCTTAATATACAATATTGAGATATATTCAATTCTAAGCCCAAGAAAATCATAACATGTGGAAAGAGCTTCATAGAGTTATACAATAACTTTGTAGAATTTTAACATTCCCCAGAGGATGCATGAGATTATGCAATTTTTTATGTGAGTTATCATTTCAGAATAGTCTATTTGTTCAATTGATAGTCTTTTGGCAGTTCTCTTTCTCTCTGTAGTAAGGTTTCGTTGATTAGAGGAGTTAGAAAAAGTCTCTCAAATTTTGTAAGAAACACTACATTTATATCATACATTTATGTATTCATTAAAAAACTCTAGAACTATTTGTTGAGTACCTACTGCATATAAAGCATAGTACTAAGCACTAGGAAGTCAGTACTCCATAAAATAGGCCCTGACCTGACCCTCATGTAGACATAGTCTAGTGGAAGCAAGCACATGATGATAATATAATGTGACAAGCTTTACATTGGAGTGTATACAGAGTGCAATGGAGCATATAGAGGGGTAACTATTTACATTTTATGTGATTGGTAAAAGCAGCCTACAACTTCGGTTTGTAGCCCTAGAAGTAGGGATGAGGAGTTCCTTGGAAGAGTCCATTTGCTGATCATGGACAAATAAGAAAGGAAGCGCAAAGCCAGTAAATAAGGAAAGCGAGAGAGGCAATTAGAGGCAAAAACATAGGGACTGGCTCCTGGGTGAATTGACTCACTCTTCCTGGGAATGATCCTTTAGCCTGGTGTCACTAAAAGCTGGACATCAGTTTGCTAAGTTGTGACATCTTAAGGGTGCTGCCCAGGGTCTAATTGTCACAGATGAGAAATGACCTGGCCCTGGGACGAGGTCTCCAAGAAGACTCAGCAAGTCTATGCCTAGTCTCCCAAAGGCCTACAGGTCACTCTTTGGGGCTTGTACTGATGGATTCAGCTTCATACAACAGAAACCACTCTAGCTAATTTAAGCAGAACAGGATTTATTAGCAAACATTAAGTGGCTACAGAATTATCTGAGGGGCTGGAAGAGCTGGCTCTAGGGTGAGCATCCAGGAACTCCTAGCCTTCAGAGATATACAGCCTCATCCATAATCAGAAAAGTTACATTTCTGCTGCAGGAGATCACTGAGTTAGAAACTGCTGACTACAGAACATGCTGCTTCTGCCTCAGTTCATGTCAGATATGAGCTCTATGTTTCCTTCCTCTTAATTCAGTTTTGAATTCAAGTCTCTTTTGAGCATACTGGAGAGTCTTTTGGAATCCTAGCTGCAAGGGAGTCTGGGAAACATAGTCTTGGATTTCCTGGCCTCTTCAGCACAGGAAAACATGAGAATGAGGTTATAATAAATTCAAAGCAAGCCAATCATAGTATCTGCAACAGGACCATATCCTTTCTAGATTCTAACCAGATTTGAAGCCCAAAAAACATACTTAACTGCCACTCTTTTAGTTAATATGCTGAGAGGCTTGGGGAAGGAATATTGGATCCTGCTGGCCCCTGAGGGTTGGTGACTTGGGGGAATTTGGTTACTTTTTCAAAGGTTGTGGAAGCTGGAGAAGGACAGCCATGGTGTGCACGAGGATGTGATGGGAAGGGTCAGGCAGAGAGTATGAGGAGTACAGTGGGAGATGTGAGAAGCGTAATGGGCGTACAGAGTTCAGACAAGCAGCTGAGTTTCAGTGTCCAGAGAAAGCAATTGACGTTTCAAGAGCAGGAACTCAGGAATGGCCACCTGGTTGTTCCAATTAATTCTGCTAGAAGTCATGATGTTGGCCTGTTGCTGCATTAATCATGAGGACACATGCGCATCACCCACTGTCTTCCTGGCTTCCTGGTCACTTGTTGATTTTAACTGAGACACAGATCACTCCATTTGATTACTTCACTGAGCAGCTTTCCTTCTGAATAGGCCTGGCTTTTGTCTTCCCTGATGGGATTGGGTCATGAGACCCACCTGCAGGCCCAGGTTGGACCTATATCCTAAGCCAATCATGGCAGAGGCCAAAAGTGAAAGAATTCCAGCCTCATCATTCAGGAGGATATAATATTAAAACTAGGTGTCCACAGACCTGATATGTGGACCACCAGAAATTCATTCCTTTATTCATTCACTTAACTACATCTACTGAGCCCCTGTCATGCAGCAGGCACATGGGTGTTCTGCATAGGTAAGGTCATGGTAAGCATCCTGGAAGATAGGAAAGACTCCCTTGGGTGGAGAAGCGATGGCAGAGCTGGTCAGGCAGAGACAACAGGAAGTACACAAGCCCTGGGGCTGAAGTAGAAGTAACAAGGGGCAGAGGCCATGTGGCTGGAGGCTTGGGGCAGGGCCTGGACAGGAAAGGCCTTGTTGGCCCTGCTAAGGACTTTCACTTTTCTCCTGAATGTAAGAGAAAGCAATTGAAAAAGGTGTTAGGCAGGAGGATGGCCATAATGAGGGCAGTGTTTAAAAACTGCTCTGGTGATTTTTAAAACATCCTATGCTTGCTTGCTTTCTTGAAGTATTGATAGGATGGGGTGGCAGGTGCGGGGGGCAGTGGAGGTGGGTGAAAGTGGGTGGAGGCAGATCGGTTAGGAAGCCTTTGCAGTAGTAGTGAAGGTAAGAAGTGATATTATATCAGATAGGGGTGATGGTGGTAAAGAAGAGAGACAGGACTGAGATACAGAGAGGAGGAAGAAGACAATTGAAGGAGGAAGAGCAGTGTTGTTCTTTTTACTCTAGTCACTTCAAACTCTACTTTCACTTTTAGACTTGGTTTTCTTTTTTCATATTTATCTTTTCAAGTTATATCCCAGTGTAAGAAAATCAAAAGGAATGAGATTTATTTAAGAAAATTCACATCACAATATGAATATGCTTACATACAACCCATGCCAAAGACTTGGAAGTGCTATAAAATCTGTATTTTATATAGCGCCACAGTTAAGAGCATGGATTTTGCAGAGAATCAGCTTTGTGACCTTGGACAAACTGTTTCACCTTTCTATGCCACAGATTCACCACCTAGAAAATGGGGATGAAAATAGTAACTACCTTGGGTTTCACTGAGAATGAAGTGAGATAATACATATAAAACAGGCATAGAGCCTGGCATAATGAAAATGGTCAATGAATGCTAATTAGTCTTGTTATTCATAGCTTGTAGCTGACCATCCTCTGTACAGTTGATTGATGCTCCTGAAGGTCTTCAGAGCCACCAGTGAGCACCATACAAGCAGTTATAGCATGACAGACTTGTGCACAGATTGCAAGGACCCTGAAAAGATGGTTCTGCATATTGAATTTAATTCTGCCTGTTTTCTCCCAAAACCAGGTTCTGCCTCTGGGACTGTGCAGAACTTGTTGGAGAAGCATTGCATGGCAGGGGAAATTGGGAGGCGGGGAGAAGAGGGTTGAAGAGGGTGAAGACTGTGAAGTGGAACACAGGGTTCCCACTCCTGTTGGGTAATTTTGATTGCAGTTTTATTGTGACTAATTTTGTTGTAGGGATCTGATTTATTTCTTATTCCTCATTCATCTATGGAACATTTACATGTGCCAAGCACTGTAATAGGTACTGAGGATTCAGCTATGAGCAAAGTTCCAGCTTCCATGGAGTTTAAATTTTGGTGAGGTTATGTCTCTTGCCAGCAAAATTTATTCTCCTACAGTTCTTAGCTGGCCAAAACTTCTTCCTCCATGGTAGGAAAGAAAGGAACCAATTGGGCACACTGCCTGTTCTAGAGTCATATCGAAAAGAAAGCCCTACTGTATATGGTTTGGAGCTTATTCCTTTTGGGGGAAATTTAGTTTGTATTCTATCAGGGAGGGGAATAATAGAGAAGTTATTAATCCCAACGAACTTTCCTATTAGTCCTCAAAATATCCATATGGGTAATGTATTGCTATCCCAGATGAAGAAACTGAGGGTAAGAGGTTGAATGATTTTCCCAAATAGAGGTGAGATTCAAGATTTCAACTTTAGCTCCCATGCTTTATTTCTTTCTCTTGTAAATTGGAAGTTATTTGTTCAACTGCAAACAAGTAAATTTAATGGCATTAGCTCGTCTGGCCATTGGCGTGATGGTGGTGGTTAGCACCTCTAGTTAATAGATCCTATAGTGAGTATACTATCAGATAGACTGACCTTCATGGCATGTGACATAGCTCAGTGGTTCCCAAATGCCAGTTCCTGGACCAATGATAGTCTGTGACAAAGTTGTCACCAATTTTTGCAATGTGTGGAATAAAGTAAATTTAAATTAAAGGCCACTTCTGTTATGTCTCCTCAACATTCCATTATGGAATGATGGTAAAAGTAGGAGGGTTTTTGGTTTTTTTTTTTTTGCTTTTTTTTGGGTTATTGTTATTTTATGAAATAAAAAGTTGGCAAACCTGTCTGTCAATCCTTCCCTGTTAAAGTTTCCCATTTGGTTTAATTCAAAAGGCTAGGGAAACTTGATATAGCTAACTAAATGAAAAATAGAAGTTCTGTTTCTGGCAATATGAATACTAGATATTAAAAAAATCCTTCTGGTGCAAAGCACCTAAAAAAGAAAGTAAAGTTGGAAAAAATTATATATTTTAAAAAATGCATAGTTTTATTGGCAAGAAAGGAAAATTTTTAGAGGCCAAAAATGACAAGAAAGCACAAATACAGAGAAAGCCATATTTGGGAGAGAGGAGACAAATCTCAGGTTCTAAGCAAGGTGGGAAATAGGATTAAAGACTGAAAGCTGGCTCTCCTAAAAGGTGACATCTTCTGTGAAAAAAGGAAATAGGAACTAAAGTGCCCCTCAAGAGCAGTCCAGTAAATACAATTACCCTTGGGATGGTGGGAAGGATAAATTTCTCCTGAAAGATTCATAACAGTGAGTTACTCCCACTGGATTTAAGTCTAGAATTCCCATTGCTTATATAAGCTGAGAAATCCTAAGCTGATAATTCAAAATATTCTGGGTTACACTGTGTCTCCAGGTGCCTGGTAAGGGCAAACACAAACTCTCCTGAAGGCATGCACCTTGATTCCAAGCCTCAAAAAATTCCTAAGATATAATTTCAATTAATATAGGCTCAAAAATAAAAATCACAAAATAAAGGAGGAAACAAGATGTCACGGGGAGGTGGGGGGTAATCAAAAGAAACATCAAGAATCAGGCCTGTAGAAACTTCAGGTATTAGTGATGTTGAGTATAAAATATAAAAGAGGTATTGAAAGTATAAGAAACTATCAAGCCGATTTTTAAAAAAGAACCAATTAGAACCTGCAGAAATAAAAAATACAACCACTGGAATTTAAAAATTTCAGTTACACAGGTGAAAAGAGAGTTAATGAACTAGAAGGTAGATATGAAGTAATTACTCTGAATGCATAGAGGAACAAAGAGATTGAAAATATGGAAGGTAAGAGAAAGGGAAGATAAAGTGAGAGGTTGTAATATATATCTACAGAGAGTAATAATGGAGATAATGGGAGAGACTCATATTCAAAGTTATCGTGTATGAAAAATTTTCAGAATTGGAGAAATAAAGAAATCTTGAGATTCAGAAATCCTTATGAGCACCAAGCAGGATAAATTAGAAAATCACACTTAGACACACCATATTGAAATTATAGAATATGAAAGATAAATAGATTGCAAAAGAAGATACAGAAAAGAAAAATTACCTATAAAGAAATGACAATAAACTGATAGCTTACTTCTCAACATCATTAATGAAAATTAAAGGAGAGATATACATTCAAAATCCTTCATTGGAAAATATTTAACAAGCCAAATGTCATAGCTAAAGAATTACATGCCCCAAATGACTATGTTTTATTAGCTTTAGGAAAATGCCTTTTCACCTGTAACTGGAATGAATTGCCCCACAAACTTGGAATTTAAATATGGACATTTTCCCTATTTTTGCAGTTAACCACATAAGTGGTCTCCTATGCCTCCTTATCCTGAAGTTCAGCATCTTCTTATGAGGGTTCCCATGCCCTTTAATTGAATTGTCCAAGAACACTTACTCCAAAGCAGGTTGATCTCCTTCCAATGTGAGATGTAGAGGGAGATGAAATTTAGTCAGTTTATACCACCCGGTGCAGTTACTTTTTTCACTGCCATGTGTATTGCAGTTGAATTTTGCCTTGAAAAATTCCATGGATATTTGTTTACTACAAGGTCTCTCTAACAAATCCAGATCATTGCATAATCACAGTGAGACCCCATTTGGGGTCTCTTAATTTATAACCTTCTTGAGTGACAATTATAACCTCCCAGGAAGCAGTGGGTCACATCAACTACCTCCACTACCCCCAGATGCAGAATTACTGTCCCAATGTCTTAGAGTGGCCACCTGCTTTCAAAGAGTAGAGGCAGGTTTTTTTTTTTTTTTGTAGTTTTGTCTTTTTTTGTTTTTGTTTTTCAAGTTTCCAAACAAGAATTTATTCTTTCTTTAAAAAAAATTTTTTTTCTAAAAAAAGTACCAGGTACAATTTTTTCCTGTTTCTGTTTTTTCAAGTTTCAGCAAATGCTTGTTCCCCTCAGCCCAGCCCCAGGAGTCAGGACTGAGGCTGGGTCAGAGTCTGGAGTGGGGGATGGGATAGTTGGGAGCCACATGACTGAGTCTGAGAGTTGCCCCTTAGCCCAGATGAGGTAGGTGGGTCAGAGTCTGGCCAGGTGAAAGGAGGCACCCCAGTCCTTGGACCTGACTCTGCTTCCTGGACACCTTCCTCAGTCACACCCCAAAGTAAGGAGACACAGGTAGGAGGAAAGGGACAACTGGAGTCTGGAACTGTAGGTGAGGGGTGGTTAACCTCTGTGTGTGTGCATACATGCACACTCTCTTTCTCACACATACCACACAAAGACAAGCTTGTACACACATGCATACATATAATTTGGCTTTCAGAGCTAGGTCAGAGGGTAGGGGAAGTGAAGGGACTAGGGGAAGGACAAGGCAAGCTGAAGCTTTGGCTACTGACTCAGTCCCTCTGGAATAACCCCTCTTCCCTCAGCTGAGGGAGAGCAGTTCTCCTTCTGCTCCCCTGCATAAGCCTCTTCAACTCCTGAGGTTGGAGCAATATCTGAGAGTGGGAAAGGAAAAGGGGTGACGCCAATGATCAGGTGTGGGAGGTTACTAAGTCAATCCAATTTGAATAAGTTATAAATTAAAAATAAATAAAATAATAAATGGTTCTTTTTCAGGACAGGGAGGCAACGCTGGCATGACTTCCCTGGGAACTTGGGATAACCTCAGGGTGGCTCTGGTTCCTCCCTACTACCTAAGCTGGACTGGGAGAACCAAGGGAGGGGACAGGCACATGGAGGACCTGAAGTAGGGCAGGTTGTAGTAAGGATCAGAAGCTCTAAATACCCAAATGATCAATCTAGGCATGAGCATGGTGAGGGCTTTAACTCGAGCCTGAAGGGTCTCTTGCCATCTCTCCATCTATGGGATGGACAAGATGGGCAGGTCATTGATCCACATTGGTTCAGAGTAATGGCAATCAGGGCAAAAGTGAATAACGTGGGTTAAGAGGGGCCCCAGTCACAGCCTGAAGTTCGCAGGGGAGCCCTGCGTCCAGCTCCAGGCTCTAGCAGGAAAAAAGCTGGCAGAGATCTCCATTCAGGCTTAAGAGGCCTGAGCGGGAGCTCCAGAACCCAAGGTGCAGCGAGTAGCAGAGGAGGCAGTAGGTGGGGTTAGCATTTTTCTCCTCACCCACAGGCACCAAAAAGAGGCAATGGCACAATAAGGGCATGTGGCAGCAGCCATGTCCAAGAAGTCAAAGGTCACCAGGAACATCTTCACCACAGTCTGGTTGGGGTTAAATGTTACTTGTGTGGTGCCCACTTTGGGCACGCTGTAACTCTTCCTCCCCAGGAGGTTCAGATCCACAAAGCCCAGGAAGTGGGTGGGGGCATTTTGCTCAGAAACCTCAAAGAAGGTGACAGTGACAGGCAGTGTGACATGGTGGGGGCAGTAGGACCCACTAGCTCCAGTCTCTGCTGTGAAGCCCTCAATGTGGCCAGATGGTGCAAAGCGTCCTTGCAGCAATGATTCCTCAAAGTTGCCCAGCAGGGTACAGCTGATAGCAGGGGTAGGAACAGGGGAGGCACTACGGGGGCTCAGCAGGCCTGGCCCCTTCCAGAGGCTTCAAAGTGGGCTCAGCTTCAGGTGATGGGCACCTGTCAGCCTCCGCCCCATGGGACTGCAGTCTGTTGGGTCCAAAACAGGCTCCTTGGGCCCAGGCAGCAGGTGGCTCCAGATGGGTGTGGTTTGAGCATCAGAACTGTTGGTAGCAGTAGGGTGGCCCAGGGTTCCCTGGCACGTCCAAAGGGCTGGACCCTCTTCCTTAGAACTGACATTTGGGGCTTCTCCAGCAGAAGCAGCCTTTGCTTGGTGGGGCAGGGGCCTGGAGGTCCAGGGCTGGGGGTGTGTGCTTGGGACTGTGCCCACTGTCAATGCCAGGGGACTCCCTAGGCCAGAGGCTCCCCCTCTTGCCCACCCTAGCCACTGGGCTCTTACCCCTTATTTGTGCAAAACTGCAAATCAGTGTCCAGCGTGTGTAGCTGGCCCAGAGGGCTGGCCCTGGGGACTCCCCTAGGGACCCCTGTCCCCCTGGGTCTGGGAAAGCCTAGTCTCTGGTGTGTAAAGTATTTCAGGAAGCATATGATCGGGGCCAGGAGGGACTCCAGGCCCCTGAAGTCCAAGAAGAGGTGGCACTACTTCCCTGTTCCACAACACAGAGGCCACGGTGGGAGAAATGGTGGCTGGACACACCTACTCCCAGCCCCAGTCCCCCTGGGCCCAATAGCCCTACAGAAGATGGTTCTTCAGGGGGTAGTCCCTCTCTGGCCCCCAGCCCAGGGCCCCTCTCCAGCTCCTGAGGACCCTTAGTGGGTGGGGCTGGTCGCTTCTGGGCCCTGTGAAGCTCAGAGGCACCAGCTGGAGGGGAAAAGATAAATACCTGGTAGAGCCTGGGGGATGTCACTGCCCCCTGCCCCCCCCCCACTTGCTGGGCTGTAGTCCATGAGCAGGCCACCCCGGAGGGCCCCCTGCCTGACTGGAGGCTGTGAAGGGCCAGCCTCTGGCTCTGAGGATGGAGACAGCTCTGCCTGCATGTGGCACATGAAGTCCCCCTTGGGTCAGGGGGGTCACCCCCACACGGCCTTTATGCTGGGCCTGTGCTGGGGAGTCTGGGGACATCTGGATGAAGAGGGCTCAAGCCTAGCCGTGCATCCCCTCTTCCTGACTGATGCCTTGTTCCTCTAGCTTGCAGTCTGATTCATGCCCACTGCACTAGCAAAGTGACTGCCACCATTCCATGCAGCTCCTGGGCTCAACAGGACCCTGTAGTTCTGTTAGTCTCATTGCACTTGAGGAGGTGGTAGTAGAGGCAGAGTTTTAAAACCACAGCAAACAACAAAGGTCTTGCATTCATCTCTCCCAGGACAGTGAAGCCTGCTCAGTCTAGACTTACATGAGAGACTACTCAATGACTCTCACAGAAAAGAGATCTTCCCAAGGTGACATCTTCTCCTCCTAAGCCAATAAGGTCATCTTACTCACAGTCCACTTCCAGGAACTGACCCCAAATGGACAGAATCTACTTATATCATGGCACAGCTGTCAACTTCTCTTGCTAAAGAAGAGAATAACGCTCACAAAATTGCCCCAGATGGCGGTGCAACATTTTTGGGCCAAGTACTACAACTGAAAAGCATGAACAGAGTTTTACCAGCGGGTTACAGGTTTGTTTATATGAAAATTGCACTCCCTGTTTATTTCTAATAGGGAAAATATTTCTGATGGTATATGATTCCTAAATGAAATGATGCTAACAAATGTTCACATATTTTGTGAGGGAGAACACAGCAAATTGTAAGATATGATCTGCAGATATCAAACTCATTTTCTTTACTGGAAAACAGGTCTGACTGCATGGCACGATTATGTTGGGAAAAATGCAGCTATAGTTCTCTTCATTTGGAACACGAACGTATATCACAAAGCTAACCAGATCACATTCATTCAGTAGCAAACACAAATCAACTGTGGCTAGCAAATGTGTGTACAAAATACATTGACATCAATACCAGTTTGGTGCTTTCTTGTGATCAAATCCAGGGAAATAGAAATCAGCCATCTAAAACTTAACCACTTGCAAAAGAGCATTTATGTTACCAGCAGTTTAAAGGAAATGAATGTTCATTGAAGAGCAGCCTATGCTGAACTCTCATTTTTACATGTATTCAACTATATATATGCTGGCTCATCATTTTAAAACTATTATCAGCCAGGTGCAGTGGCTCACGCCTGTAAGCATTTTGAGAGGCTGAGGTGGGTGGATCATGAGGTCAGGAGATCGAGACCATCCTGGCTAACACGGTGAAACCCCATCTCTACTAAAAATACAAAAAATTAGCTAGGCATGGTGGCGGGTGCCTGTAGTCCCAGCTACTTGGGAGGTTGAGGCAAGAGAATCACTTGAACCCAGGAGGCAGAGGTTGCAGTGAGCCGACATGCGCCACTGCACTCCAGCCTGGGTGACAGAGTGAGACTCCATCTCAAAAACAAACAAACAAACAAGCAAACAAAAAAATTATATTATCATTTATTAAATGTGATTAGGTAGCTCTGGATCCTTGGTCTGTTATTTTTTTTAAGGCATAATAAGACCAGGACTTAAAAAAAAACACCCTGTAAAATGTACGCTTTTTAAGAAATAATAGAAGTCACTTTTATTCTAACATGCTATCTTTATTGAAATATTTTAAACATTTATTGCAAAAACAATAAATGCTTTTTATTTTTCAAACATAAACAATACTTAAGTATAAAAGTAAAAACTGAACATTGCATATAACCCTGGTCCATCCCATTTCCTGCAGAAAACCACTATTAACAGTTTTATGCTTATACTTCTAGATGTAGTTTTATTTCCTGAAACTTTCTCTTTTACTAAATACTGTATCTTAGAGATGTTTTGATATCAGTACATACAGAGATACCTTATTGTTTCACAGTATTTCATAGAACAGATGTACCATAACTTACTTCCAACTGATAAACATTTAGATTGTTCTCAACGTTTCACACATAAAAACAAAACTGCAGCGATTATTCTTTGCACGCACATCTCTGCATAATATAAAAACATTTCTGAGGATTTCTAGAATTGAATTAACATGTCAAAGGATCTACATGTTTTATATTTTAATACATTGTATTCATCAAAACATTTTTTTCTGAGTTTCTCATTAGATTAGATAAGCTGTGTTTTGTTTTGTTTGTCTTAGCTCTTGTTTAACTTCTAGAAAACTAGTGACATGCTCTTGGAGAAGCCCCTCTTACAGAAGGCCAAAGAAGCTGAGAAAGCACAGAGGAAATAATCAAGGCTCACCTGGGAAAGCAACACAGCTTCACCATCATTCTCTCGTCCCTGAGAAAATAAATCAAAACAAACAAGTATATTGAGCACTGGGTGTTCAAAACCACATGAAGAATTGTTTTTTGTTAAATTAAAGCCTTAAGTAGTCTTAAATGATGTAGCAAAATATGCCCATTCAATGTGGTTACTTACCTCCTCAGATATGAAAGGATTTTATATGGCAGTATTTTTATATTCTACGTTCTTACAAGTTTCACATATTCCATTACTTAAGCGTTCATATTTCTCACAAAGACTTACATTCCTCAGGAGTACAATGTTTTAGAACAAAGAATGCATTCAATAAATCTTTACAGAGTTAATCTTTACAGAGGACAATTCTCCTGTAGACAGGAGTGAATACATATAAAGGACAAATAACGAGGCAAGGCCTTTGTACCTTTCAGCCATCTGCAAAATGAAGAACTGAATTCAAATTTTGATAGGCATGGCTTTCAGAGAAGTCTGACAGAAGCTATGCATGAATTTCTTTTTTTCTCTTTTACAGTTCCCTTCTTACTTAAAAAAAAAAAATCCTGAAGTGGCTTAGTGATATAAACTATGGAGAGAGGTGTGGGTGGTTCTTTTAAGTGCACAATAACCAACAGGTCTCCCTCCTGGAAAAATTCTCAGATGCTGAGGAAGATATTTCCTGTGGCCAAAAGATTTTCTTCACTAGTTTTTGTCAAAATGTCTTTTCGCAGTTTAAGTTCTCTGACGTTGACTGATGTGGGCCCACTTGCAAAAGGCCTTCCCACATATCTCATAGAGTTTATCTCTGGAAGGAATTCTTCAATGCCAAGTGAGGATGAGCTGCAGGTCACAGCTTTCCTACTGCCACTGAATTCAGAGTGCTTCTCCTCAGTGTGGCTCTCTATGTATCAAAGAAAAAAAAAAAAAGAAAACCCACAAATTCCCACATCATTTGCACTCAAAGGTTTTTTCCTCCAGAGTGGATCTTACTCTGTTGGGCAAAAGCAGAGTGGTAGCCAAAGTCCTTTCTATGTTCAAGGCACTCATAAGGTTTCTCTCCAGTGTGACTCCTTGTATGTCGAGTGAGGGAATAGCTGTAGTAAAAACCTTTCCCACATTCTTTGCACTCGTAGGGCTTTCCTGCAGTGTGGGTCATACTATGTCGGAAGAAAACAGAGCGGTAGGTGAAGGTCTTCCCGCACTCACTGCACTTGCAGGGCTTCTCTCCAGTGTGAATCTTCATGTGCCGGGTTAAGGAAGAGTTGTAGTAAAAGGTTTTTCCACATTCTTTGCACCCAAAGAGTTTTTCTCCAGTGTGGGTCACACGATGCTGGATGAAGACAGAGTGATAGCTGAAGGTCTTTCCACACTCGCTGCACTCATAGGGCTTCTCTCCAGTGTGAATCTGGCGGTAGCACAGGAGGTGCGACCTGCGGTTGAAGACCTTCCCGCACTCCACGCACTTACAGGGCTTCTCCCCTGTGTGAATCCTCATGGGTCGAACGAAGTCGACCTTTTCAGGAAAGGCTTTTCCACACTCCTGGCATTCATAAGGCTTCACCCCAGTGTGAATCTGCTGATGTCGAACAAGGAGGCTGTTTTTGTTAAACACGCTCCCACATTCCTTGCATTTGTAGGTCTTCCCCTCACGAACCAAAGTGTCTTTACTTGGTCCCTGGGAGTCACATTCATGGAGATTGTCTCCTGTGGAGACCTGCTCCTGTAAAACCTGTGAGTGCAGACCATCACCTGTCCCCAACCCATCGCGTTTAGGGCTCATCTTCCTCCAGAAGGTCTCCGTGTGGGAGACTGCAGCCAAACTCAAGTGCCCTTCTGCATTTCCAACTGTGTCCGGAATTGGTGGGTTCTTGGTCTCACTGACTTCAAGAATGAAGCCGCGGACCCTTGTGGTGAGTGTTACAGCTCTTAAGGTGGCGCGTCTAGAGTTTGTTCCTTCTGATGTTCGGATGTGTTCGGAGTTTCTTCCTTCTGGCGGGTTCGTGGTCTCGCTGGCTCAGGAGTGAAGCTGCAGACCTTCGTGGTGAGTGTTACAGCTCTTAAGGCTTAAGGCGGCGCGTCTGGAGTTGTTCGTTCCTCCCGGTGGGCTCGTGGTCTCGCTGGCTTCAGGAGTGAAGCTGCAGACGTTTGCGGTGAGTGTTACAGCTGGTAAAAGCAGTGTGGACCCAAAGAGTGAGAAGTAGCAAGATTTATTGCAAAGAGCGAAAGAACAAAGCTTCCACAGTGTGGAAAGGGACCCCAGCGGGTTGCCACTGCTGGCTCCGGCAGCCTGCTTTCATTCTCTTATCTGGCCCCACCCACATCCTGCTGATTGGTAGAGGCCTGGTCTGTTTTGACAGGGCGCTGATTGGTGTGTTTACAATTCCTGAGCTAGACACAAAGGTTCTCCACGTCCCCACTAGATTAGCTAGACACAGAGTGTGGACATAAAGGTTCTCTAAGTCCCCACCAGAGTAGCTAGATACAGAGTGTCCATTGGTGCATTCACAAACCCTGAGCTAGACACAGGGTGCTGATTGGTGTGTTTACAAACCTTGAGCTAGATACAGAGTGCCGATTGGTGTATTTACAATCCCTGAGCTAGACATAAAGGTTCTCCAAGGCCCCACCAGAGTAGCTAGATACAGAGTGTAGATTGGTGCATTCACAAACCCTGAGCTAGACACAGGGTGCTGATTGGTGTGTTTACAAACCTTGAGCTAGATACAGAGTGCTGATCAGTGTATTTACAATCCCTGAGCTAGACATAAAGGTTCTCCAAGGCCCCACCAGAGTAGCTAGGTACAGAGTGTCCATTGGTGCATTCACAAACCCTGAGCTAGACACAGGGTGCTGATTGGTGTATTTACAATCCCTGAGCTACACATAAAGGTTCTCCATGTCCCCACCAGACTCAGAAGCCCAGCTGGCTTCACCCAGTGGATCCCGCACCGGGGCTGCAGGTGGAGCTGCCTGCCAGTCCTGCGCCATGCACCCGCACTCCTCAGCCCTTGGGTGGTCGATGGGACTGGGTGCCGTGGAGCAGGGGGCGGCGCTCATCGGGGAGGATCGGGCCGTACAGGAGCCCACGGAGGGGGTGGGAGGCTCAGGCATGGCGGGCTGCAGGTCCCGAGCCCTGCCCCACGGGAAGGCAGCTAAGGCCCAGCAAGAAATCGAGTGCAGCGCCGGTGGGCTGGCACTGCTGGGGGACCCAGTACACCCTCCGCAGCCGCTGGCCCGGGTGCTAAGCCCCTCATTGCCTGGGGCCGGCAGGGCCGGCCGGCTGCTCCGAGTGTGGGGCCCGCCAAGCCCATGCCCACTCTGAACTCCAACTGGCCCGCAAGTGCCGCGTGCAGCCCGGGTTCCCGCTCTTTCCTCTCCCTCCACACCTCCCTGCAAGCTGAGGGAGCCGGCTCCGGCCTTGGCCAGCCCAGAAAGGGGCTCCCACAGTGCAGCAGTGGGCTGAAGGGCTCCTCAAGTGCCGCCAAAGTGGGAGCCCAGGCAGAGGAGGCGCCGAGAGCGAGCGAGGGCTGTGAGGACTGCCAGCACGCTGTCACCTCTCACAACCACTCTTTCCCTCACTCACCTCAACCTGGAGGAACTTCTGGCTCCCTGAGTTAGTCTTTCCAGGAGCAAGGCTCCCTAGGACAAGGCTGGCTGGCTTTGGCTTTTACTTTGTCACCTGGACAGCAGCTTTAGCAAAGGTATTTTCTGCTCTTTTATCACTGCTTCAGCTAGTAGGTCAACTGTGGTTTGCATGCCCCCGTGACGAGTGGTCTGCAGGTCTCTGGTGTCACCTCCCAGTACGGGGTCCTCTGGGGCTGGTCCAGCTGCTCCCACTTCTTCCAGGTTAAGATCATGGACATGTCCTGCACCACTGCCTCGGATGTCGCTGCAATGGAGCAAGACAAAAGCCACGCGGCACCTGCATCCGCATATGCAGAGAGTACTTCCGACTACAGATACCAGAGAGCCGCGTGCAGCCTCCGCCAGCCGAACTACAAGTCTCAGAGGCCTCAGTTTCATTTTTTAATTCCTGGGAATTTAACCCTCAATTATTCTAAATGGAAGTTGATGCCGGTTGGGTCGGGGCGACCTGCAAGCTTGCGCACAAACGTGCACATAAGAACATACATGTAAGGAACCTGTTCATGCAGGGCGTGGAGAGAGTGTGTCCCACTTATCACTTAATTTTACCCGCTGACCCCACGATAAACTGTACCAAGGGGCTGGCCATTAAAGTCAATCCAGTCAAAATACTCAGTGTGGAGAAGACATGGAAATTCAGGATCTCTTTTATGTTGTGGATGGTTCTGTAATTAGTAAAATCACTTTGGAAAAGTTTGGTCCTATGTCCTAAAGGTCTTTCCAAAACAAAGCTTTCCCACATGTACCAGGAAATGTGTTCCAGAATGCTCACATTAGCAAACACCTGGAGAGAGTTCAGGAAAGAGGATGGCCGCTACACAGAATACAACATTGTTCAGCCGCCTGGGACTGCTGCCGTCCAGTACTTCTCCCAGGGGAGCCAGGGAAGCATCACAGTTTATGTTGCAGAATCCTCAAAAATGAAGGGTGTAACAGCACCAAATCGCTCTGGAGCTGGTGAGGAGTGGAAGCCATCATATGGAGATTGGTGGCAGTGGCTTGAGCTTTGAGCAAGACCCTGATCCACTGCCCTCCCCTTCCCAAAATGCAGCTGGTTTTTAAAGTGAAGAGAGGATCTTGGAACCAGGGAATGAGAAGCAAATTGGACAGTTCTGGCGAATACTGAAGAAGAGAACTGATGGTCACTGACATATGGACCCCTCACTCCACCCCTCTTTGCTCGTCATAGCAGCTGTTTGGAATGTTCCTCTCTCAGAATCTAATCAGCTCAAGAGGAGAGACCCAAAGACGCTGATATTGCAGTTCTCCCAGTGAGGTGGCCTGGCACGTTGACTTTTAGCAAATACTTATACTTTGTTTTATTTTTCTTTCTTCTGTGCTGGCCAGAACCTCTATCTACTATATTGAAAAGAAGAGGTGCTATCAAATGCCATTTTCATTTTGCTGATTAAAAAAAATTCTTCTAATGTTTCATAATTAAGAATGTGTGTAGTGTGAAATTTTACTGGTATCACCAGCTTGATTAGTTTTATAAGATATAAATATTGGGGTCAGAGAAATAAAAGAGCAGGCAGACATGCTAACTGAAAAATCCAACAGAGTTTTCTCACCCAAAGTATTTGGAACAAATCAGTACAGTCACAATACAAGGCAGAAGGCTCAGCTGTGTTATCCAGACAGCAAGAGTCTCCCCAAGATGGGAGGCAATAGTGGATGGCAATGACTTAGGCTGCTATGCATGAGCTCTTCTGAATCGGTTCTGAACTGTCTTGCCAGGGACAGTGCCTTCATCATTCTTAGGACGCTGCACATTTGATGGTGAAGTTCTCTCCAGCAGTGGTTCTCAAAGTGTCATTCCTGGTCTCTGTTGTGCTTATTTTTAAGAGTTAAAGAGCTGGGCGCGGTGGCTCAGGCCTGTAATTCTAGCACTTTGGGAGGCCAAGGCAGGCGGTTCACAAGGTCAGGAGTTTGAGACCAGCCTGGCCAACATGGCGAAACCCAATCTCTCCTAAAAATACAAAAATTAGCTGGGCGTGGTGGTACGTGCCTGTAATCCCAGCTATTCAAGAGGGTGAGGCAGGAGAATTACTTGAATCTGGGAGTCGGAGGTTGCAGTGAGCTAAGATGGTGCCACTGCACTCCAGCCTGGGCAACAGAGCAAGACTCTGTCTTGAGAAAAAAAAAAGAGTTAAAGAAAGCTGATCACTAAATACATGCAATCTAACCATGATCATGTGGGCGGTTACAAAATGCATTAGTTTTATTTCTTGGAAATGTCTATTTTTTTCTTTAATGAATTTGTCTTTCAGCATATGGTTTTAATGATATAAAACAGCTCCTAAAAATGATAAAAAAAATTTCTCTCATTTGAGCTGTCAGTAGCAAAGCTTGTAAGTAATGTGACTATCTCAGCAAAAAGTTGGTACGAATTAGATCATATCAGTAACAATGCCCAGAGTCTGCTCTCTGGAAATTCTCAGGGGGTTTCTCACAAGGAATCCTGTGGATGACTTAACCAATGTGACTATAGACTCTCACCTGCAATTTTTGGTCCTTGGACACACCCATGGACTTCCCCTTATCACTGTAATCCAGGCATGAACATAAACTCTCTAGTGTTAGACCAAACTGTGGCTTTAACAAGACTTTTCTTAGGGCTGGGGATCACAGAGGGACGTTCATATAAAGAATAACAACTGGCTACTAGATAGGGCTGTTCTTGGAGTCCTCAGTTCCCAGTCCATTCAGCTGGCCTCCATACAGCTCCCTTCTGCTCAGAGCCCATTCTCTTCACCACCATTTTAGGAAGAGGCCAGTTTTTCTCTACCACCCAGAAACATCTCACACATGCCTCAATTCCACAGTGTCTAGGCCGAAGTCAAAGTCCAGACAGAGGAACTAACCCCAATCCAGGCCTGTATTCCCCATTTTCTGTTTCCATATTTTACAAAGATGCCTAATCAGTATATTATCTTCTTCCTTCAGTAGAGAATCCACCTTCATTCACACAATTGTGGCCTTACCCTATGACTCCAATAGTATAGCCCCTTAGAACATAGTGTCACATTTCCAGAAGATATACATACTTACCACTTTGGGTTGAATTGATCCCTCCAAAAGGATGAAGTCCTAACCTCCAGTACATGAGCATGTGACCTTATTTGGAAACAGAATCTTTGCAGACGATCAAGTTAAAATGAGGTCATTAGGATAGGCCCAACTAAAATGTCTTTGCCTCTAAAAACATGGATTCTCCTTGATTCTTTTTTTTTTTTTTTTTTTTTTTTTTTTTTTTTTTTTTTTTGAGATGAAGTCTCTCTCTGTCACCCGGGCTGGAGTACAGTGGTATGATCTCGGTTCACTGCAACCTCTGCCTCCTTGCCTCCTGGGTTCAAGTGATTCTCCTCTCTCAGCCTCCTGAGTAGCTGGGACTACAGGTGCATGGACCATGCCCGACTAGTTTTTGTATTTTTAGTAGAGACGGGGTTTCACCATGTTGGTCAGGCTGGTCTTGAACTCCTGACCTCAGGTGATCCACCCACCTTGGCCTCCCAAAGTGCTGGGATTACAGGCATAAGCCACCGTGCCTGGCCATGATTCTTCATGTTAGAAATACATTCTCCCTTGTATCTCCCTAGTCCTTTATCCTTTATCTCATGCCATCACTTTCTTCCTGGTGATACAGCTAACTATTTGTGCAGCCTGACTCTCTCATCAAACTATAAGTTCTCAAGAGCAGAATTCCCATTGAACTCATCTTTATATCTTTCAGAGTGAGAAATACTGTGCCTTGCATGTGGCCAGTGAGCAAATCCATATCTTGCCTAATTTGATTCCTTTTATAACCCTCAGAAATAGGTGTTGTATACCCTCCAACCAATGAAGAGGAGTGTGGCCAAAGATGAGAATGACCTGTCCGCATAGAATTCTTTCACCATTGCTTATTGCTTCAAACGGTATTAAGCCCAAGAAACAACAATCAAAACACAAAACCCAGCACAGCTCATTTATTAATTATCTCTTTTGTGAACCAACTCTTTCTTTGTGTGAGACAGCTCTGTTTCTGCCTGGTAAGGGAGCAGTCCACTTCAAATGCAAAAGCAAATTGTTCCTGCAGCCACAGTTTTAGGACCTGCTTCTCCCCCTTTTCTGCTTGTATGAGATGCCCTAGGGTCCTAGAGACACTGTAGATAAACTCAGCAACTGCCTCTTGGATGCCCAGGTGGATTCTGAAGTTCTCTCCACATGGTGGTTGCTGTGGGGAAGAATGAGTTTCTGTTTTGCTCAGAAAATACTCTTTATGACTGGAGGTTTCCCATGTGCTTCTTGTCTGTTCTACTTGTCTACCAAGTTGCTGAGTTCTCAATTATATATGTATATATACATATATATTCATTAGCATGTTTTCCATTACCAGACTAATAGCAAATCCTTCAAATGTTGTTATGAAATGTCACCATCTCATGCTGTAATATCCCACTAAAAAGGTTCAGAAATAGGAAACAGAAATATTTATTCTTTCTTGATATAGAAGGGTTGGTAAATTCAAAGTGGAGAAGCTTAGGCTTAAGATGGGACTTACTTGTTGAATAACCTTGGGAAAATTACTTCATCATTGAGTTTCTTCACCTGGAAAATGAGGGATAAGACCAGATTCTCCACATCTAGGGATTTTCTCCTTGCCACATTTAGGTCTCAATTAGTCTGCAGTAAGACTATAGCAGAGAGGCTGTGTAGGCCCAGGTATGATAAATTAATAAATCTCAGGGTAGACGAGAAGTAGTAAAGAGAACATGTTGTCAGAAGCAGAATTTGTGAATTCACAGAGCAGTTACATTTATAATTTCAATTTGAGATTTAAAGGGCAAATTTCAGATGAACCACCATGTTCCATTTTAATTCAATATGTCTTAGGATTTTCCACCTCAAAACTCTTAGGTCCTTTGCTAAAAAGTCAGGTCCAGTCTTATCAGTCTTTGATTATCTAGAAATGGATGATCATGCTGTCTCTAAGAGCTCATTAACTAACTCCTCTCATTTTCATCCTTCCTAATAAGCCACTCCAGCCATAGAGCATGGATTAAGATGTGGAATAAGGAACAATAAATACAGTCCACATGAAAGTCTAAGCAGGGTATCTCCCAAGCCATGCCTTCCCATTCTGGGTGTCCTAGCCCTTTCCATAGCTTCTTGTTTTCTTATCCAATTAACATCTCCTCCATGATGCTGTTCAAAGTGGTCAATTTGAAGATTATTCTATTAATGTCTAGACAGGTGTGGCTGTTACTATTTGAGAACTTCAGCTGTCTTTCTGAAGACTTTTTGGCCTTTCTTCCACAAGGGGAGTAAACAGAGCTCATCTGGGGGATATTCTAGTATCTTTTCATCTTGGGTAGAGTTAAGACTGATTACTGTGGTGCTGCTTTCTGGAATTTGCCTTATATAAGACAGCTTAATTTGTCCCAGCTGATATGGTTTGGATTTGTGTCCCCACTCAAATCCCATGTTCATTAGTAATCCCCAGTGTTGGAGATGGGGCCTAGTAGGAGATGATTTGATCATGGGGGTAGATCCTTCATGAATGGCTTAGCACTACCCTTTTTGGTGCTGTTCTCCTGATAGAGTTCTCATGAGATCTACTTGTTTAGAAGTGT
Organism: Homo sapiens; assembly: GCF_000001405.40. Classification (NCBI taxonomy): domain Eukaryota; kingdom Metazoa; phylum Chordata; class Mammalia; order Primates; family Hominidae; genus Homo; species Homo sapiens. The sequence goes on from NC_000003.12 coordinate 114,244,555, forward strand.
GTGGCACCTCCCCTCTCGCTCTTTCTTTCCCCTGCTCTGGCCACGTGAAGATGTATGCTTCAGCTTTGCCTTCCACCATGAGTAAAAGCTCCTTGATACCTCCCCCAGAAGCAGATGCTGCCATGCTTCCTGTACAGCCTGTGGAACCATGAGCCAATTTAACCTCTTTTGTGTATAAATTACCCAGTCTCAGGTATTTCTGTATAGCAGGATAAGAATGGACTGATATAGAAAATTGGTATTGAGAAGTGGGGCATTGCTATAAAGATACCTGAAAATTTGGAAGCGACTTTGGATCTGGGTAATGGGCAGAGGTTGGAGGAGTGTGGAGGGCTCAGAAGACAGGAAGATAAGAAAAAATTTGGAACTTTCTAGAGACCTGTTAAGTTGTTGTGACCAAAATGCTGATAGTGATATGGACAGTGATATCTAGGCTGAGAAAGTCTCAGATGGCTGAGAAAGTCTCAAATGAGGAACTTATTGGGAACTTGAACAAAAGTCACATTTGTTATGCATTAGCAAGGAACCTGGCAGCATTGTGCCCCTGTTCTAGGGATCTGTGGAACTTTAAACTTGAGAGTGATGATTTAGGGTATTTAGCAGAAGAAATTTCTATGGAGCAAAGTGTGCAATAAATAACCTGGCTGCTTCTAACAGCTTAAACTCACATGGGTGAGCAAAGAATTGACTTGAAATTGGAACTTATATTTAAAAGGGATGCAGAGCATAAAAGTTTGGAAAATTTGCAGCCTGGCAATGTGGTACAAAAGAAAAACCCATTTTCTGGGGGAGGAATTCAAGCTGGCTGCAGAAATTTGCATAAGTAAAGAAGAGCCAAATGTTAATAGCCAAGACAATGGGAAAGAGGCCTCCAAGGCATTACAGAGACCTTTGCGGCAGCCTCTCCCATCATAGGCCCAGAGACATAGGAGGGAAAAATGGTTTCATGAGCCAGGCCCAGGGCCGTGCTTCCCTGCGCAGCCTTGAGACACTGCTTCTCACATCCCAGCTACTCTAGCTCCAGCTGTGACTCAGAGGTGCCCAGGTACAGCTTGGGCTGCTGCTTCAGAGGGAACAAGCCACAAGCCACAATCCTTGGTGGCTTCCATGTAGTGTTAAGCTTGCAGGTGCACAGAGTGCAAGAGTTGAGGCTTGGGATCTTCTGTCTAGATTTCAGAGGATGTATGGAAAAGCTGTCCAGGCAGAAACCTGTTGCAAGAGTGGAGCCCTAATGGAGGACCTCTACTAGGGCAATGTGGAGAGGAAATGTGGGGTTGGAGCCTCCACACAGAATCCACACTGGGGACTGCCTAATGTAGGTATGAGAAGAGCACCACTGTCCTCCAGACCCTGGAATGGTAGATACAATGACAGCTTGCACTGTGTGCCTAGAAAACTGCAGGCACCCAACACCAGCCTGTGAAAGCAGCCAGGGTGCTGTACCCTGCAAAGCCTAAGGGGCAGAGCTGCCCAGGTCCTTGGGAATCCACCTTTGCATCAGTGTGCCCTGGAAGTGAGACATGGAGTCAATGAAGATTATTTTGGAGCTTTAAGACTTAATGATTGTCCTGCTGGGTTTCAGACTTGCATGGAGCTTATATGTCATTGCTTTTGACCAATTTCTCCCTTTTTGTAATGAGAATACTTACCCAATGCTTGTATCTTGGAAGTAACTAACTTGTTTTTAATTCTACAGGCTCACAGGCAGAAGGGACTAGCCTTGTCTCAGATAAGACTTTGGACTTTGGACTTTTGCATTAATGCTGAAATGAGTTAAGACTTTGGAGACTGTTGAGAAACGATGATTGTATTTTACAATGTAAGGACATAAGATTGGGAGGAGCCAGGGGGCAGAATGATATGGTTTGGATTTGTGCACCCATATCTCATGTTCAAATGTAATCCCCAATGTTGGAGGAGGGGTCTGGGGGAGGTGATTGGATCATGGGGGTAGATCCTTCATGAATGGTTTAGCACCATCCCTTTGGTGCTATTCTCATGATAGAGTTTTCACAAGATCTGGTTATTTAAAAGTGTGTGGCATCTCCGTTCTCACTCTCTGTTTCTCCTGTTTTGGTCACGTGAAGATGCCTGTTCCAGCTTTGCCTTCTGCCATGAGTAAAAGCTCCCTGATACCTCCCCAGAAGCAGATGCTGCCATGCTTCCTGTACAGCTTGTGGAAACATAAGCCAATCAAACCTCTTTTTAAAAATAAATTACCCATGGCCAGGTTTAGTGACTTATGTCTGTAATCTCAGCACTTTTGGAAGCCGAGGCAGATCACTTGAGGTCAGGAGTTTGAGACCAGCCAGGCCACCATCGTGAAACCCTGTCTCTACTAAAAATACCAAAAAGCTTAGCTGGGTATGGTGGTGCGTATTTGTAATTCTAGCTACTTGGGAGGCTGAGGTGGGAGGATTGCTTGAACCCAGGAGGTGGAGGTTTCAGTGAGCCAAGATCACACCATTACACTCCAGCCTGGATGACAGAGGGAGACTCATCTCGAAAGAAAGAAAGAAAGAAAGAAAGAAAGAAAGAAAGAAAGAAAGAAAGAAAGAAAGAAAGAAAGAAGGAAGGAAGGAAGGAAGGAAGGAAGGAAGGAAGGAAGGAAGGAAGGAAGGAAGGAAGGAAGGAAAGAAAATAAATTACCCAGTCTCAGGAATTTCTTTACAGAGGTGCGAGAATGGACTGAGATGGGAGGATTGCTTGAACCCAGGAGATGGAGGTTTCAGTGAGCCAAGATCACACCATTACACTCCAGCCTGGATGACAGAGTGAGACTCATCTCGAAAGAAAGAAAGAAAGAAAGGAAGAGAGAAAGAAAGAAAGAAAGAAAGAAAGAAAGAAAGAAAGAAAGAAAGAAAGAAAATAAATTACCCAGTCTCAGGAATTTCTTTACAGAGGTGCGAGAATGGACTGAGATGTGAGGATTGCTTGAACCCAGGAGATGGAGGTTTCAGTGAGCCAAGATCACACCATTACACTCCAGCCTGGATGACAGAGTGAGACTCATCTCAAAAGAAAGAAAGAAAGAAAGAAGGAAAGAAGGAAAGAAGGAAAGAAGGAAGGAAGGAAGGAAAGAAAGAAAGAAAGAAAGAAAGAAAGAAAGAAAGAAAGAAAGAAAGAAAGAAAGAAAATAAATTACCCAGTCTCAGGAATTTCTTTACAGAAGTGCGAGAATGGACTGAGGTGGGAGGATTGCTTGAACCCAGGAGATGGAGGTTTCAGTGAGCCAAGATCACACCATTACACTCCAGCCTGGATGACAGAGTGAGACTCATCTCAAAAGAAAGAAAGAAAGAAAGAAAGAAAGAAAGAAAGAAAGAAAGAAAGAAAGAAAGAAAGAAAGAAAGAAAGAAAGAAAGAAAGAAGGAAGGAAGGAAGGAAGGAAGGAAGGAAGGAAGGAAGGAAGGAAGGAAGGAAGGAAGGAAGGAAGGAAGGAAGGAAGGAAAGAAAGAAAGAAAATAAATTACCCAGTCTCAGGAATTTCTTTACAGAAGTGCGAGAATGGACTAATACACCAGCCCACTCTGTCTCCACAGACTCTTCATAAAACAGTGCCCAATTCTGTAGGTTTTTACTGTGCTTCACAATTTGAAACTCCTCCCCCAGAGCTGATAGAGAATAACTCTTCATCACTCTGACATTCAGAGTCTATCCCAAAACTCCAGAGCAGGGCTTCCCTAAGAAACTCCCTCTTTAACATTCTCCATAACAGATGAGTATACATTCTTCAAAAATACCCAACTGGTTTGGTCCTGTATTTCTCAAACAGTTCTTTTATTTATTCATTAAAGCTTAATTGATAGATTCCAGTTCTGGCCAAGATCAGGTAGCCCCATTTCTTACTAGTTCTGCCTCTTACAAAAAAAAAATTTCAGACATAACACAATAAATACAAGAAGACGGTCGGAGGCAGATGGAAAAAAGTGAGCTGCCCTAGAACCTCAGGGCTTGAGGAACAACACAGTGGAGAGCTCCCTAGGTTTTCTTTTTGCCTCTAATTTTTCCTGAACTGCAGGGTGTTGGAGAAGACTGTAACCTGGAATCACCAATAGGCAGAGACAAAAGAAGCGCCAAGAAAATTATATCTTTAGCCAAGGACTGGGAAAACAGCAACTTAATAGAACAGAAAACTTTTTGATAACATCTGACTTGCTTCAACCAAATATCAAAAGAAAAAAAATGACCAATTTGTGGTGACAGATGTATAAAGTGCAAGAGTGATTGAAAAGAGATGAGACTGAAGACATGGGTAAAGTCTATGTGTTTGCAGGGCCTTGAGTACTAGATAGGGCACGAAGACTATTTGGACTCCACGTTTTGGATTTAGGGAAACTACAGACGTGGCTTAAGTGACTAACAACAGGTTCAGATTTGATTTTTAGGTGGATCACCCCAAGTGTTATAGGGAGGCAATTGCAGTTCCGAGAGATCGTGAAATCTTCCATTTGGCCTAGAACATTGGACTTGTGGGAGAAAGGAAAGATTCCAGAAATTTAAGGGCTTGGTAATTGGATGTTGGGGATAGTGGTGGAGATAAAACAAAGTGTTCAGAATGACTTGTAGCAGCGAAGTTAGTGAGGAAGAATCCACAATGACAAAGTAGGAGTGTCTGGACCACTAGGAAAGAATCTGAAGGATTTATGAGGTCAGACTGCAGTTGAGGCCTGAAAAGGACCATTTGATTCTTATAAACGTGAGCCACTTCCACGAGCCCTCAAGAAGCAGAGAGGAACCCAGAGGGTTGAGAATAAGCATAGTGTTCATTGAGCTCCTTTCATCTGGGTTGAGTTGACTGAGTGGCAGGAAATTCATGGATGATATGGCTAAACTGTAAACAGCTGTGTCAATCTAAAATACGATTGAAAATTTTTTGAGACTCCTTCCATTGAGAGGTGTGGTCCATGTTTCCTCACCTCGAATCTGAGAAGATCCATGACTACCTAGAACAATCAAGCATGGTGCTATGTGAAGTGGTGCTATGTGATTTCTGAGGCTAGGTCATAAAAGGTCATGCCCAGTTTTCTTGGGACATGAACTGCTATGTAAACTATCTGACTACTTTGAGATACCCAGGATGGAGAGGCCATGTGAAGACTCTCTAGTCAACAGCTGTAGCTGAGTTCAGCCTTCCAGCCATCCCCACCAAGGTACAGATGTGACTGAAGCCATTTTGGACCCTCCAGACTAGCCCATGTGCCAACTGAGTCCCACTGAATGGCATCAGTGGATGCCACAAGGAGCAAAAAACTCACTATTATGAGCCAAATTATATCCTCCTCAAAATTCATATGTTGAAATCCTAGCCCCTAGCACTTCAGAATGTGACTATTTGGAGACAGAGCTTTAAAGAGGTCATTAAGGTAAAATTAGGTCATATGGGTGGGCCCAAATCCAATATGATTGGTGTCCTTGTAAGAAGAGGAGGTTAGGACACAGACACACACAGAGGGCATGTGGAGACACATGGAAAAGTGGCACCTACAAGTCAAGGAGAGAGGCCTCAGAAGACATCAACCCTGCTGCTAACTTGGTCTTGGACTTCTGGCCTCCAGAACTATAAGAAAAAATATTTCTGTTGTTTATGTTACTTTACTTTGTAACCTGTAGTACTTTGTTATGTAGCCCTAGCAAACTAACACACTCACCCAGCTGAGAACTTGTCACTCACAGGAATTCTGAAAGATAATAAAAAATAAAATGTTTACTGTTTTAAGTCACTACATTTTTGGGTAGTTTGTTCCACAGAGATAGGAGTGGGAACAAGTTTGGAACTCTGAAGTTTCTCTTGCTCTATGGATCTAGTTTTCCATCACCTTGTTGGTTTAGAATGGACTGCAGTGGGCAAACTCGAATAATTGATACCACTCAACAGAGAAGGTGGGGTGAAAGACCCGAGCCCACACTTAGGGTTTCTGTGGTACTTGAGAACCAGAATTTTTTCAACAGGTTTTAAAATATTTTCTCATTAGTTTGAAAAAAACACTGGAAAAAAACTGTGCATATGATGCATTTTATGTAGCTATTTTGTGGATATGCTATTTGGTCAGAGGGGATTCCTTGGGAGAGAGAATTGCAGTACCAGATTGCAGGCCGAGGGCCCTGTCTGACCTAGATTCTGATTTTCTAGAAGAGTGATTATAGCTCTGGAGGCAGGGGTTAGGTCTCATGGCCTTCACTAGGAAGCACTTTTCTTAGCCTTGGGGGATATTACATTACAGCTAATTACAGGCTGTCTGCTAAGATTTTCTAATTACTTCATTTGCATTAGTCTTATTTTCCTAAGGAGCCTATAAGCTTTCTGAAAGCATCTTGAGGACAGGGACACACTTCTCTGGGGTTTTCTACTCCAGACAGAGCCCACCTCAGTGTCTGGACACCCTGAAGACATCAGATAGTAGAGACAGGCAGTAGAACATGAGACATGAGGAAAATGGGTTCTAGAGTCAGCCTAAGTGGGTTCAAATCCAAATTTTGCCTCTCACTAGCTCTGTCACCTAGAGCAAGTTGTCTAACCTTTCCAAACCCATTTCCTCATCTGCAAAATGGGAATATTCATAGTATGTACTTTACAAAGCACTTGGAACTGTGCCTGTTACCTGGCAATTGCTCAATTCACATTAGTAACCAGTCATGTTAACTAATATTTTTTTAGGTTGACTTAGCTCTAAAAGTTAAAGGGCTCCTACATACTCACTACTGTCAGGTTTGGGATTTGCATGTGGGGAGGGGGACAGGGAGGTGGGTAGGCAGATGCTGCTGGAGTTAAAGAACCTGGGCTTTGGAGGGACCTAAATCCCAGCTCCACTTTGTATAGGTTGGGTGCGTTTGCATTAGCCCCTGACGTTGACACAGGGCCAGGTGATGAGGATTTTCAAGGCATTGCTGTCACTGCTTCTCTCTCCATCTCTCTCCTCTCCCCTGACAGGTGGACAAATCCCAGGGGAACATCTGGCTGCCAGACCCGGCCAGCTGTTCTGTCAGACCTGGAGACCCCTGCTGAAGCTGGAGAGACTAAGGATCCACCCCACCACAGCAGGGACTTTGAGAAATTAAAAAAGGGCAAGTTAATTAGAAAATGCTTAATTAGAAAACCAGTTCCCTAGAAAAAAGGGAATTAACTGAAAAATAGGCCTTAATCAGGAAAGCGTGGGCACAAGAATCCAGTGCTGGAACTGGCTTGCGCTGGCATGTGAGAGACAGTCGTGCACATCTCTTCCCAAGTTCAGCAGCATCAGGTTGGCAGCTTGAAAGCAGCCACAGTGGGAGTGTTTACACCACTAACATTCACTAATGTTTCAAGCCAGGAATTTTTCTCAGTGATTTGGTCGTTAAATATTTACTTAGACACCTAGTCAGAGGACCCCTGTATCTCTGGTGCTGCCCGCGTAGTAGGTCTAGAAACTTGTAGTGGAAACTTGACCCTGCAATTTCTTTTCTTTTCTTTTTTTTTAAATGGAATTTCACTCTTGTTGCCCAGGCTGGAGTGCAATGGTGTGGTCTGGGCTCACTGCAACCTCTGCTGCCTGAGTTCAAGTGATTCTCCTGCCTCAGCCTCCCAAGTAGCTGGGATTACAGGCACTTGCCACTGTGCCCGGCTAATTTTTGTATTTTTAGTAGAGGGGTTTCACCATGTTGGCCAGACTGGTCTTGAACTCCTGACCTCAGGTGATCCACCTGCCTCAGCCTCCTAAAGTGCTGGGATTACAGGCGTGAGCCACCGTGCCTGGCCTGACCTTGCAATTTCTTGATTCCTTCAAAGCTAATGTCCCCAAAGTAATTTGCACGATATGAATCATTGGGATGCATAAAGATGATTCCTCATTTTTTATTTAACAACTTTTTTACCAAATATTTTATTTTTTCTAGTCTTAGTTTTTGTTTTATAATATATAGAGTATATTATTACAGCCATATATGTACATATTTCATATAAATATACATATTTGACAAGTCTCTGTTTAATTTTTTTAACTTACGAAATGTGAACTAAAAAAGATATGGAGATCATTGTTTTAGGGTAAAAGAAAAGAGAATTAGTTCTAAGAAATTCAGACTGGATAATTCAGGGGTTGTGTGTGTGTGTGAGAGAGAGAGAGAGAGAGAGAGAAGGGGGTGGGTATTAGAAGTGAGAGGTGAAGACAAAAGGTAGAAAAGAGTTGTTTTGCTATTTTAGGCTGGGATATTTTATTTTATTATTTTTTATGGGGGTGGGTATTTTACTTGCTATGCAAGAATGGAGGTGGTCACTGTAGTGATCAAGGCAGGAGCATAGGCTGCTGCTTGAAGATCTTGGAAGGAGAATCCTTGCAGATGCTGGTCAGCAACTAATGAATCTCCTGGAGGGCTTGTTACAATGTTGATCACTGGGCCCCTCTTCACAGAGATTCACATTCAGTAGGTCCGAGATGGGGCCTGAGAATTTGCCCCCCATTTTTTTCAGGCTCCATTAAAAATTATTATTGTATTAATAAGACTTAAAATCACAGTCAATTTGCTGTATGTTGCTAAACTTTTATTTTCAATTTCTGTACTTGTCTTCCTGTAGACTAGTAACAGACAGCTTGGGTACTGGCACTGGTTCATGACTCCACTTGGAGTAGAAATGGTGTAAAGTTCACAGATGACAGTGATGTGGTTTTCCTTAGATAAGTAATCACTCACTTCTCTGGATGTCTCTATGATTTTTTTCTATATTGTTTTTTATTTCTAAACAAATTGACATAAAATAACTCCAGATGGTAGTGAAGGGAGAACTAACAAATTCTCAAGTGATGTGATGCTGCTGATTCTGGCCCAAACTTTGAAAACTAGTGATTCAAAGAAAAGTTTAAAGATAAAAGAGACTTTGCTGATGGCAAGCCTTGAGACTCAGAGGGCGGAACAGAGAGAATTTGGAGTAGTAGAGAGCTGGGAGGGTGGGAAATTGGGTCAGATTAGAGCCATAAAGGAAGAGGGGTCTAGGTGTTGAGCATTGACCGAAGGGGCTTGTACTTTTGGTGCTGGTTCACATAAACACAAAGAAATAGAGGCTATGCTGGGCTTAGCCCTGCAGATTGTAGTGGTGAGGCAGGAGGTGGTTTGGGTTAGTAGAAGGGAGCAGGTAATGTCTTATTAAGAGCCAAACAGAGCCCTGGAGGTCACATCTGTATTTTGACTCCTCTTTCCCCCTTGTAGAATTCTACATGCTCTTAGTTACTCATACCTCACATCATGCCTCACTTTCCTTTCTGAAGACTTTTCTGAGATTCTCTGAAAGGGTAACTTCAATTCTGTAAGGCAAAGATTCTGTTTTCAGACAGGGTAATTGTGGAACCAGAGCCTGACACTTCCCCTTGCCCTCTAGCCGCCCCATGAGAGTCATGGTCTCCTTGACCACTTTGATAGGAGGATCAAATATCTGTGCTTACCACTTGTCTCTGCCTGACCAAGAGTGCAAGCTATGGACATGATCTCCTTCTGGACTAGGGAGAAAGTTACAAGTCTTTTACTGAAATTTTATCATGGCTTCCCTTAAGCCACAACACCATTTACATCCATTTTTTTTTTGTAATATGTTTTCAAACATTCAGTCTAGGCATGACTGAATGTCCCATCACGTTTCTGAGGTGTTGTCTAGGAGCACGCGAGTCTGAATATGTGTATTAACACTGCCATCATGACTCTACACAGGGATTGGCTGCATGCCAATGGTTGTTACTACCTCGACATTTACTTTTATATTATTTAGATATATCTGCTTGCTTTGAGATTAGACATCCTTGCTTCATCCACAAAACTACCTCTTTCTCTGTTTACCTGATACAAATGACTATCCTATAAATATGCCTTTGCTTTACTGTACCTGTCATTCACTCTTACAGCTTTCTTTCTATTTTATATTATTTTTGAGTATATAACAGCTAGCTAGATCATAAACTCCATAAGTAAACTTTCTTCTTTATATCAACCATAATGCCTAGCATAGCAGTTTTGCAAAGGAAGTTCTCAGTGTTTGTTGATTGATTGACATGAAGAAATGTGTTAGGGCTGTTAAATTTGTTATGACAGAGAATAAAGCAGACTTAGCTCAGACTAGTAACTGTCTATCCAGTATAAGGAATTTGGCTAAATACTGAAAAGCTCCTTTAATTATTATGACATTTTAAATTAATTGTATATTTCCAACTGTATTTTCCAGTTGTGCATATAATTATTGTTATGTTAAACAGTATTTATACTTAAATGTTTAATAGTTTATGTAAGTGACTGAAATTAGTAGTGTTTTACAGCCAAACCAAATTCATCTTTAATTGTTATCTTCTCACAACCTCACCATTGGCAATTCCTTTGATGCAATGTGCAGTTTAATTACAATCACCCTATATCATGTGAGATGCATTAAATGGCAGAGGCCTTGAATTTAACCCTGAAACGGGCAGGAATTTCCTTTTCAGGGGCTCTTCCTTCTGAGCCCTGAGTCCCTGTGCTCTATCACCATAGCTGTGCATCCCACCTGGTGTTCTCTCTCCCTCTTTTTAATTTTTAATTTTTATGGGTACATAGTGGGTGTATATATTTACAGGGTACATGAGATATTTTGATACAGGCATACAATGTATAATAATCACATCAGAGTAAATGAGGTGTGCATCACCTTGAGCATTTATCCTTTCTTTGTGTTACAAACAATTCAATTATACTCTTTGTTATTTTTAAATGTACAATAAATTGTTGACTGTAGTCACTCTGTTGTGCTATCAAATATTAGTTCTTATTCATTCTATCTAATTATATTTTTGTACCCATTAATCATACCCATTTCTTCCCCCGATCTGCAGCTACCCTTCCCAGCCTCTGGTAACCATCATTCTACTCTCTGTCTTCATAAATTCAATTGTTTTAATATTTAGCTCCCACAAATAAGTGAGAACATGCAAAGTTTGTCTTTCTGTGCCTGGCTTGTTTCATTTAACGTAATGACTTTCAGTTACATCCATGTTGTTGCAAATGACAGAATCTCATTATTATATTTTTTAGTGGCTGAATTGTACCCCATTATATATGTACCACATTTTCTTTCCTTTTTTTTTTATTTTTTGACAGGGTCTTTCTCTCTCACCCAGGCTGGAGTGCAGTGGTGTGATAAAGGACTACTGCAGCCTTGACCTCCTGGGCTCAGGTGTTCCTCCCACCTCAGCCTCTTGAGTAGATGGGACTAGAGGTGCATACTACTATGGCCAGCTAATTTTTTCAATTTTTTTGAAGAGACAGGGTCGTGCTATGTTGCCAGGGCTAGTCTTGAACTCCTGGGCTCAAGTGATCCCCTAGCCTTAGCCCTACATTTGTTTTATCCATCTGTCTGTTGATAGACACTAAGGCTATTGGCTTAGTGCTGCAATAATGGCTATTGTGAATAGTGCTGCAATAAACATGGGAGTGCAAATATCTCTTTGGCATCCTGATCTCCTTTCTTTCGAGTATAACCTAGCAGTGGGATTGCTGGATCATATGAAAGTTCTATTTTCAGTTTTTAAAAATCTCCAAACCATTCTCCATAGTGGTTATACTAATTAAAAAATTTTTAAAAATATTGTGGGTACATAGAGGGTGTATATATTTGTGGGTTATATAAGATATTTGATACAGGCATGCAATGCATGATAATCACATCAGGGTAAATGGGTATCCATCACTTCAACAATTATTTTTTATATTACCAACAATCCAATTATATTCTTTTGGTTATTTTAAAATGTACAATTAAATTATTTTTGACTGCAGTTACCCTGATGTGCTAGCAAATACTAGGTTTTATTCATTCTTTCTAACTATTTTCTTGGTACCCATTAACCATTCCCACTTCCCTCTCACCCCCTTACTACTCTTCCCAGCCTCTGGTAACCATCTTTGTACTATTTCCACGAGTTCAATTGTTTTAATTTTTAGCTCTCACAAATAAGTCAGAACATGCGATGTTTGTCTTTCTGTGCCTGGCTTATTTCACTTAACATAATGATCCATCCATGTTGTTCCATCCATGTTCTTGCAAATGACAAGATATCATTCTTTTTTGTGGCTGAATATTACTCCATTGTGTATATGTACTATATTTTATTTATCCACTCATCTGTTGATGGATACTTAGGTTACTTCTAAATCTTGGCTATGATGAATAGTGCTGCACTAAACATGGAAGTGCGGATATCTTTTTGATACGCTAATTTCCTTTTTTTGGGGTATATAACTAGCAGTGGATTGCTGTATTGTATGGTAGCTCTATTTTCAGTTTTTTGAGGAACCTCCAAACTGTTCTCCATAGTGGCTGTACTAATTTACATTCCTGCCAACAGTGTATGAGGGTTTCCTTTTCTCCACATCCTCCCTGGGATTTGTTATTGTCTAACTTTTGAATGAAAGCCATTTTAAATGGGGTGAGATGATATCTCATTGCAGTTTTGAATTGCATTTCTTTGATGCTCAGTGATGCTGAGCACCTTTTCATATACTTGTTTGCCATTTGTACGTCTTATTTTGAGAAATGTCTATTCAGAACTCTTGCCCTGAGATTATTAGATTTTTTATAAAATTGAATTTTTAAATTAGATTATTAGATTTTTCCCCTATAGAGTTGTTTGAGCTTCTTATGAATTCTGGTTATTAATCCTTTGTCAGATGGATAGTTTGCAAATACTTTCTCTCATTCTGTGGACCATCTCTTCACTTTGTTGATTGTTTCCTTTTCTGTGCAGCAGCTTTTTAACTTGATGTGATCCCATTTGTCCATTTTTGCTTGGGTTGCCTGTGCTTGTGGGTTATTACTCAAGAAATCTTTGCCCACACCAGTTTCCTGGAGAGTTTCTCCAATATCTTCTTCTCTCTCTTTCTCTCTTTTTTTTTGACCGGCTACTGCACAGACCACGCCAACCCTGACTCATGGCTGCCGGCCTCCCCAATGTTTTCTTTTAGTAGTTTCGTAGTTTTAGGTCTTAGGTTTAAGTCTTTCATCCATTTTGATTTTATTATTGTATATGGCAAGAGATAGGGGTCTAGATTCATTCTTTTGCATATGGACATCCAGTTTTCCCATCCCATTTATTGAAGAGACTATTCTTTCCCCAATATATGTTCTTGGCACCTTTGTTGATAATGAATTCATTTGCTTTTACACTGTTGGTGGGACTATAAACTAGTTCAACCATTGTGTAAGACAGTGTGGTGATTCCTCAAGGATGTAGAACTAGAAATACCATTTGACCCAGCCATCCCATTACTGGGCATATACCCAAAGGATTATAAATCATGCTGCTATAAAGACACATGCACACATATGTTTATTGCAGCACTATTCACAATAGCAAAGACTTGGAACCAACCCAGATGTCCATCAATGATAGATTGGATTAAGAAAATGTGGCGTATATACATCATGGAATACTATGCAGCCATAAAAGCGATGAGTTCATGTCCTTTGTAGGGACATGGATGAAGCTGGAAACCGTCATTCTGAGCAAAGTATTGCAAGGACAGAAAACCAAACACCACATGTTCTCACTCATAGATGGGAATTGAACAATGAGAACACTTGGACACAGTGTGGGGAACATCACACACTGGGGTCTGTCGTGGGGTGGGGGGATGGGGGAGGGATAGCATTGGGAGATATACTTAATGTAAATGACAAGTTGACAGGTGCAGCACACCAGCATGGCACATGTATACATATGTAACAAACCTGCACATTGTGCACATGTACCCTAGAACTTAAAGTGTAATAATAATACTAAAAAAAAAAAGAAAATGAGTTCATTGTAGGTGTATGGATTTGTTTCTGGGTTATCTTTTCTCTTCCATTGGTTTATGTGTCTGTTTTTATGCCATTGCCATGCTGTTTTGGTTACTATAGCTCTGTAGTATAATTTGATGTCAGGTAATGAGATTCCTCCAGTTTTGTTCCTTTTTCTCAGGATGGCTGTGATTATTATGGGTCTTTTGTGGTTCCATATAAATTTTAGGATTTTTTTCTATTTCTGCAAAGAATGTCACTGGTATTTTGAATCTGTAGATTGCTTTGGATAGTATGAACATTTTAACAATATTGATTCTTCCATTCCATGAACATAGAATATATTTCCTTTCTTTGTGTCCTCTTCAGTTTTTTTCATCAATGTTTTATAGCATTCATTGTACAGATCTTTCACTTATTTGATAAAGTTAATTCCTGGGTATTTCATTTTATTTGTAGCTATTGTAAATGGGATTACTTTCTTGATTTCTTTTTCATATTGTTTGCAGTTGGGATATAGAAATACTACTGATTTTTCTTTTCTTTTTTTTTTTTTGAGACAGTCTTACTCTGTCACCCAGGCTGGAATGCAGTGGTGTGATCTTGGCTTGCTGCAACCTCCACATCCCAGGTTCAAGCAATTCTTCTGCCTCAGGAAGATGGAGTTGCTCTGGTTCAAATGTCTCTTACATTTCTCTCCTCCCTTATATAAGAGAACTGTAATCCTAAGGGTTGTAGGTAGTTGAAGACGCAGCTTCTATAACTTCTTCAGGCTAATTAGGGGTGATGATATTCCTGCTTAACTATTGGGTATCTTGCATTCAGGGTTCAGAATAGCTCAGTCAGAAAGTGTTGATATGGCAAGGGCCATTCATAACTCTTGAGTTCCAACAAAATGTGATATCTGAAAGATTAATAAGTATTTAAGAAAATGTTGAGTAAACTTATTCTGTATGCCTACACAAAGAGTAAAACAGCAATATATTCCACAACCATAAAGCAAAATTATTTCAAGTAAACTAAATAAGAAGGTTTTCCATGAACTAGGCAACTGTTGGAACCAAGGTGATACGGGGTTGCTAGCTGATTCCAACATGTGCCAAGAATTAGAATATTGATCCAGAGTTTTTACATTACCCATTCCTCTTGTTTCTTCTGAGCAGCAGCCAGAGATCACTGGTTGGTGCATAGAAATAAGCAGGGTTAGTATAAATTGCAGAAAAAAAAACCTTAAAAGCAACTAATGAGACTAGAATCAAATAACAAGTGTGTTTGAAATATATATTTTTTGTCTCTCCAGTTTCCCATTTGTACTAAAGACAAATCATAATAGGACCGATTTATTTGTAAAAATAAGTTTTAGTCTTATACTTGGCCTGATTATTTGTATAAAGTGCCTCAAGAATAATTATTTTTTATTTTATTTGTTTATTTTATTTATTTTTTATGTATTTTATTTTATTATTTATTTATTTATTATTTATATAGGCTTTTAAATTGGCTTTGATGGAACTTTGCTCCATAAAAGGAATCTTAGATAAGACTTTTTTTTAAAGCTGAGCCCAATCATGGGTTTGTGCCATCAAATACATATGAGTTGGGTAAATTCCTGTCCACTTGAGGTACCAATATAACTTGGGGCTCCTGGGCTGTCAGAAAGTGACATTCTTTACTTGCCACGGTCAGAAACCCTGTACAGGGACTGTGTAGACAAGGTATAAGGCCAGTTTTCTCAAGGGGCTTTTACTGGCTCTATAAGTCAAGTTTGATTCCTTAAAAGAAAGCACATCATTCCAGTCAAAGCCTTGGTAAAATAACCAGTTTCTTCAATTGTGTCCTGTTAAAAATCAAAACAGATTCTTATTGCACTTATGCAATACTCACAAATAGTCTCCAAATCTTGGAGAAATCAGGTACAGAGAAAAAAAATCCTCCAAATTTTGTCCATGAGAGTATACTTTACTCAACTGTTAAAAGCTGTAAATAGCTGAAATGTTTCCTTGATTATGAAAAACAAAGGATCAGCAACATTTTAAGCAAAAAGTTAAAAAAAATTACTTCAGTCTTCTATTAGTTCAGTCCATGCAGTTAACTCCTGTTCTGCTTGATGTTTATGAACATTCCAGCTCTCTATGAGAGTTTTGAAAGTTTTTCCTCTATTCTAACATCATAATCTCCAAAGTTATCAGAAATCTGCATTCAAGAGCACCTGTCAAAGTCCTATAGCTTATTAAAAGCCACCTTTCAAAGAGGATTCCAACAAGACAACAATTGTCTGTGGATGACAAAAAGTTTTAGTTAGGACAGCCACTATTAAAGCCACAATTGACTAGGAAATTTTGGTTCCTTCTGTGGCATACAACAATTTTACATAACAATTATAATTATTAATAATATACACTAAGTCATATCAGAATTATAGGAGTTTCCCATAATTTTGGAACACATACCAATAACATATTTATATGAATATGGCCCAAAGAAAGCAAAACAGCATTTTATATTTGACAATGCTTTCTGTATGATTTTTATACCAAATAAGCCAAATTTCGTCTTTATGTTAGTGTATCATTACTGTTAAACCCAATTCATAATAAAATTTTGTAGACAAATCTATCCAATCTTTATCAGTTTGACCATAAGGTAAGATTCTTATGAACCTTTTATAGTCCTTTACAAATTTTTGTTAAAGAGCAGATCAGTGTTCTAAGAAAAACCCATTGTGCTTTTATTCCAATGTTCAATTTACAGAAAAACTGCATATTACCCCTTTAACTTTAGCCAATATGTTCACACACATAATTTCTTTTACAATTAATTTTTTAAATAAACCTTCCACAACTTGTTCAAACCTTTAGATTTTCTCTATCTCACTTAAAACAATCCTTTAACCCTTTAATCTAGGCAAAAAAGTCCACACTCCTATGACTTTTTATAGGATTTTACCCAAAACATATTTCATTTTTATTACACACTTTGCATGAAAAACTAGTTTTATTTCCCAAAGATTACTTAAGTCATGTGAACTAAAAGGCATTACACTTTTTACTTTTCTGACAAAATATTTGATTTAAGCTCTTATCATTTTTAAACCAATTAATCAAAACTCTTTCATATCACATACACAACACATATAAATACACAGACAGATAAAGGACTCATTCCCTAAGTCAGGAACTAAACCCTGAGCCCAGGCTGCCATTGGATGGTGGAGACCAAGAGAAAGTACTGCCAGGTGGTTACAAGGTCAAGCTCCCAACGACATGAAATAAGATGAGAGGGAAACTTTATCTAGGTTTTTTTTTTTGTTTTTGTTTTTTTTTTGAGAACCTGCAGCAAAGTTTATAACTGAACAGTTTGCTGGGCCATCTTGAACAGCAGGCTTATGGGGTCCTAAGCCCACATTCTATCCTGAGGTACCCCTGCCCATTATAGAACACAGAAAGACACACAAAGCACACCAAATCGGCTACAACTTAAGACTAGCCTCATGAATTCTTGTCCCCATTAATTAAAACTTTGCAAAATATAGTGATGTTTACCATTTCCAAAACCAGTTTGCACACACATACACACACACACATGCACAGAGGGAGGGAGGGGGGAGAGAGAGAGAGAGAGAGAAAAGCATTGCCTGAGGCAGGATGGGGAAGGTGAAGAGCTCAGGGAGGCCAGAGAAAGACCCACCCATTGCAGTGACATTGTATTCAAAGTTCAGGCAGCCACTTGTCGGTTGTGAATGGATCTTTTCTGGCAGTCTGATCAGCTCTCAAGTTTCCCCCTTTAGGGAGGAAGAAGCTACCCATGTCCCTCAGTGCTGTACATACCTAATCCTGTCACCCATAGCTGTCAGCAAAGAATACAAGGCAGATTAATCCAAAGAGAATAACAGTTAACATCCTGTGGTGTCAAAGCCATTCTTAGCAGAGAGGGACTTTACTGAGAGAGGCTTCTAACCCCCTAAATCTTAGGAAGGACTCTAACCTTCCTAATTTGGTCCTTGAACCCTAGTTTAGTCAAGTGTTCTTGCATTTTATTAAGGACCTTTAACCCTCTCTGTCTTAGGAGAGAAATCCAATCCCATCCTTTACCTGGGTGAATGCACCCCATTTACTCAAAGTCAGCCAACAAGTGCTGCAGTCTATTTCCTTTGGGTCAGAGGTCTCCTCAGTATCATCCCTTTGGGGTTCGACAAAAAGATATTACTGGAAAGGGGTCCTGATCCAGACCCCAAGAGAAGGTTCTTGGATCTTGTGTAAGAAAGAATTCAGGGCAAGCCCACAGAGTAAAGTGAGAGCAACTTTATGAAGAAAGTTAAGGGGCTGGGCACAGTGGCTCACACCTGTAATCCCAGCACTTTGGGAGTCCAAGGCAGGTGGATCACTTGAGGCCAGGAGTTTGAGACCAGCCTGGCTGACGTAGTGAAACCCTGTCTCTACTAAAAATACAGAAATTAGCTGGGCATGGTGGCACACACCTGTAATCCTGCTAATTGGGAGGCTAAGCCAGAAGAATCACTTGAACCTGGGAGGAGGAGGTTGCAGTGAGCAGAGATGGTGCCACTGTACCTCTAGCCTGGGCCACAGAAGGAGACTTCATCTCAAAAAAAGACTAAAAGAATGGCTACTCCATAGGCAGAGAAGCCTGATCTTTATTATTTCTTTTCTTCTACTAATTTTGGGTTTGGCTTACTTTGAAGCTTTTCTGCTTTTTCAATGTAGGCACTTATTGCTATAAACTTTGCTCTTAGTACTGCTTTCGCTATGTCTAACAGGTTTTGGTGTGTTGTGTTTCCATTTTCATTTGTTTCAATAAATTTTCCAATTTTCTTCTTAATTTCTTCATTGACCCACTGGTCATTCAAGAACATACTGTTAATTTCCATGTGTTTTTATAGTTTCCAAAATTTCTTTTGTTATTGATTTCTATTTTTATTACACTGTGGTCAGAGAAGGTGCTTGGTATTACTTAAATTGTTTTGAAATTTTTAAGACTTGTTTTGTGGTCTAATATGTGGTCTTTCCTTGAGAATGATCCATGTGCTGAGGAGAAGAATGTGTATTCTGCAGCCATTGGATGAAGTGTTCTGTGGATATTTATTAGGTCCATTTGGTCTGCACTTCAGATTAAGTTATCTGTTTATTTGTTAATTTTCTGCCTGGATAATCTGTCCAGTTCTAAAATTGGAATGTTGAAATCTCCAGCCAGTCTTTTTTTTTTTTTTTTTTTTTTGAGATGGAGTTTTGCTCTTGTTGCCCAGACTGGAGTGCAATGGCTCAATCTTGGCTCACTGCAACCTCTGCCTCCTAGGTTCAAGAGATTCTCTTGCCTCAGCCTGCTGAGTAGCTGGGATTACAGGCGTGTGCCACCACACCCAGCTAATTTTTTGTATTTTTAGTAGAGACGGGGTTTCACCATGTTGGCCAGTCTGGCCTCAAAGTCCTGGCCTCAGGTCTTTGTCCCACCTGCCTTGGCCTCAAAGTCCCACCTGCCTTGGCCTCCCAAAGTGCTGGGATTACAAGGGTGAGCCACCACACCCAGCTAGCTATTCTTTTTCTTTTTATTGGAGTTTATCTCTCTTTTTAGCTCTAATAATATTTGCTTTATATATCTGGGTGCTCCAGATGTTAGGTGCGTATATATTTACAATTGTTATCTTCTTGCTGAATTGACTCCTTTATTATTATTTAATGATTTTCTTTGTCCCCTTTCATAGTTTTTTGTCTTGAAATCTATTTTGTCTGATATAAGGACAGCTACTCCTGCTCTTTTTTTAGTTTCCATTAACATTGAATATCTTCCTATCCCTTTATTTTCAGTCTATGTGTATCTTTATAGGTGAAGTGCATTTCTTGTAGGCAACAGATTGTTGGGTCTTTTTTTATTTTTATTCTTTTTAATTTTTAATTTTTTTTTTTTTTTTTTTTTGAGATGGAGTTTTGCTGTGTCATCCAGGCTGGAGTGCAGTGGTGTGATCTCGGCTCACTGCAAGCTCCGCCTCCCGGGTTCATGCCATTCTCCTGCCTCAGCCTCCCATGTAGATGGGACTACAGGTGCCTGCCACCATGCCTGGCTAATTTTTTTGTACTTTTAGTAGAGACGGGGTTTTACCATGTTAGCCAGGATAGTCTTGATCACCTGACCTCGTGATTCGCCTGTCTTGGCCTCCCAAAGTGCTAGGATTACAGGTGTGAGCCACCGCGCCCGACCTATTGGGTCTTTTTTAAAAAAAATCTGTTTAGCCACTCTGTCTTTTGACTGGAGAGTTTAGTCCATTTACATTCAATGTTATTATTGATAAGTAAGAACTTACTCCTGCCATTTTGTTATTTGTTTTGTGGTCTTCTCTTCCCTTTTTTCCTTCTTTCCTGTCTTCCTCTTAGTGAAAATGATTTTATCTAGTTGTATGTTTTCATTTTTTCCTTTATATTTTTTGTGTATCTGTTGTATTTTTTTGATTTGAGGTTATCATGAGGCTTGCAAATAATATCTTATAACTCATTTTATTTTTTTATTTCAATAGATTTTGGGGAACAGGTGGTGTCTGGTTACATTGATGAGGTCTTTAGTGGTGATTGCTGAGATTTTGGTGCACCCATCACCCGAGCAGTGTACACTGCACCCAATGTGTAGCCTTTTATCCCTTACCCTCTCCCACCTGGATTCCTCCCAAGTCCCCAAAGTTCATTGTATCATTCTTATGCCTTTGTGTCCTCATAGCTTAGGTCCTACTTATAAGTGGGAACATATGATGTTTGGTTTTCAGTTCCTGAGTTACTTCACTTAGAATAATGATCTCCAACTCCATATCCAGGTTGCTGCAAATGTCATTATTTTATTCCCTTTTATGGATGAGCAGTATTTTATTATCTACTACTCATTACCTGAGGGGCATTTGGGCTGGTTCCATATTTTTGCAATTGTGAATTATGCCACTATAAACATATGTGTGCAAGTGTCTTTTTCGTATAATGACTTCTTTTCCTCTGGGTAGATACCCAGGAGTGGAATTGCTGGATCAAATGGTAGATCTGCTTGTAGTTCTTTAAGGAATCTCCATATCATTTTCCATAGTGGTTGTACTAGTTTACATTCCCACCAGCAGTGTAAACGTGTTCCCTTTTCACCACATCCATGCCAACATCGATTATCTTTTGATTTTTTAAAATTATGGCCATTCTTGCAGGAGTAAGGTGGTATCACATTGTGGTTTTGATTTGCATTTCCCTGTTAACTAGTGATGTGGAGCATTTCTTTCATGTTTGTTGGCCATTTGTATATCTTCTTTTGAGAATTGTCTATTTGTGTCCTTAGCTCCCTTTTTGATAGGATTATTTGTTTTTTCCTTGCTGATTTGTTTGAGCTCCTTGTAGACTCTGGATATTTTTCCTTTGTTGGATGCATAATTTGCAAATATTTTCTCCCACTCTGTGGTTGTCTGTTTGCTCTGCTGGTTATTTCTTTTGCTGTGCAGAAGCTTTTTAGTTTAATTAAGTCACAATTATTTATCTTTGTTTCTGTTGCATTTGCTTTTGGGTTCTTGGTCATGAACTCTTTGCCTAAACCAATGTCTAGAAGAGTTTTTCTGATGTTATCTTCTATAATTTATAAATTTCCGTCTTAAATTTAAGTCTTTGATCCATCTTGAATTGATTTTTGTATAAGGTGAGAGATAGGGATCCAGTTTCATTCTTCTACATGTGCCTTACCAATTATCCTGGCACCATTTGCTGAATAGGATGTTCTTTCCCCACTTCATGTTTTTGTTTGCTTTGTTGAAGATCAGTTGCTGTAAGCATTTGGCTTTATTTCTGGATTCTCTCTTTTTGTTCCATTGGTCTATGTGCCTATTTTTATAACAGTACCACCCTATTTTGGTGATTATAGCCTTGTAGTATAGTTTGAAGTCAGTTAACGTGATGCCTCCAGATTTGTTCTTTTTGCTTAGTCTTGCTTTGGCTATGTGGACCCCTTTTTGGTTCTGTATAAATTTTAGAATTTTTTTCTAGTTCTTTGAAGAATGATGGTAGTATTTTGATGAGAATTGCATTGATTTTGCAGATTGCTTTTGGCAGTATGGTCATTTTTACAATATCTATTCCTCCCATTTATGAGCATGGGATGTGTTTCCATTTGTTTGTGTCATCTATGATTTCTTTGAGCAATGTTTTGTAGTTTTCCTTGTAGAGGTCTTTCAACTCCTTGGTTAGGTATATTCCTAAGTATTTAATTTTTTCTGGCAGCTATTGTAAAAGGGGTTGAGTTCTTGGTTTGATTCTTAGCTTGGTTGCTGTTGGTGTATAGCAGTGCTACTGATTTGTGTACATTGATTTTATATTGTGAAACTTTACTGAATTCACTTATCAGATTTAGGAGCTTTTTGGATAAGTCTTTAAGATTTTCTAGATATATGATTACATCATTGACAAACAGCAACAGTTTGACTTCCCCTTTACCAATCTGGATGCCCTTTATTTCTTTGTCTTATCTGATTGCTCTGGTTAGGACTTCCAGTACTATGTTGAATAGAAGTGCTGAAAGGGGGCATCCTTGTCTTGTTCCAGTTCTCAGGGGGAATGCTTTCAACTTTTCCCTGATCAGTATAATGTTGGTTTTCCATTTGTCATAGACGGCTTTTATTATTTTAAGGTATGTCCCTTTTATGCCAATTTTGCTGAGGGTGATAATCATAAAGGGATGCTGGATTTTGGCAATTGGTTTTTCTGCATCAATTGAAACGATCATATAATTTTTGTTTTTAATTCTGTTTATGTGGTGTATCACATTTATTGACTTGCATATGTTAAACAATCCCTGCATCCCTTGTATGGAATCAACTTCATCATGGTGGATTTTCTTTTTGATAATGCTGTTGGATTTGGTTAGCTAGTATTTTGTTGAGGATTTTTGCATCTGTGTTCTTCAGGGATATGTTTCTGTAGTTTTCTTTTTTTGTTATGTCCCTATTCTATGATTAAATCATGGAATGATTTAGGGAGGATTCCCTCTTTATCTTTCGGAATAGTTCCAGTAGGATTGGTACCAATTCTTTTTTGAAAGTCTGATAGTATTCAGCTGTGAATCCATCCAGTCCTAGACTTTTTTTGGTGGGAATTTTTAAATTACAATTTCAGTCTCGCTGCTCATTATTATTAGTCTGTTTGGAGTTTCTATTTTTTTCCTGGTTTAATTTAAGAAGATTGTATATTTCCAGCAATTTATCCATCTCCTCTAGGTTTTCTAGTTTGCACACATAAAGGTGTTCATGGTAGCCTTGAATGATGTTTGGATTTCTTTTTTTTTTTTTTTTTTTTTTGAGATGGAGTCTCTCTCTGTTGCCCAGGCTGGAGTGCAGTGGCATGATCTTAGCTCACTGCAAGCTCCGCCTCCCAGATTCACACCATTATCCTGCCTCAGCCTCCCGAGTAGCTAGGACTAAAGGTGCCCACCACCACGCCTGGCTAATTTTTTTTTTGTATTTTTTAGTAGAGACGGGGTTTCACCGTGTTAGCCCAATGGTCTCGATCTTCTGACCTCCTGATCCACCCGCCTCAGCCTCCCAAAGTGCTGGGATTACAAGCATGAGCCACTGTGCCTGGCCATGATCTTTGGATTTCTGTGCTATTAGTTGTAATGTCTCCCATTTCATTTCTAATTGAGCTTATTTGGATCTTCTGTCTTCTTTTCTTGGTTAATCTCACTAATGATCTATAAATTTTGTTTATCTTTTCAAAGAATCAACTTTTTGTTTCATTTATCTTTTGTATTTTTGTTGTTGTTTCAATTTCATTTAGTTCTGCTCTGATCTTAGTTATTTCTTTTCTTCTGCTGGGTTTGGGTTTGGTTTGTTCTTGTTTCTCTAGATCCTTGAGGTGTGACTGTAGGTTGTCTATTTGTGTTCTTTCAGACTTTTTGATGTGGGCATTTAATACTATAAATTTTCCTCTTAGCACTGCTTTTGCTGTATCCCAGAGGTTTTGATAGGATGCATCACTATTATCATTCAGTTCAAATAATTTTTTAGCTTTCATCTTGATTTCATTGTTGACCCAGAGATCATTCAGGAGGAGCTTATTTAATTTCCATGTATTTGCATGGTCTTGAGGGTTCCTTTTGGCGTCAATTTCCAATTTTAGTCCACTGTGGTCTGAGAGAGTATTTAATATCATTTCATTTTTTAAAAATTCATTGAGACTTGTTTTGTGGCCTATCATATGGTCTATTTTGGAGAATGTTCCATGTGCTGATACATAGAATGTATATTCTGCAGTTGTTGTACAGAATGTTCTGTAAGTATCTGTTAAGTCCATTTGTTCTAGGGTATAGTTTAAGTCCATTGTTTCTTTGTTGACTTGCTATCTTGATGACCTGTCTAGTGCTGTCTATGGAATACTGAAGTCCTCCACTATTATTGTGGGGCCATCTATCTCATCTCTCAGTTCTAGTAGTAATTGTTATATAAATTTGGGAGCTCCAGCGTTAGGTGCATATATATTTAGGATTGTGATATTTTCCTGTCGGACGAGTCCTTTTATCATTATGTAATATAATAATATATAATATGATAATAATGTCTTTTTTAATTGTTATTGCTTTAAAGTCTGTTTTGTCTAATATAAGAATAGGCACTCCTGCTCAGTTTGGTGTCCATTTGCATGAAATATCTTTTTCCACCCCTTTACCTTAAGTTTATGTGAGTCCTTATGTGTTAGGTGAGTCTCTTAAAGACAGCAGATACTTGGTTGGTGAATTCTTATCCATTCTGCAATTCTGTAACTTTTAAGTGGAGCATTTAGGCCATTTACATTCAACGTTAGTATTGACATGTGAGATATTAACGCTATTCATCATGCTAGTTGTCTGAATACCTTAGGTTTTTAAAATTGTATTATTGGGTTATAGGGCCTATAACATTTATGTTTTAAGGAGGTTCTATTTTGGTGTAGTTTGAGGTTTTGTTTCAAGATTTAGAATGCCTTTTAGCAATTCTTATAGTGCTGGCACAGTAGTGGTGAACTCTGTCAGCATTTGTTTGTCTGCAAAAGACTTTATCTTTCCTTCATTTATAGAGCTTAGTTTTGCTGGATACAAAATTCTTGGCTGATAATTAGTTTGCTTAAGGATGCTAAAGATAGGACCCCAATCCCTACTAGCTTATAGGGTTTCTACTGAGAAATCTGCTGTTAATCTGATAGGTTTTCCTTTATAAGTTACCTGACATTTTTGCCTTACAGCTCTTAAGATTCTTTCCTTTGGCTTGACTTTAGATAACCTGATGGCTCTTTGCCTAGGTGATTATCTTTTTGCAATGAATTTCCCAGGTGTTCTTTGAGCTTCTAGTATTTGGATATCTAGATCTCTAGCAAGGCCAGGGAAGTTTTCTTTGATTATTCCCTCAAATAAGTTTTCCAAACTTTTAGATTTATCTTCTTCCTCAGGAACAGCAATTATTCTTAGGTTTGGTCATTTAACATACTCCCAAACTTCTTGGAAGCATTATTTACTTACTTATTTACTTATTTATTTGGTCTTTGTCAGATTGGGTTAACTTGAAAGCTTCACTTTCAAGCTCCAAAGTTCTTTCTTCTACTTGCTCATTTCTATTGCTGAAACTTTTCAGTGTATTTTGCATTTCTCTAAGTGTGTCTTTCCTTTCCAGAAGTTGTGATTGTTTTTTATGATCATATCTATTTATCTGGAGATTTTTTCATCCATATCCTGCATTATTTTTTAAATTTCTTGAAATTGCTTTTCACCTTTCTTTGGTGCCTTCTTGAGTAGCTTAATAATCAACCTTCTGAATTTTTTTTTTTTCTGGCAATTCAGAGATGTTTTCGTGGTTTGGCTCCATTGCTGGTTAGCTAGTGTGATCTTCTGGGGGTGTTATAGAACCTTGTTTTGTCATATTACCAAAAGTGTTTTTTTCTGGTTTCTTCTCAGTTGGGCAGACTATATCACAGGGAAGATCTGGGACTCCAGCGCTGCTGTTCAGATTCTTTTTTCCCATGGGGTGATTCCTTGATGTGTTGTTCTCCCCCTTGCCCCAGGGATAGGGCTTCCTGAGAGCTTTACTGCAGTGATTGTTATTGCTTTTCTGGGTCTAGCCATCCAGTGGAGCTACCAGGTTCTAGGTTGGTACTGGGGAGTGTCTGTAAAGAGCCCTGTGATGTTATTCATCTTCAGGTCTCTCAGCCATGGATACCAGTACCTGCTTTGGTGGAGGTAGCTGGTGAGTGAAGTGGACTCTGTGAGAGTCCGTGGCTATAGTTTTGTTTAGTGCACTTGTTTTCTCAAATGCTGATTACAGGCCGGGCGCGGTGGCTCACGCCTGTAATCCCAGCACTTTGGGAGGCCGAGGCGGGCGGATCACGAGGTCAGGAGATCGAGACCATCCTGGCTAAAACGGTGAAACCCCGTCTCTACTAAAAATACAAAAAATTAGCCGGGCGTAGTGGCAGGCGCCTGTAGTCCCAGCTACTTGGGAGGCTGAGGCAGGAGAATGGCGTGAACCCGGGAGGCGGAGCTTGCAGTGAGCCGAGATCCCGCCACCGCACTCCAGCCTGGGCGACAGAGCGAGACTCCGTCTCAAAAAAAAAAAAAAATAAAAAAATAAAAATAAAAAAAAAAAAAATGCTGATTACACCAGCAATGAAGTTGTCATGTGGACAGACTCAAGACCTCTGATTAGTCAGGATATTACAATAGTGGAATTAGCTGCTGTTTTCTCCTTCCTTGGGACAGGGTTGTTCTGTTATGAGTTGCTGTAATGGCTTAAGTTGATTGACCTCCAACCAGGAAACAGCATTTTCAAGACAGCGTCAACTGCAGTAGTATACTAGCAGTAGTATACAAGTAATATAGTAGTAGTATACAAGATTGCCCTAAGGTCACCTGGATAAGTATTCATATTTCTCAGGCAATGGGTTGGACCATAGAGCTCCTATAAGCTTATGTCTTTCGTCTTTGGCTACCAGGGCAGGTAGAGAAAATCCATCAGGTGGGGGCAGGATTAGACATGTCTGAGCTCAGGCTCTCCTTGGGTCAGGCTTGCTGTGGGCACTGTGGGGGATAGGGGAGAAGTTCTCAGGCCAATGGAGCTATGATCCAATGGCGATTATGGCTGCCTCTGCTGCTTCATACGCGTTGCCAGGGAAATCAGGGAAAGCCAGCTGTGACAGGTGATATGGTTTGGCTCTGTGTCTCCACCCATATCTCATCCTGAATTGTACTCCCATAATTCTCTCATGTAATGGGAGGGACCCATTGGGAGATAATTAGGATCATGGGAGTAGTTCCCCCATACAGTCCTCATGGTAGTGAATAAGTCTCACATGATCTGACAGTTTTATCAGGGGTTTCCACTTTTGCATCTTCTTCATTTTTTACTCTTGCTGCCGCCATGTAAGAAGTGCCTTTTGCCTCCCACCATGATGCTGAGGCCTCCCCAGCCATGTGGAACTGTAAGTCCAATTAAACCTCTTTTTCTTCCCAGTGTTGGTTATATCTTTATCAGCAGTGTGAAAACAGACTAATATAACTGGCCTCACCCAGCTCCCATGCAGCCAGCAAGGTCAGTCTGACTCCTGCCAGCTCTCCCAACAGCCAACAGAGCTGAATTTATATCCAGGCTTCTGGTGCATAGGGTTGAGGTCCTACCTCAGTCTACAAGCCTCCCCACTGAGAAAGCAAGCAGGGCTTTCAGGTCTTGCCCTTCCCTGCCTGCTGCAGCTTCTGTGCTTGTATCTGTACTTCTTGTTCACCCTCTTGCTCCAACTTTTTTGCCCAGGAAAATTCATGCTCGGTCAAAATTATTACAAAGTTCCTTTGGAAGCCTTCTTTTCCCTGTGATCCTTCCCCAATTCCACTGGCTGCCCTCCCCAAGGACCCCTATGAGATAAAATCAGAAATGGCTTCCCTGAGGACTGGGAGTGCCTACAGGGCTCTTCCTGCTGCTACTTCTACTTTTATATTTCGCTTGGCTCTCTAAATTTGTTTAAGCTCTAGGTAAGGTTAAATCCTTCTCCTATGATCTGGATTTTCAGGTTCCCCAGTGAGGATGTGTGTTCAGAGGCAGGATTTCCCCCTTCACACTTTTGGAACTGACAGATTTTTGGCTGTCTCATGGAGTTTGCAGTGGAAAGCCACTTCTTTCAAAGGGTCTATGAATTCTTTTGGTTTTCCTGGTATGTTCCTGCAGTGGTTCTTGGAGCTAAAGTTCACAGTGTGTTTTCACATGCTGTTCTGTCCATCTGAGTGGGAGCTGCAAGTTAGTCCTGCCTCCTATCTGCCATTTTTTTTCTGAGAGCTTTCACTTTTACTGCTCTAACCTATTATTTTAAACTGATGATAACACTTTGTTTATGTTTATTTATGACATTGCATAAACAAACAAGCAAGAAAAAACTAATAAAACCTCTACACTTTAACTTCATCCTATCACTTTTTAATTTTTTATTGTTTCTATTTATATCTTATTGTACTATGTCTTAAAAAGTTGTAGTTATTATTTTTGATTGACTTTTCATTTTACTACTCAAGATATGAGTAATTTATGTACCACAATTACAGTGTAATAATATTATGTATTTTTCTGTGTATTTACTATTAGCAGTGAGTTTTGTATCTTCAGATGATTTCTTATTCCTCATTAACATCCTTTTCTTTCAGATTGAAGAACTCTCTTTAGCATTTCTTGTAGAACAGGTCTAGTGTTAACACAATTTTTTAGCTTTTGCTTGGGATGGGCAGATTACGAGGTCAGGAGATCGAGACCATCCTGGGTAACACGGTGAAACCCCATCTCAACTAAAAAATACAAAAAATTAGCCAGGCATGGTGGCAGGCACCTGTAGTCCCAGCTACTCAGGAGGTGAGGCAGGAGAATGGTGTGAACCTGGGAGGTGGAGTTCGCAGTGAGCCAAGATCGTGCCACTGCACTCGAGCCTGGATGACAGAGCAAGACTCCATCTCAAAAAAAACCCAAACCAAACCAAACCAAAACAAAACGAAACAAAAATCAGATCTCGTGAGACCTATTCACTATCATGAGAACAGCACAAGAAAGACAATGCCCATGATTCAATTACCTCTTACTGGTTTCCTCTTACAACACGTGGGAATTCAAGATGAGATTTGGGTGGGGACACAGCCAAACCATATCATTTGAGTTAAATCTGCTTGGTGTTCTAGGACCTTTTTGTACTTTAATATTGATATCTTTCTCTAGGTTTGGGAAGTTCTCTGTTATTATCCCTTTGAATAAACTTTCTATCCCTATCTCTCTCTCTACCTACTCTTTAAGGCCAATAACTCTTAGATTTGCCCTTCTGAGGCTATTCTCTAGATCTTGTAGGCATGCTTCATCCTTTTTTATTCTTTTTTCTTTCATCTCCTCTGTGTATTTTCAAGTAGCCTGTCTTCAAGCTCACTAATTCTTTCTTCTGCTTGATTCATTCTGTTCATAAGAGACTGATGCATTCTTCAGTATGTCAATTGCATTTTTCAACTTAGGAATTGCTGTTTGATTCTTTTTAATTATTTCAATCTCTTTGTTAAATTTATCTGATAGGATTCTGCATTCTTTCCCTGTGTTATCTTGAATTCCATTGAGTTTCCTCAAAACAGCTATTTTAAGTTCTCTGTGACATATCTCTGCCTCTCCATAATTGGTCACTGGTGTCTTATTTAGTTCATTTGGTGAGGTCATTTTCCTGGATGGTCTTGATGCTTGTGGATGTTCAGTAGTGCCTGGGCATTGAAAGTCAGATATTTATTGTAGTCTTTGCAGTCTAGGTTTGTTTGCATCTTTCTTTCTTGGGAAGGCTTTCCAGGTATTCAAAGGGACTTGGGTATTGTGATCCACATTTTGGTCACTGCAGCTGTATCTGCATTAGGAGGCACCCCAAGCCCAGTAATGCTGTGGCTCTTGCAGACTCAGAGGTACTGCCTTGGTGGTCTTGGATAAGATCCAGAAGAATTATCTGGATTATCAGGCAGAGACTCTTGTTCTTTTCCCTTACTTTCTCCTGGACAAATGAAATCTCTCTCTCTCTGTGCTGAGCTTCTTGGAGCTGGGGATGGGGTGACACAAGTGCCCCTCTGGACACCACCACTGGTGCTGCTCTGTGTCAGACCTGAAGCCAGCACAGCACTGCATCTTGCTCAAGGCCCATGTTAACTACTGTCTGGCTACTGCGTGTGTTCACTCAAGGCTCTACAGTCAGCAGCTAGTGAATCCAGCTAGGCTTGTGTTTTTCCTTTCAAAGCAGCAAGTTTCTCCTGGTCCCAGATTCAGAGATGCCATTTGGGATCTAGGGCCTGGAGTTGGAAACCTTAGGAATCCATCTAGCGCTCTATTCTACTTCAGCTGAGCTGGCATCCAAGCTGCAAGCCAAATTCCTTCCCACTCTTCCTTCCCCTTTCTGCAAGCAGAGGAGTCTGTTCCCATGGCCCCCATGGCCCTAGGCCCACAGCAAGTACTAGCACTGATGTTCATTCAAGGCCCAAGGGTCCTTCAGTCAGTTTGTGGTGAATGTTGCCAGCCCTGAGACTCTCCCTTCGGGGCAGTGGGCTCCCTTCTGGCTCAAGCCTGGTCTAGAAATGCTTTCCAAGAGGCAAGGCCTGGAAGTGGTGACTCTAAGAGCCTGCTTGTTGCTCTAACCGACTGTGGCTGAGCTTGTACCTAAGCTGCAAGACAAAGTCCCTTTTACTCTGTCCTCTTCTTTTCTGAAGCAGAAAGATTCTCTTCCCATAGGCACCACAGCTGCAAATTTGCTGAGTCACACCTGAAGCCAGCATGACACAGAGTCTCACCCAAGGCCCACAGTGAGTACTGCCTGGGTACTGCTACTGATTATTCAGGGCCCAAGGGCTCTTTATTCAGCAGGTGATGAATCTTGTCAGGACTGGGCCCTTCCCTTCAAGGCAGCTGGTTCTCTTCTGGCACAGGATGTGTCTAGAAATGTCATCCAGAAGCTGGGGCCTGGAAGCACAGTGCCCTATCCTACTGTGGTTGAGTTGGCATCCAAGTTGCAAGCCAAAGTCTCCTTTACTCTTCCCTCTCCTGTCCTCATGTAGAGGGGAAGAAGTCTCTACTGCAGCTGTGTGCCGTGCTGCCTGGGGTTGGGGGAGGAATGGCACAAGCACTCCCTTGGCCACCTCAGCTGGTATCTTACTAGGTCATGTGCCCCCAAATCCACTGACTCTGAGTCCAGCACAGCACAAAGAGCTGCTCAGGAATTTTAGTACTTGTGGCCTAGACTGCCTTTCAAGTTTATTTAAGACCCCAGAGGACTTTTGCCCACAATGGCGAGGCATGCCAGAACTCAGTTTCAAACTATTCGGATGGACGATTCCCCTCTGGCTAGAACTGGTCTAAATGCTCCCTCTGTGGGCACCAGTTGAGTTTTCCCCAGTGTTGCTTTCCACTGTGACAGGCAGCACTGAATTCCAATGCAAAGTCTCACAATCTCTGCACTCCTTCCACAAAGCACCAAGATTCTCTCTGCATCATGTGATGGCTGTTGGGGGATGGTGAAGGGGTGCCATTGGCAATTCAAGACTTCTTTCCTATCCTCTTCAGTGCGTCTTTCAGAAATATGAAGTTAAAAAAAGGTACTTCGACTGCTTATCTGATTTTTGGTTCTATGAAAGTGGTGTTTGTGTGGATAGTTGTTGAATTTGGTGTTCCTGTAGGAAGGACACTGGTGGAGGCTTCTGTTCAGCCATCTTGCTCTGCCCCCTCCTCCTGGTACTCTTTCTCTTTCAGCTGCGCTTGAACACCTCCTTTCTTTTCATTTTGACTTTTTACTACAAGTTTTGAAAAGTAGAAGAAAGAGAATTATACCCATATTACTATCACCTAAACTTAACAATTAACTTTTTTGCCATATTTTCTCCATTTTTAAGAGTTTAAAAATTATAGACATTTCACACCAAAACACTTCAGTAGAAATCTCTAAAAAAATTGTCCTACATAACCACAATATTATTATCACACTGTATTAGTTTTCTAGGGGTTGCCATAACAAAATACCACAGACTGGGTGGCTTAAACAACAAAAATTTGTTTTCTCACAGCTCTGGAGACTGGAAGTTCAAGATCAAGGTGTTGGCAGGTTTGGTTTCTTCAAGGAGGCCTTTCTCTTTGGCTTCAGAGGATCAACTTTTTGCTTTGTCCTTATATGGTTTCCTCTCCATCTTTGTGTCTCTGTGTCCAAGTTTTCTCTACTATAAAGACTCTAGTCAGTGTGGTTTAGGACTCACCCTAAAGACTTCATTTTACTGTAATCACCTTCTTGGAGGCTCTATCTTGAAATATAGTCACATTCTGACATACTGGGAGTTAAGATTTCAACATTTGAATTTTGGAGAGATAAAACTCAGTCCATAACACACACACTTAATAAAACTAACAGTAGTTTACTAATATAATTTAATACTGAATCTCTAGTTGCTTTTTTACAATTGTCCACCAAATCTCTTTGTTCAAACTAAGAGCCAAACAAGAACCATAAATTGCATTTGGCTGTCACGTCTTCTAAATTTATTTAAATATAGAATAATCCGGAGGGGGAGGAGCCAAGATGGCTGAATAGGAACAGCTCCGGTCTACAGCTCCCAGCCTGAGCGACGCAGAAGACGGGTGATTTCTGCATTTCCATCTGAGGTACCGGGTTCATCTCACTAGGGAGTGCTAGACAGTGGGCGCAGGTCAGTGGGTGCGCGCATCGTGCGCGAGCCGAAGCAGGGCGAGGTATTGCCTCACTCGGGAAGCGCAAGGGGTCAGGGAGTTCCCTTTCCTAGTCAAAGAAAGGGGTGACGGACGGCACCTGGAAAATTGGGTCACTCCCACCCGAATACTGCGCTTTTCCGATGGGCTTAAAAAACGGCGCACCACGAGATTATATCCCGCACCTGGCTCGGAGGGTCCTACCCCACAGAGTCTCGCTGATTGCTAGCACAGCAGTCTGAGATCAAACTGCAAGGCAGCAGCGAGGCTTGGGGAGGGGCGCCCGCCATTGCCCAGGCTTGCTTAGGTAAACAAAGCAGCTGGGAAGCTGGGTGGAGCCCACCACAGCTCAAGGAGGCCTGCGTGCCTCTGTAGGCTCCACTTCTGGGGGCAGGGCACAGACAAACAAAAAGACAGCAGTAACCTCTGCAGACTTAAATGTCCCTGTCTGACAGCTTTGAAGAGAGCAGGTGTTCTCCCAGTACGCAGCTGGAGATCTGAGAACGGGCAGACTGCCTCCTCAAGTGGGTCCCTGACCCCTGACCCCCGAGCAGCCTAACTGGGAGGCACCCTCCAGCAGGGGCACACTGACACCTCACACTGCAGGGTACTCCAACAGACCTGCAGCTGAGGGTCCTGTCTGTTAGAAGGAAAACTAACAAACAGAAAGGACATCCACACCAAAAACCCATCTGTACATCACCATCATCAAAGACCAAAAGTACATAAAACCACAAAGATGGGGAAAAAACAGAACAGAAAAACTGGAAACTCTAAAAATCAGAGCGCCTCTCCTCCTCCAAAGGAACGCAGCTCCTCACCAGCAACAGAACAAAGCTGGATGGAGAATGACTTTGACGAGCTGAGAGAAGAAGTCTTCAATCAAATTACTCTGAGCTACGGGAGGACATTCAAACCAAAGGCAAAGAAGTTGAAAACTTTGAAAAAAATTTAGAAGAATGTATAACTAGAATAACCAATACAGAGAAGTGCTTAAAGGAGCTGATGGAGCTGAAAACCAAGGCTCGAGAACTACGTGAAGAATGCAGAAGCCTCAGGAGCCGATGCGATCAACTGGAAGAAAGGGTATCAGCAATGGAAGATGAAATGAATGAAATGAAGCGAGAAGCAAAGTTTAGAGAAAAAAGAATAAAAAGAAATGAACAAAGCCTCCAAGAAATATGGGACTATGTGAAAAGACCAAATCTACGTCTGATTGGTGTACCTGAAAGTGATGGGGAGAATGGAACCAAGTTGGAAAACACTCTGCAGGATATTATCCAGGAGAATTTCCCCAATCTAGCAAGGCAGGCCAACATTCAGATTCAGGAAATACAGAGAACGCCACAAAGATACTCCTCGAGAAGAGCAACTCCAAGACACATAATTGTCAGATTCACCAAAGTTCAAATGAAGGAAAAAATGTTAAGGGTAGCCAGAGAGAAAGGTCGGGTTACCCTCAAAGGGAAGCCCATCAGACTAACAGCGGATCTCTCGGCAGAAACCCTACAAGCCAGAAGAGAGTGGGGACCAATATTCAACATTCTTAAAGAAAAGAATTTTCAACCCAGAATTTCATATCCAGCCAAACTAAGCTTCATAAGTGAAGGAGAAATAAAATACTTTACAGACAAGCAAATGCTGAGAGATTTTGTCACCACCAGGCCTGCCCTAAAAGAGCGCCTGAAGGAAGTGCTAAACATGGGAAGGAACAACCGGTACCAGCCACTGCAAAATCATTCCAAAATGTAAAGACCATCGAGACTAGGAAGAAACTGCATCAACTAATGAGCAAAATAACTAGCTAACATCATGATGACAGGATCAAATTCACACATAACACTATTAACTTTAAATGTAAATGGACTAAAAGCTCCAATTAAAAGACACAGACTGGCAAATTGGATAAAGAGTCAAGACCCATCAGTGTGCTGTATTCAGGAAACCCATCTCACGTGCAGAGACACACATAGGCTCAAAATAAAGGGATGGAGGAAGATCTACCAAGCAAATGGAAAACAAAAAAAGGCAGGGGTTGCAATCCTAGTCTCTGATAAAACAGACTTTAAACCAACAAAGATCAAAAGAGACAAAGAAGGCCATTACATAATGGTAAAGGGATCAATTCAACAAGAAGAGTTAACTATCCTAAATATATATGCACCCAATACAGGAGCACCCAGATTCATAAAGCAAGTCCTGAGTGACCTACAGAGAGACTTAGACTCCCACACATTAATAATGGGAGACTTTAACACCCCACTGTCAACATTACACAGATCAATGAGACAGAAAGTCAACAAGGATACCCAGGAAGTGAACTCAGCTCTGCACCAAGCGGACCTAATAGACATCTACAGAACTCTCCACCCCAAATCAACAGAATATACATTCTTTTCAGCACCACACCACACCTATTCCAAAATTGACCACATACTTGGAAGTAAAGCTCTCCTCAGCAAATGTAAAAGAACAGAAATTATAACAAACTATCTCTCAGACCACAGTGCAATCAAACTAGAACTCAGGATTAAGAATCTCACTCAAAACCGCTCAACTACATGGAAACTGAACAACCTGCTCCTGAATGACTACTGGGTACATAACGAAATGAAGGCAGAAATAAAGATGTTCTTTGAAACCAAAGAGAACAAAGACACAACATACCAGAATCTCTGGGACGCATTCAAAGCAGTGTGTGGAGGGAAATTTATAGCACTAAATGCTCACAAGAGAAAGCAGGAAAGATCCAAACTTGACACCCTAACATCACAATTAAAAGAACTAGAAAAGCAAGAGCAAACACATTCAAAAGCTAGCAGAAGGCAAGAAATAACTAAAATCAGAGCAGAACTGAAGGAAATAGAGACAGAAAAAACCCTTCAAAAAATTAATGAATCCAGGAGCTGGTTTTTTGAAAGGATCAACAAAATTGATAGACCGCTAGCAAGACTAATAAAGAAAAAAAGAGAGAAGAATCAAATAGACGCAATAAAAAATGATAAGGGGGATATCACCACCGATCCCACAGAAACACAAACTACCATCAGAGAATACTACAAACACCTCTACGCAAATAAACTAGAAAATCTAGAAGAAATGGATACATTCCTCGACACATACACTCTCCCAAGACTAAACCAGGAAGAAGTTGAATCTCTGAATAGACCAATAACAGGATCTGAAACTGTGGCAATAATCAATAGCTTACCAACCAAAAAGAGTCCAGGACCAGATGGATTCACAGCCGAATTCTACCAGAGGTACAAGGAGGAACTGGTACCATTCCTTCTGAAACTATTCCAATCAATAGAAAAAGAGGGAATCCTCCCTAACTCATTTTATGAGGCCAGCATCATTCTGATACCAAAGCCGGGCAGAGACACAACCAAAAAAGAGAATTTTAGACCAATATCCTTGATGAACATTGATGCAAAAATCCTCAATAAAATACTGGCAAACTGAATCCAGCAGCACATCAAAAAGCTTATCCACCATGATCAAGTGGGCTTCATCCCTGGGATGCAAGGCTGGTTCAATATACGCAAATCAATAAATGTAATCCAGCATATAAACAGAACCAAAGACAAAAACCACATGAATATCTCAATAGATGCAGAAAAGGCCTTTGACAAAATTCAACAACCCTTCATGCTAAAAACTCTCAATAAATTAGGTATTGATGGGACATATTTCAAAATAATAAGAGCTATCTATGACAAACCCACAGCCAATATCATACTGAATGGGCAAAAACTGGAAGCATTCCCTCTGAAAACTGGCACAAGACAGGGATGCCCTCTCTCACCACTCCTATTCAACATAGTGTTGGAAGTTCTGGCCAGGGCAATTAGGCAGGAGAAGGAAATAAAGGATATTCAATTAGGAGAAGAGGAAGCCAAATTGTCCCTGTTTGCAGATGACATGATTCTATATCTAGAAAACCCCATTGTCTCAGCCCAAAATCTCCTTAAACTGATGAGCAACTTCAGCAAAGTCTCAGGATACAAAATCAATGTGCAAAAATCACAAGCATTCCTATACACCAACAACAGACAAACAGAGAGCCAAATCATGAGTGAACTCCCATTCACAATTGCTTCAAAGAGAATAAAATACCTAGGAATCCAACTTACAAGGGATGTGAAGGACCTCTTCAAGGAGAACTACAAACCGCTGCTCAAGGAAATAAAAGAGGATACAAACAAATGGAAGAACATTCCATGCTCATGGGTAGGAAGAATCAATATCATGAAAATGGCCATACTGCCCAAGGTAATTTACAGATTCAATGCCATCCCCATCAAGCTACCAATGCCTTTCTTCACAGAAGTGGAAAAAACTACTTTAAAGTTCATATGGAACCAAAAAAGAGCCCGCATCGCCAAGTCAATCCTAAGCCAAAAGAACAAAGCTGGAGGCATCACACTACCTGACTTCAAACTATACTACAAGGCTACAGTAACCAAAACAGCATGGTACTGGTACCAAAACAGAGATACAGATCAATGGAACAGAACAGAGCCCTCAGAAATAACACTGCATATCTACAACTATCTGATCTTTGACAAACCTGAGAAAAACAAGCAATGGGGAAAGGATTCCCTATTTAATAAATGGTGCTGGGAAAGCTGGCTAGCCATATGTAGAAAGCTGAAACTGGATCCCTTCCTTACACCTTATACAAAAATCAATTCAAGATGGATTAAAGACTTAAACGTTACACCTAAAACCATAAAAACCCTAGAAGAAAACCTAGGCATTACCATTCAGGACATAGGCATGGGCAAGGACTTCATGTCTAAAACACCAAAAGCAATGGCAACAAAAGACAAAATTGACAAATGGGATCTAATTAAACTAAAGAGCTTCTGCACAGCAAAAGAAACTACCATCAGAGTGAACAGGCAACCTACAAAATGGGAGAAAATTTTCGCAACCTACTCATCTGACAAAGGGCTAATATCCAGAATCTACAATGAACTCAAACAAATTTACAAGAAAAAAACAAACAACCCCATCAAAAAGTGGGCTAAGGACATGAACAGACACTTCTCAAAAGAAGACATTTATGCAGCCAAAAAACACATGAAAAAATGCTCACCATCACTGGCCATCAGAGAAATGCAAATCAAAACCACAATGAGATATCATCTCACACCAGTTAGAATGGCAATCATTAAAAAGTCAGGAAACAACAGGTGCTGGAGAGGATGTGGAGAAATAGGAACACTTTTACACTGTTGGTGGGACTGTAAACTAGTTCAACCATTGTGGAAGTCAGTGTGGTGATTCCTCAGGGATCTAGAACTAGAAATACCATTTGACCCAGCCATCCCATTACTGGGTATATACCCAAAGGACTATAAATCATGCTGCTATAAAGACACATGCACACGTATGTTTATTGCGGCACTATTCACAATAGCAAAGACTTGGCACCAACCCAAATGTCCAACAATGATAGACTGGATTAAGAAAATGTGGCTCATATACACCATGGAATACTATGCAGCCATAAAAAATGATGAGTTCATGTCCTTTGTAGGGACGTGGATGAAATTGGAAATCATCATTCTCAGTAAACTATCGCAAGAACAAAAAACCAAACACCGCATATTCTCACTCATAGGTGGGAATTGAACAATGAGATCACATGGACACAGGAAGGGGAACGTCACACTCTGGGGACTGTTGTGGGGTGGGGGGAGGGATAGCATTGGGAGATATACCTAATGCTAGATGACGAGTTAGTGGGTGCAGCACACCAGCATGGCACATGTATATGTATGTAACTAACCTGCACAATGTGCACATGTACCCTAAAACTTAAAGTATAATTAAAAAAAAAAAAGAAAAAAATAAAAAGAAAAAAACAAAATTTGCATAGGAAAACTTAAAAAAATAAATAAATAAATATAGAATAATCCCTCTCCCTTCTTTTTTCTCATGAATTGTCTTATTAAAGCGATTGCTCCACATTTTGCATTTTTCTTTTTTGCTTAATGGAAGGTAATTTAACAGGATCTATCCGCTGTACTGAGTTTTCTATAAACTAGAAGTTATGCCTAAAGGCCTGATTAGATTCTGGTTAAACATTTTAGGCAAGAACGTTTCAAAGATGATATTGTATATTTCCTCTTGGGTCCCATTTGATGGCATAGTGTGTCTAGTTGTCCCCATTTGAGTGTTTAGATTGGTCCCTGGTATAAAGTGGTGACAGCTTGATTTCCCCTTGAGCAATTCCATTTTTTCCTCTTGTGACCAGCAGGCAATCTGTGGGGGCTGCTTTAGCCCTTGGAACATCTGCTTTGCCATCAGGTTTTACCTAATGGTTTATGATCCTTAACTAAATCAACTATTTCATTATGGTTTACAAATTTATTTTACATTTATTATCTGAAATTATTCTGCAGAGAAGCACTTTCCCTCATCAACTGGGCTATTTAGTTACCCTTAAATAGAATTCCAACTGGAAAGACAGGATAAATTATTTTTACCTTCAATTTCCAATTTTCAGAAAATAAAGTTGGCAAAATATCGCTTCCAATGATGACACATGAAATTTGTTTTGTTTGTAGTTTCTATTTTTTTGTGTCATTTAGATATTTATGGCCTTTAATATATTCTTATTGCCATTTTTTTCATACTCAAATTGGCCCAATGGTTGGCCAGTTGTGATCCCTTCAAAATGATTTGTCTTTTTAACATAATCCCATTGATCTTTACAAGTTCTCCTATTTCCTACAATAGTGAGATATTCCAGGCTGGCTTTGTATATTCTTTGCCCCACACTTGGGGTGAGTTATTTGTCTAAGAAGACTTGGTTTCTTAAATGTGGAATATTTAGAAACCATAATCTAGCTCTAGGGATACCCATTGCTACTCGAATATTACTTTTTTTTTTGGCTCTTTCAATGGGCAGAGTCAGACAATACAGGCATACCTTGGAGATATTGCAAGCGTGGTTCCAGACCACTGCAATAAAGTGAATATTGCAATAAAGGGAGTTACACAATTTTTTTGTTTCCTAGTGTACATAAAAGTTATGTTTACACTATACTGTAGTGTATTAAGTGTGCAATAGCATTATTTCTAGAAAACAATAAACATACCTTAATTGAAAATACCTCATTGCTAAAAAATACTAATGATTATCTGAGCCTTCAGCGAGTAGTTTCTTTTTGCTGGTGGAGGGCTTTGCCTCTATGTTTATAGCTGCTAACTGATCAGGGTGGTAGTTGCTGAAGTTTGGGTGGCTATTACAATTTCTTAAAATAAGATAGCAATGAAGTTTGCCATATCAATTGAGTTCTCCTTTCACAAGAGACTTCTCTGTAGCATGTGATGCTATTTGATAGCATTTTATCCACAGTAATACTTCTTTCAAAATTGGAGTCAATCCTCTCAAATCCTGCTGCTGCTTTATCAAGTTTATGTAAGGTTCTAAATCTTTGTTGTCATTTCAACAATGTTCACAGGATCTTCACCAGGAGTAGATGTCATCTCAAGAAACCACTTTCCTAGCTCATTCATATGAAGCAACTCCTCATCCATTCAAGTTTGATCATGAGATTGCCAAAAATCAGTCACACCTGTGGAGTCCACTTCTAATTCTAGTTCTCTTCTTATTTTTAC
The DNA here is from genome assembly GCF_000001405.40 of Homo sapiens. Classification (NCBI taxonomy): domain Eukaryota; kingdom Metazoa; phylum Chordata; class Mammalia; order Primates; family Hominidae; genus Homo; species Homo sapiens. The sequence goes on from NC_000003.12 coordinate 114,284,691, forward strand.
AATATCTTCAGTTACTTCCTCCACTGAAGGCTTGTACTCCTTAAAGTCATCCATGAGTGTTGAAATCAACCTCTTCCAAAATCCTGTTAATGTTGATATTTTGGCCTCCTCTTATAAATCATGAATGTTCCTAATGGCAATAAAGGGAGTTACGCAATTTCCTATTGTATACAATTGCCATTAGGAACATGCAACATTCCTAATGGCAATAAAGGGAGTTATACAATTTTTTGGTTTCCTAGTGTACATAAGAGTTATGTTTACACTATACCATAATGTATTAAGTGTGCAATAGCATTATGTCTAAAAAAAATGATGAATCCTTTCCATAAGGTTTTCAATTTACTTTGTCCAGGTCTATGAGAGGAATCACGATCTACGGTAGCTATAGCCTTATGAAATATATTTCCTAAATAATAAGACTTGAAAATTGCTCCTTGATCTAGGGCTCCAGAATGGATGGTGTGTTAGCGGGCATGAAAACAACATTAATTTCCTTGTATGTCTCTATTAGTTCTTTTGAGTGACCAGGTGCATTGTCAATGAACAATAACATTTTGAAAGGAATCTCTTTTTCTGAGCAGTAGATCTCAACACTGAGTTTAAAATATTCAGTAAACCATGTTGTAAACAGATGTGCTGTCATCCAGGCTTTGTTTTCCATTTGTAGAGCTCAGGCAGAGTAGATTTAGCATAATTCTTAAGGGCCCTAGGATTTTCAGAATGTTAAATGAACATTAGCTTCCACTTAAAGTCATCAGCTCCATTAGCCCCTAATAAGAGAGTCAGCCTGTCCTTCGAAGTTGAAGCCAAGTGTTGACTTCTCTTTAGCTCTGAAAATCCTAGAGGGCACCTTCTTCCAACATAAGGCTATTGTGTCTACATTGAAAATCTGTTATTTTGTGTACCCACCTTCAATGGTCTTAGCTAAATCTTCTGGATAACTTGCTGCAGCTTCTACATCAGCATTGCAGTTTTACCTTGTACTTTTATGTTATGGGACAGCTTTTTTCCTTAAGCCTCATGAACCCAATCTCTGCTGGCTTCAAACATTTCTTCTGAAGTTTCCTACCTCTCTCAGCCTTGATAGAATTGAAGAGAATAAGCACCTTGCTCTAGACTAGGCTTTGGCTTAAGGGAGTGTTGTGGCTTGTTTGATCAGCTAGCTATTCAGACCACTAAAACTTTCTCCATAGTAACAATAAGACTGTTTCACTTTGTTATCATTTGTATGTTAATTCACTAAATAACACTTTTAATTTCCTTCAAGAAATTTTCCTTTGCATTCACAACTTGGCTAACTGGTACAAGAGGCCAGGCTTTCGGCTAATCTTAACTTTCAGTGTGCCTTCTTCACTAAGCTTAATCATATCTAACTTTCGATTTAACATGAGAGATGCGTGGCCCTTCTTTTCACTTGAACATTTAGAGGCCACTGTAGGGTTATTAATTGACCTAATCTCAATATTGTTGTGCCTCAGGGAATAGGGAGGCTTGAGGAGAGGGAGAGAGATGGGGAAATGGCCAGTTGGTGAAGCAGTTGGAACACACAATTTTATTAATTTTGCTATCTTATATGGGCCTGGTTTGTGGTACCCCAAAACAATCAGAATAGTAATGTCAAAGATCACTAATTACAGATAACCTTAACAGATACAATAATAATGAGAAAGTTTGAAATATTGTGAAAATTACCAAAATTTGACACAGAGACATGAAGTGAGCACACGCTGTTGGAAAAAGGGTGCTGATTAACTTCCTCTATGCAGGGTGGCCACAAACTTTCCATTTGTAAAAAACGCAGTATCTACAAAGTGCAATAAAGTGAAGAGCAACAAAATGAGATATGCTTGTCTATGTATTCTTTAAAATCATGACTTTGTAATGATAGTTCAAATTCAAATTTAACACTACAGAGAGTTTTACTTAATTATTTGAGTTTATATTTATAAATATCTATTTTCTTTCAAGCTGAAAATCTTGATTTCTAACAATATAATTATTTATTTGTTGTATTATTTCAAAATAACAATGCAACTGAATGAATTGATTATATATACTTTTATTTTTTATCCTAGATTATAGCCCATCAAAGAAATACACAGTGCTAAGTTTCAAACTCAGTTGACATAATTATTTTTTTCTGTATGATTGTTATTAATTTTATATATGATTAATTTCTTTTTTCCTTTAATTTTAGGAATGGCTTTTCCTTTTTTATACTACACACACACACACACACACACACACATATCTCAGTCCATTTTGACTGCTATAACAAAATATCTTAGATTGGGTAATTTATAAACAACAGAATTCTATTGCTCATGGTTCTGGAGGTTGACAAGTCCAAGATGGAGCCACCAGCAGATTCAGAGCCTGATGTGGGCTGGTTCCTCATGGATTGTGTCTTTTAGCTGTGTTTTCACATGGTGGAAGGGGCTAAGAAGATCCTTGAGGTTTCTTTAATAAGGGCACTAATTCTATTCATGAGGGCTCTACGCTCACTGCTAAATCATTTTCCCAAAGGCCACAACTCTTAATATTGGCACATTGGGAATTAGATTTCAACATATGAAGTTTAGAGGAACTCATTCAGACCATACCAATATGTATTTTTTTAAAATATGTAAAAGCATCACGTTTTAGAAGTTAAAAGCTATAATTAAGAAGTTTTTCTTCCTTCCCAGTCATCTCTCTCCTCACCTGCTTGCCTTTTACCTAAATGTAACCAATTATTAGAATTAATTTCTGGTTAATTCTTACAGTTTTTCTTATTACAAATATAGGTAAATTTGTAGTCATAGTCTTACACTCCTTCACTCTTTCCCACAAAGGTAGCATACTATACACGTTTCAGCATCTTGCTATTTCACCTAACAATATCTTCTAGGGATCATTTCATACAAATTTATTGAGATCATCCTCATTATTTTTATGGATACCTAATTCTCCATCATGTGGAGGTACCACAGTTTATTGAACCATTCCTCTACTGGTGAACATTTGAGCTGTTTCCTTTTTTTTTTCTAGTACAAATATGCCTCATGAATAACTTTGTGCATGTATCATGTTGCATTGGTACAGTTATATCTTTAGAATTCTAGAAGTGGGATTTCTGGCCAAATAATAAACACAGCTGTGATCTTGATAGATATTGACATACTCTCCTCCAAGGGAGTGGTATCATTTTGCATTCCTAACAACAATATATGGTGGTACTTGTTTATCTGCGGCCTTACCAATAGAATATATTGTTAAAATTTTGATTTTTGCCTGTTTGGTGGGGAGGTAGCATGGTGTAGTCTTGATGCTCGTCTCTCTATGACTGAAGTTGAGGAGTTTTCCATTTGTTTAAGGAATATTTGTATTTCGTTTTCTATGAACTCTCAGTTCAGGTCTTTGGATATGTTCGGAATTCGTCTTTTTCTTCTTCAATTCTAGGAACTATTTATGTTAAAGAGCTTAATCATTTGGCTGTGAAATAAGTTCCAAATAATCTTTTTAGTTTGTCACTTGTCTTTTGACTTTTACAATGTTATATGAACGCAAAAGCCTTTTTAAAAAACTTCATATAATCAAATTCATCACAAAATTTTATCTATGGATTCCAGATTTTTAGTGAAGTTAAAAGACTCTCTACTTTCAGATTTTAAAGGAATTCACTTATGTCATATTTTCTTTTAGTATTTGTAGAATTTCACTTAAACACATAAAGGACAGCTGACTCAAATTTTCTTCTTTTGGCTTTTGTGCATTTCTTATTAAACTTATTCCTAAGTATTCTGTACTTTTTTTTTTTTTTGCTGTGATTATAGATGGAGGCTGTCTTTCAAAACACTTTCTGATTAATTATTGCTGTGAATATAGAAAGACTGTTCATGTGTATGAATTTTATATCTTGTTAATTTTCAGAATTCTTTTATTGTTTATGATATTTTCCATATTGATTCCTTTGGGTTTTCCACACATATATAATCATCTATAGCTAGAAATAGTTTTGTCTCCTTATTTATAATTCTTATACCTCTAAATGCTTCTCTTACTTAATTAAATTGGCTAATATTTCCAGTAAGTTGTTAACCAGTCACAGTAATAATGGGTACCCTTTCCTGACTTTAGTAGGAATACCTCTAGCATTTCTCCATCAAAACAGATGCTAGTTTGGGGCTAATTTTACATGTGTGTGTGTACAAATAATTTACACACACACATGTAAAAATAATTTTTTTACATTGTGTGAAAAAATAATTTACAGATTCTTCTTTCACTGAATTTAAAAACAATTGGTCAGGCCAGGCACTGTGGTTTAAGCCTGTAATCCCAGCACTTTGGGAGGCTGAGGCGGGTGGAGTTTGAGACCAGCCTGACCAATATGGTGAAACCCCATCTCTACTAAACACAAAAAATTAGCTGGGCGTGGTGGTGCATGCCTGTACTTGGGAGGCTGAGGCAGGAGAATCGCTTGAACCCGGGAGGTGGGAGTTGCAGTGAGCCAAGACTGTGCCATTGTATTCCAGCCTGGGCAACAAGAGAGAAACTCCATCAAATAAATAAATAAATAAATAGGTCATGGGGATTGATTTCATCAGATTGCTTATCAGAATCAAAGGAAATGATTATAGGCTTTGAAAAATATAGACCTTATATTTATTATTAGTGGATTTTGCAATATTGAATCATTCTTGCTACCCTGGAATAAACCCTACCTGGTGATTATGTATTTTGTTTAATATATTATCGGACTCTGCGTAACAATATTTAGAATTTTTTCCTCAACATATGGAAGTGAGATTCAAATCTGGTGTTCTTTAATTGTGTGCAATCTTAATCACTTTAATATCAGTTTTGAATTCATATCATAAAACTAATGAAGAAGGCTTTATGTTCTATGTCTGTATATTTTAAGTAACATTGAAATTATCTGCTCTTCAGAAGTTTGTTGTAGTCTCTTTGTGAAATCTTCTAGGTATGGCATTCTTTTTGCTGGGGACAGGAGGAGCTCTTGATGCTTGAGGGAGTCTTGGAATGATATGTTCACGTGTACTTCTATCCCAGTCCTAGTTGTCTTGGATGACTGAGGGCTCTAGGTAAGAGGAAGAAGGAAAGAAGTGTCCAGGGGTAGAGGCTACCTTTCCCAAGGAAGATGGGGCCGGGATGGATTGATAGTATAAAGGACTGAGAGTAACAATGATTCTTTGCTTGACCAAACTTTGTCAGCAAAGTTTGTCCTGAACCTTCTCCTAGGCCCATCCATGCACTTCCTTGTAAAATCCATTTTTTAGCCAAGAACAAGGATAAATCAGTTTTGCAAGAACCCCTATCCCCCTGTATCTGATCACCCTTGATATCTTATCAGGTTTCTCATCCTCCACCATTTCTCAGTTCATGTCTGATCTACCCTGGCCTGTCTTTAGCAAGAATCCTATTAGGTCAGTTTAGCCAGAATCTTCCTTACACGTGATGTTCCCTCTTAGCACTTTTCCATCCACTGACCCCCACTCTGCTTCTTGGTGATAAATTCCCATTGCCCATGCTGTATTCAGAATTGAGCCCAATCTCTCCCCCACTGCAAAATCCCATTGCCTTGGTCTCTATACCTATTGTGATGGTCCTGAATAAAGGCTGCCTTACCTTTAAGAAGTGTCATTGCCTAAGTTGTCTAATTATACGATAGTTTAATCCCATCTAGAATAGAGGAGGAGAAGGAGGGAAGCAATGTGGGTGTGTAGGAGGGTTGTGAAGAGAGGCGGCAGGAGAGGCCTAAGCTGAGAGGATCAGCCGCCTCTTCCCAAAGATTTTTCTTCTGACTTTGCATTCCAACCTATCCTAGGGGTCTCTGTCCTATTTTCACAGCTGGAAAGAAGAAAGAAATTTCCCATAGTCGGTTGAACTTCTTGGCAGCCTTGGAGGATGGAGGAGATAGATCCTCAGAGCCACCTCACGGGAGGGAGTTTTGACAAACAGAAGTCAGCGGTCCCACTCCCAAGTTCTCCTCATTTGTATTTGCCAGTGTCAGCCAAGTCCCATGGCTTGTTAATAAGCCTCAGATCACGGGCAGTCCTTTCGCGTGGAGTCTGATTTTCTGAGGCAGCTCTCTCCACAAGTGGCTTTGGAACTCCATCACTCAGGCCGCCCCACTGTGAGGAAGCTTGGCTAAGGCTGTGAGACAGCTGGGGGTGATGGGACACAGGGCGGGCCCTTCCTGGTGCCTGGGGCGGCCAGGTCCCCTTGTCCCCCCTGTGTCAGGGCTCCCGTGCTTCCTCGCCCTTCTCTCCTAACATCTAAGGCAGGAGGCAGGGCCTTCTCGCCCCCCGCCATAATATAACCTGCCACCAGGAGGCGCTGTTCTACAGGATGGAGAGTGGGGAGCTTGGAGGAGAGAGCACGACCCCCTGCTGCTGCCGCAGGATGTTGCCCTTGATTCTAGGCAGAGACAGGAGGCATCAGACAGCTGTGACAGCCATGGAGCTCCCCTACCACTTCTGAGCCAGAGGGAAGACTTTGGAGAAGCAGAAGCCCAAAGACACTGCTGGGAGATTGGTCTGTGCTCTGGGAGAACCCTAGGTTGTGTTTCCCGTGTACAAGCCACCGATCTTGTGGAAGGTACCACCACTCCCAGCCCCGCTTGGCTGAGGGCTGCGGGCCACAGGTTTTCAGGACCGTGCTTGTGGTTGGAGGCTGTGGACTCAAGTGCGGCTGGCCCGGGACTTTCACAGGGCGCAGGGCGGGCTAGGGGAAGGCCCAGCTGTGAACTGATAAGGGGGTTTTACAGTCTAGGCCAGCACTTCTTCCCCTTTCACGGGCAAACGTGACATTCTTTTTCAGCACCTGTACTCACCCAGCTGCATCAAGGCGGACCAGACTTGTCCAACTCACAGCCCCAAAAGTCAGGGCAGAATAAAGCACAGTGGCTGATTTTAGCATTTTTAAAATAGAAATGTGAGTCAGCACCTGATGGACCTCACAGATCCCTGCTATGCCACGAGGGCTGCTGACTGGCCTTAAAAGCTCAGGGTGGCCCGGGGAGCTCTCAGAGCAGGCCTGCTTCTCACAGCTGAGCCGCTCAGTGCTGGGGGCTGGTGTTGAGTGGGTGGGAACCAGCCAGGTTCCCCGTGGAGTCTGTGCAGGAGGCTCTGGAGGGTCTGGGGTAGATTCCCTGGGGAGAGACTTCTGTCATTTGCTTTCCTCCAAGGCAGCCTCAGGGTCTAGCTGGCAAGTGGTCACTTTCCTGCAGAAACATGCTATCCTCCTGTTCTATCAGATAAGGAGGGCAGAATGAAGAGGTTGGGTGGAACCCTGGCCTTGGAGTCTGGAGACTAGGATTTTACTCTTGACAAAGCACATTATATAGATAGGGATATTGTCCTCCAATTTTCCTTTCACTTCCTTAATTAATATTGTTATCAATACTACTGTTGATGTATTGAACTCCTGCCATCTTCCAGGCACTGTGCTGAACACTTCACCAAACACTAGAGAATTAAATCCTCACAACCCTATGAAAGAGGTACTCTTATTCCTATATGCACATGGGGAAACTGAGCCTTCAGGAGGTTGAGAAAGTTTTCCAAGGTCACCAAACAGGATGACTTTGGACCCAGTCTGTTAATCATCCCCCTCTAGAGCACCATTGATCAAAATGGACTTGACCATATTCCTCTTTGGACTGGTTACTTAGCAAAAAACAGAAAAATTATTTAACAATTGTTTAAAACCACCTCTAAGTTTCTCTGGATATCTCATTATATAAGAGAGGTCTCACCTCTTTGGCTCCCACCCAGCTCAACTATGGAAACACAGGCTGTAAATTTTTATAGCCCAAATCCTAGTGTCCACCACTTTCTGTGCTCTAGTCCCACTAGCTGCTCTTGGCCCTGCCACTCCTGGCTCCCCGGCCTTAGTGAGTTTGGGAAACATCCCTCCAGTTCAACCTTGGCACCTTCCCTTGGACACACATTAGGTATTATTTCTCCTTCAGCTGAAGGCTTTGTAGCTATTGAAAGGCAAGGCATCTCTTGATGTGAGCCTTGAAGGACAGGTTGCTTTGGGTAGGCAGAGAGAAGCTGGTAAGGCGTATATTGTCTAAGGGTCTGGAGGTGGGGTATAAGGGGTATACAAGTCATAGAGTTGGGGATAGGCAGAACCCAGAGAGGGGAGAAAACTGGCCTGAGATAGAAGACCTTGCAAGGGAGAAGGAGGGTAGGAGCCTGGATGGTGTGAAATGCTAGAGGTGCATGGCTGGAATGGAGGGGGTGGGGCACCAGGCTTCAGATGCTTCTGGGTGCAGATGCAGATTTTCAGGATGTACAACATGGAGCATCCCCAAGGCAACTGTGTTGAGAGCCTGCGAGGCAGGTGAATGTGGATCTTCTACCCCCTCTCCTGACTGAGTTCACCAAGGAACAAGCTTTGTAAACTATTTGAGGGTAGGGGCTGTGATTATTTACTCTCATATCCTCAGAGCCTGGTGTTGAGGTTGGTGCTTTGTAGGCACCCAGGGACTTTCAAATGAATGAAGGGAGGGAGGGAGGAAAGAAGGATGGGTCCATAGTAGGACCTGGTGATGGGCTGGGAGCTCCAGGCAAATGTCAACCAATCCCTCTCCTGGGTCAGCTCCCAGGGGCTCACCCTTCTTTGCATTTCCAGCTCTCATGAGGTCATTGTGCACAGGAAAGCTCTCTCCTCTAATCTCCTCTGATCCTACTGCACCAGAGAAATCAAGCCAGAATTCAATAAAGTCTCAGTCCAGATAAACAAGACAAAAGAAATAAGATTCGAGTAGAAGATCTCCTTCAAGGGAAAGTTGCTGTGTTTGTCCAAGACCTTTGTCCCATCCATGTATCATCCCCCAAGTAAACACTTCTTGTTCACCTGTTCATTAGATTTCAAGTGCAGTCCCTGGCCTGTAAGTCCCTACAATGATAAGCTTCTCTTATCATTGCACATTCTTCATCAGGAGGATGCCAGAGGAGCTCAGCCAACAGTTCCTCATCAGTAGCAGATTCTTCAGAATCTTGGGCACTACACAGATGCCCTTGAGCTCTTTGAATAAAGGCTGATTTTTAGAAAAAACATTAAGACAGAACTTAAAAACAATAGATTGACTATAATCCAAAGACGAGTGTACCTCTAACCACAATTTTCATTTATTTTTAAATGTTTCCTTCATGGCCTTTCTTGTGGCTCACCCTATGCAGTTTGTGTATTTGTTGACAACTTTATGTGTTTTTAATATGGTTTTTGCCAAACTTGGTTTTTCCGAGACCGTCTTTTCTCAGAGGCTCAGTTTTACCGTCCTATCTGCAGTCGGCTACTTTCAGTGGCAGAAGAGGCCACATCTGCTTCCTGTAGGCCCTCTGGGCAGAAGCATGCGCTGGTGTCTCCTCCTGATCTGGGCCCAGGGGCTGAGGCAGGCTCCCCTCGCCTCAGGTAAGGCCTGAAACCCAGCAGAGCAGCAGGGAGGAAAAACAAGGCTAAGCTTGGTTGGAGACTTGGGTGCTTGTGTAGGGAAGACTCCAAGAGCATGCCACAGCTGCTTGAGAGAAAGAAATTGCAACTTTTAGAGTCCTGTGTACTCTTATTTAAGAAAGGACAATCTCTGAGAATGAGGTGGGGTTCTGTTTTTGGTGGCAGATGAAGGACTTTGCAGACTTCCGGGGTTGGAGGAGCCTGACTGGCCAGCACAAGAAGGAGCAGGAGAAGAAGAAGGGCTGGGCAGGAGGCATTGCCAGTTTGCTTTTAGAAGCTCATTCCTGCTCCAGCTTCTTTTCTGTTGCCTTTCAGGAACTTTCCAGGAAAACATTATAAGTTCTCTGTGAATTGAAAATGTCTTTTTCACAGATTCCAGAGGTTCTACCACTAGAGACTGATTTTTTGTTAAATTTATTTCTTCTATATTAAAAATCAGAGTCAAATATTTCTGAGGGAGGGGAACACAAATATTTAAAAACTGTGGTATAAATTAGTTTTTATGTTGCCTTCTGAACTATCTGAGGATGGAGATGTGCCCAGGGTTGCTGGGGAGAGGTTAAGTGCTGAGAGGGTGGTTATGCCTGGGAGAAGCAGGGTTTCCTGCTAAGCTTCCTTTGCTATTGGATTTCTTGGCTTTCCTGAAGGTTTTTTCAGGCACTGCAAATGACAATCAACCAAACAGCAAGGTTTTATTTCAAAGGATAATGCATCCAGCATAGAACTAGGCCGCAGGAAGAAACATAAAAACAAAACAAAATAAAAACAGAAGAGGTGGTATCAGCTGACAAGGGCTTATATTCTAAGTGGGTAGACAAAATAGGCCTACGAAAATAACAAGCTGGCCATGAAGCTACATAGCAGAATATGCGAGGGGGCAACGTGCTAAGTTGTGTAGTCATAAGCCAGGCATTTAGTAAGGTGCTAATTATACAATACAGGCAGTGAATGTGAAAGGAAAAGGGAGGTTGAGATGGGCTGAGGTCTTCTAGGAGGCGGGGAGGGAGTGCAGCCTTGACAAGCCTCCCTGTGGGCGAGGTGTAAAGAGGGGCAGAAGTCAGCTCTGGAAGCATAGGGCAGTGGGTGGGGAGGAGATGGGCTGGGCTGGGCTGGAGTAGAGATGTGTGGAGAAGGGTGAGAAGACTGGAAAGACAACCTGAATGGGGGACTGGGAGCCTTGAATAACAGGCATGGAGAGGAGCGTCTCTTGAAATGGAAGAAACAGGAAATAATTACAGCCTCTATGGAGGAGCAACAGGATGGACTGGAGAAACTATCATTCCAAAATCCAGTTGGGGCCTCAAAGGCCCTTAGAATTTTTCTAGGAAGGTTGAAGGCCAGCTGCTGACCCAGGACTCACATGTGCTTCGTCCTCTTCCCTAGGAATGATGACAGGCACAATAGAAACAACGGGGAACATTTCTGCAGAGAAAGGTGGCTCTATCATCTTACAATGTCACCTCTCCTCCACCACGGCACAAGTGACCCAGGTCAACTGGGAGCAGCAGGACCAGCTTCTGGCCATTTGTAATGCTGACTTGGGGTGGCACATCTCCCCATCCTTCAAGGATCGAGTGGCCCCAGGTCCCGGCCTGGGCCTCACCCTCCAGTCGCTGACCGTGAACGATACAGGGGAGTACTTCTGCATCTATCACACCTACCCTGATGGGACGTACACTGGGAGAATCTTCCTGGAGGTCCTAGAAAGCTCAGGTATTCCTGCTGGAGCAAGTTGGTGGATAAACCTCTCCCTCTAGCATAGAAAATGCAATCCTGAAACACTGCACAGCAGGGCTTCTCAATTCGGGATCACATTTGAATCACCTGAGGAGATTTTAAATCATACTGATGCCGAGGCCTCACCCAGACCAATTCAATCAGAATCCCTAATAGCAGAGCTAAACAAGGGTAAGGTCTAAAAGCATTTCCAGGTGATTCTAATGGGCAGCCAATACTGAGAACCACTGTTCTTATGTAAGAAGCACATCTTACCTATATTTCCTAGGAAGACCAGTTGATGAGGTCATATGCAAAAGTTCCCATTTATTGGTTTAGTATAATTGTGCAAATTAGAATTAACCCCTAAGTGTATAAAGAGTAGAGCTGGTTAAAAACATAGCCTGTGCTAAGTTTAATTGTACAGTAATTTACATTTGTGTGGTACTTCCAAGTTTCCCAAATGCCCTCATATTTGTTATCCACCTGTACATTTAAACCAATTCCCAGAGGTTAGAAAAGGATTCTTATCTTATCTGAGAGACAGTATAGCACCATGGTTAAAAGCTCAGACTCTGACACCAGACAGTCTGGGTGCAAATCCTGGCTCTGCTGTTGCCCTCAGACAGGATTTCTTAGCTTCTCTGTGTATCAGTTTTCTCATCTGTGAAAGGAGGATGAATATAAGACCTTATGCGATGCTAATGTAGGATTAAATTCCCTACTACAAGAAAATGGTCTTAGAACAATGCCTGGAACATGGTAAGTGCTGTATAAGTGTTAACTATTAGTATGATTCCCATTTGTTTGATGCAGGCAGAAGCTGGAGCTTGGAGTTGCTCAGAGTGGTAGAGCTGATTTTAACACAGATGTTTTTGTTCTACTAAACTGCATCCTCAGAACTCCTATTTACTGCTGTCAGTTATGTTGAAGATTAAGTTATATGGTTGCAAAATATGTGTAAACTGAGAAGATAAAAGGTTACCTTAAAGTTTCCTTTCAAATGTTACTTCTTTTTTTTTTTTTTTTTTTTTGAGACGGAGTTTCGCTCTTGTTGCCCAGGCTGGAGTGCAATGGCGCAATCTCAGCTCACTGCAACTTCCGCCTCCTGAGTTCAAGCGATTCTCTCCTGCCTCAGCCTCCTGAGTATCTGGGATTACAGGCACCCACCACCATGCCCGGCTAATTTTGTATTTTTAGTAGAGACAGGGTTTCTTCACGTTGGTCAGGCTGGTCTCAAACTCCCGACCTCCAGTGATCTGCCCGCCTCAGCCTCCCAAAGTGTTACTTCTTAACTGATTTCACATAGGCCAAACAAAGACTGGTTAAGAGTTGAGGCTCTGGAATTGCACTGTCTGGGGTTGACTATTGCAGTTGACCCCACGAAGTCTGGGTAAATTATGTACTTTTTTTCTCAGTTTTCTTGTCGATAAAATGTGGCAAATAATTTCATGAGCTGATACAAGTAAGGTCTTACAACAGTGCTAGATAGGTAATAAGCTTAACTTCATAAGGGCTAGTTTTTATGCTATTTATTGGTTCATGGTTAGAGGAGGCCTGGGACAATAAGCAGGGCAGGGGACCTAGATTCTGGCAAAGTAACCAAGTGATGGCCTTGACCATTCTGGGCTCTTTACCCCAGTGTCATATGCCAGAGGACCCATCACCAGACGGCAGGACCGGGAACAGGGAGGGAGTTCATCAGGCAGAAGGCCCCTGTGGAGTGGTAGTACCAGCAACTGAAGACCAAATGGGAGCTATGTCTGGTTGCTAATCTCCAGGCCAGGCCATTCATGGAGATCGGTGGTCCTGACATGCACACTCCTCCCCAAGACCACAGTGGCACGGCTATTTCCCAGCCTGAACCTGGGGAAATGAAGGTGCAAATTTCTTCTCTGTGGCTCATGGACCCCTGGGGAGAGAGATCAGAAGATGTTCTATTGGACCCCTGTGCAGCCTCCCCACAAAGCCTGTATGTTTCCACCCTTTTGCCATTGCAGACTCCAGGGAACACCATTGGTCACTCGGCTCTTCCCTCTTGTTTCCCAAGTGGTCAGTTGCTTATGTGGAATGCAAACTCTCCTTAATTACTTGCATTAGCACAAACCCTGGCTTCTTTTTGAACCTAATCTCAAACCTTAGTCCAAGTCCCTATCCTAATACTATCTGTAATATTTAAGCTATTCCTAACCTTAATGCTAAAATTGTACTTAACCCCAAAGTCAACCTGGTTAATAGGCAGAAGTTTTAAGTAACCCTTATACAGAGTCTGCCCCTTCCCCACCCTGCATGTAGTGATGTCATGCTTACTCAGGGCTGCTTCTGTTTCAAAGACCTTGATATCTTTGTTCTATGACCATAACTGTGAATGGAGACATTGGTGCTTTTATTTCAAACCAAAAATTCCAAATGAAATTGATACATCTAATATCCCAAGTTCCACTCTGGTCCCAATTGTATCTCGAACTTATCCTTAAACCTAACCAAACTCATTATCATAATCTTCCCTAAACCTCAACATGCTTTTCACTCCATCTATCTTCATCTGTCCCCAAGGTGTAAGAGAACCCAGGCCTAACCCTGCCTCCAATCTGGCTCTGTCCCCAAACTGATCATATATCCTTTCCTGGTTTTATGGATAGCCCTCTGCAGCCCCTCTTACCTGCTGCAGTGTGTTCTCTATGACCCCTGTGCTTTCCATCTGTCCTCTTTACTCCAGAGCTAACTGTATGGCTATGGCTAACCAGAAGCCGTCCTGGCCAACTGTGACTGAGTCCCTCAAGGCAGGAGGAACATGTTCTGGGGAATTTGAATTGTGCAGGCACCACCCTTGTCTTATGGATTGGATTCCTAAGCCACCTTTTAGCAACCCAGACCCTTAGGTAGAGGGATGAGATGTGAGGCTTCTGCTGCATCCTTTGAAGACTCCCCTGGATACCTGAGCCCTACCTGAGCTGCTGGGGCAGACTGGAAACCTACCTACAGCGCAGCATGCATGGGGGTGATGGTGTTCTTTTTCTCACATTCTTCTTGGGTCAGATCTTACTCATCTCTTCAAAACTCCCCTCCTGCATCTTCTTGCTTCCACTTACATGTTATCTCTTAATGAAATGCACTAGTTCATGATTTCACTTATGCCACAAATATTTATATTTACTGAGCATTCGCTATGTGTCAGATGCTGAGAAAACAGCAAAGGATAAGAGTCCAGAGCCTCATGCCCTCCAGGGTTTCACAGCCTAGCTGGAAATAAGTGTTATAGGCTTAAGGGAAAAGGTTACATACTTTTTTTCATTTTTGTAATTTAATGTTAACTTTATTTTAATTTTGAATTAAATATTTTTATTGATATGATTTCATATTTGAAGTTCAATAAAAGAAAATATTCACTTTCTGAGTTTTTTTCTGGAACTACTATTTGTTTCATTTCATGATTACCAAAAATGATTTTGTCAAATAGAAGAAACGAATGTTAAAATGACCTGCTCTGGTATCAAATATACAAGGTACACCACTGCTGAAAATATCAGTCATTGATTTCATGATGGGCCAGATGGATACTCTGCTGTTCAAAGTGTTGGGCTTAAAGGCTCCAGTCCCATGGTTACACAAAGGGCTTGGCCAATCCTCCCCTCTCTGCCGTGAAGCTCAGGCTGCCCTGGGGAAATCAGCTTCACTTCTGGCTTCTGCCACTCATCTCTGTTTTGTCCTCCCTCTAGTGGCTGAGCACGGTGCCAGGTTCCAGATTCCATTGCTTGGAGCCATGGCCGCGACGCTGGTGGTCATCTGCACAGCAGTCATCGTGGTGGTCGCGTTGACTAGAAAGGTAATGGCTCCGGCTGCACACCGCAGTCATGGGCACCCCCACGTCTGGCACCCGGGTCCTTTCAGGTTCTCTTTCCACCCAGAGAGAGACCCAGATGTGATCTTCCCGAGTGCTCTTTGTGCCTTTTTCCTGGCATTTGTTCTGCCTATTAGTGCAGTTATTTATGCTCTTCCGTTGTCCCTCTCATAGGGAGGGACCCCCTGGACAGCTGGACCTGTTTCCTACCCATCTTGCTGTCATTTGTAACTCCTGGTTTCTGCTTATCCCTTAAGCCACTGCTCTGAGAGTTTAATTTATCTACTATGATTTTGATGCATCGTGGGCATCTATATATGCTAGAGCTTTCTGCACATTAGCTCTTTTGATTATTACAACTCTCTGGTAGTGCTAGGTTACCCAGCATGTCTGTAGAATGAGAAATAAACACTCCAAAAATGTAGGGTTAGGCCAGGAGCTGTGGCTCACACCTCAGAAGCCACAGATATGGCTGGTGCTATTGGGAAAGTCAATGATCTGTAATATTTTCATTTATGTGTTGGCTATCACAATAGACATAATTCCACCCACTCGGGAGACTGTGGCGGGAGGATCACTTGACTCTAGGAGTTCAAGGCTGCAGTGAGCTATGACTGCACTCCAGCGTGGGCAACAGAGCAAGACTCTATCTCTAAAAAAAAAAAAAAATTGGTGGTAAAGTGGGCATGGCAAGATCAGCAGGTTGTAAATCCTCTGTTTAGCTTAAGAGCTTATGTGGCTGAAAGAGTAATGAATGGGGAATTGAAAGATCTAGTTTCTAGTTTTGGCACTGAGTGTATGCTTTTAGGAAAGTTACTTAATCTTTCAAGGTCTTCATTTCCTTATATATAAAATGGGGATTTGTCTTAGTCTATTTTCTGCCGCTGTAACAGAATACAATTATTGGGAAATTTATAAAGAAAAGAAGTTTATTTGGCTCATGGTTCTGGAGGCTGGGAAGTCCAGGAGCATGGTGTATTTGGCGAGGTTCATCCCACGGCAGAAGGCATCATGTGATGAGTGCATGCATGTGAGAGAGAGAGAGAAATGAGGCCAAATTCATCCTTTTAATTAGGAACTTACTCCCATGATACCTAACCCACTCCTGAGATAATGGCATTAATCCCTTCATGAGGGCAGATCTTCATGGCCTAATCACCTCTTAAAAGCATTACCACTTAATACTATTACAATGGTAATTAAGTTTCCAACACATGGCCTTTTGGGGGACACATTAAAACCATAGCTGTATTATAATTCGGCTTACTCTATATCATAGAGTTGTGATGAACAAGTGGCATATTTCATGTAAAATCTTTATAAATAACAAAGAATTATATCAGTGAAATTTATGTCATCAGCTACTGGTATTGATTGGGAGGAGTGAAAGAATTTCCACTCCTTGTTTTGTCTGATCTCTTGGGCCCTTTAAGTCAGCTCAGCCCAGGTCACCTTAATTCAAGTCACCACATAAATATTTTGGGAAACACAAGTTTGTAATTTCTACCTTTACCCCAGACCCTCCACCTGAGATCCTAACCCACTTTTCCTCCAACTCTAATTCCATTCAATTAACAACTCAGTTCTGCAGCCTGGTTGAACTGCAGTGGCTGAGACATGGCTGGTGCTATTGGGAAAGTCAATGATCTATAATATTTTCATTTATGTGTTGGCTATCACAATAGACATAATGAGGAAATGAACCCTCTATGGGAAGGTGAGGACAAGAGAAATGATTGAATAGAGGGGGGAGGTGAAGAAGATGAAAGTTGATCTCTTAGCTGGGAAGGGAGCTGCTATGGTGGTTGGTGAACAGGTTCTCTGCTGTTAGCAGTGTCCTGATGGTCTGGAATAAAAGAATCAAAGGCTCTTTAGAAGGAGCTGAACAACTTTTCCTGTTAAGGATTCAAGACTGGTTAATTTTCATTCTGGGCACCTGGACTAACTTTGGTCATCTGGAGGGTAGAGAAAGAGAAAAAGGTGAAGAGACCTATTGAGTCCTGTTGCTCCCTTTCTACAGTGTTTGATTCCCCAGCCCTCTCTGACATTTCCACTGCTTCCTGTGTAGTGTGGGTCCTCTCTGCATCTTTCCTGTGCTTTGGATATAGTTGTCAGTCTTCTGTCTCTCTCTCCTTGCTCAAAGCATTTTATAGTTGCATTATTCAGGGTTCCAGCAGGGAACATGTAGTACTCAAACTGGGTTGTTTGAAGACAGTTTAATAATAGGATTTCCAGAAGTCTAGTAGGATGTAAGGACACCACAAGGAGGAGTAGCAAGGTGCTGTAACCATTCCTAGTTCTTCAAAGGGTAGGGGAGGGGCTAATTATTGGAGCCTGGAAGGAGAGAGTTATGTGGAGGGGTCTCCTTCAGAAGTGCTGTAGTCTTTGCTGGAGGGTCACAACCAGTCCAAGGCCACCCTGCAGAAAGAACAAAGGGAACTACATACCCTCATCTCATTCCTCTCTCCATTCCCCTACTGTTGCTTTGCATTGGCTGACCTCAAACTTAGGATGGAGGATAAGGGGACTCATTGATGTAGTACATTTAGTACAGTCTTCATAGGGCACAGAATAGGGTGGAGAAGGTTAGAGAGCAGAGCCAAGAGGCAAATGGCTGGTATCCATTCAAGTAGTGCTCATAGACATGAACACTGGACAAAGGATCTTGACTTTCCACAGGGTTGGCTGGCTTCAGCCTTCTCTCTTGTAGTCTTGACCTCTTTTGATTATGTATGTAAGCAATACCCTTCTTGGCTGCCCAGCTGTATCTCTCCTGGGCACACTGTGCTCTATTAACCATTTTAATATTCCCATGGATCAGGCTTTCTTGGCTCCCATTGAAGTAATTACATCCATTTTGTTTCTTTAAGTGCTGCTATCTGTTCTGTACTATTTTGGGATCTCCTCATCCTCATTGCTACTAGGAATCCAGTTCTGTAAAAGCATCTCCTATTTTAGCCCTAGCCTATAGAGGAGAGATGCCACCAAACTTCTCAATGATGCTGGAGCTCCCCTAGCACATTCTTTTCCAGCTTAGTAAAAGGGATATTCTTTTTCTTTTTCCTTTTTCCCCTTTATTGTTGCTATTATCTTAAGGGATGTTCTCTGGATCTTCCCTAGAAAAGTCAATATAATCAGCTATTGGATTTTGGAAATTATTCAGTACAGGGATTGGCAAAATTTCTCTGTAAAGAGGCAGATAGTATATCTTTTTGGGTTTGTAGGTCATATGGTCTCTGTTGCAACAATTCAACTCTGCCATTGTAGTGTGAAAGTGCTATAGATTATATACAAATGAATGACTATGACTCTGTTCCAACAAACCTTTATTTATAAACACTAAAATGTTAATTTCATATAATTTTTATGTGTAATAAAATATTCGTTTTTCTTTCTATAAATTTTTATGTTTTAATTTTTTATATATTTTTTATTTCAATAGGTTTTTGGGGAATAAGTCCTTTAGTGGTGATTTCTGAGATTTTGGTGCACCCATCACCCGAACAGTGTACACTGTACCCAGTGTGTAGTCCTTTATCCCTCAGCCCTCTCCCACTCTTTTCCCTGAGTCCCCAAAGTCCATTAGTCCCTTGTATCATTCTTAACGCCTTTGCGTCCTCATAGCTTAGCTCCCACTTCTGAGTGAGAACATACAATGTTTGGTTTTTCATTCCTGAGTTACTTCACTTATAGTAGTGGTTTCCAATTCCATCCAGGCTGCTGCAAATGCCATTATTTTGTTCCTTTTTATGGCTGAGTAGTATTCCATGGTGTGTATATATATATGTATATATATATACACATATATATGTATATATATACACATATATATGTATATATATATACATATATATGTATATATATATATACATATATATGTATATATATATATACATATATATGTATATATATACACACACACACACACACACACACACAGACACATTACAATTTCTTTATCCACTCATTGATTGATGGGCATTTGGGCTGGTTCCATATTTTTGCAATTGCAAATTGTGCTGCTTTTTGTATAATGACTTCTTTTCCTCTGGATAGATACCCAGTAGTGGGATTACTGGATTAAATCATAGTTCTACTTTTAGTTCCTTAAGGAATCTCCACACTGTTTTCCATAGTCATACTAGTTTACATTCCCACAAGCAGTGTAAAAGTGTTCCCCTTTCACCACATCCATGCCAACATGGGTTATTTTTTTATTTTTTGATTAAGGCCATTCTTACAAGAGTAAGGTGGTATTGTGTTTTGATTTGCGTTTCCCTGATAATTAGTGATGTTGAGCATTTTTTCATATGTTTGTTGGCCATTTGTATATCCTTTTCTGAGAATTGTCTTTTTATGTCCTTAGCCCACTTTTTGATGGGATTTTTTTTTCAGCTGATTTGTTTGAGTTCCTTGTAGATTCTGGATATTAGTCCTTTGTTGGATATATAATTTACAAATATTTTCTCCCAATCTGTGGGCTGTTTACTCTGCTGATTATTTCTTTTGCTGTGCAGAAGATATTACTTTTTAAAACTATTTTTGTTTTAAAAAAACACTTAAAATATAAAAGCCATCTTTAGTTCAAGGGCTGTAAAAAACCAGCAGTGGGCCATATTTGACCCACAAAACTCAGTTTGCCATTTCTGATTTAGTAGGTTTATTCTCTGAGCATTTTGTTCCCCTTTTCCATAGTTTGCCAAAGCAGTGTTGTCATCTCTATTGACAGCAGTATATCAGAATCATCTCCTGGGGCCCTTGTGAGGGTGTTAAATATTGAGCGTTCCAATATTGACGCATTATCCCTCATCCAGGCTTATGTTCTACCCCCTACCACAATCCATCACCTTCAGAATTCATGCCTAGGCATCTTCTCCCAGTCCCTGCCAGTAGATGTTAGCCAGGTCCTGTAGTATATAACCTTTCTATTCTCTTAGCAGACCCAGCACTTCCTCCATTAGCATGGGCTGAGATTTTATCCTAATTACGGGCCTGATGGACAGTAGGGGAGGCAGAGGCAGGGCCCAGCAGGGATTCTTTTCCATCAAGGGGAAGTGGGCCACTTCTGCAGCTCCAGATGGTATAAGAGAAGCAGGTGGTTCCTGGCTCTCAAATGCATCTTTCCAGAGATCCTCATTCCAAGTTTCAGGAGACTCCTCCTCTACTATCAAGATGCTAGCTTTGGCATAGAAAATTTACCTAGGCTTAGAATCAGCCTTCTTTAAAGTCCTGTCCCTCTTACAATTAGCTTATGTACCTGGTCTTCAGCTGTGGATAGACGAGTGTCTTTTAAATGCTGCCAAGGAGGAGCTTTAACTCTCACACTTTGAGTTGCTGATAGATCTGAGGCTGTCATTTTCTCACTTCAGTCCATCGGTGCAATTTAGCAAAAGTCAATTTTGAGTCCTAATATTAACTATTACCCTATACTGTTGACCCAATTCCAGAGTTCTAACACTAACTATTTACCCTATACACCTCAAATGTTAGAGTCAGTGCACCAGCTCATAGTTTCCATCCATCTGTGTCCCATCTCATTTCACCACCAGTCATGGGGTTTGTGTTGCCATCTAGCAGGTGAATGATCCCATTCCACAATCCTGTTCTTACAGGCTGCCTTCTAGGACTATTCCCAGCAGCAACTGTTTTAGATCAGGTCCCCGGAAATAGAGCCTGACATGCAAATTTTGGTGAGAGTGACTTATTGGGACAGCTCTCAGATGAAAAGTAGTGAAGGAAGCAGTATAGGGAGGGCTAAGGGAAGAAAGCTCAGCATGGATATGGTCTCAGCTGGAGACTTGGCTGAAGCAAGAATTGTACAGAGTCGGTTGAACCTTTAGGCAGGGAGCTGGCATTTTGGAAATCCACCTAGGTCAGTCATTACTTCTGGCTGCTCACCAGCGAGGGCCCAAGAGCAATTCTCCAGAGAAGGGGCTGCTGTGAGCTCACAGCGTACACTCCCAGCATCTGGAAAATGGGAGTGCTGGTCAGGTAGAGAGATCTGAGCAGGAACTGTACATTAGTTATGGGTCTCCGGAGGGACAGAACCAATAGGAGATATAGATGGATGGATGGATGGATGGATGGATGGATGGATGGATGGATGGATGGTTGGATGGATGGATGGGTGGGTGGATGGATGGATGGATAGATAGATAGATAGATAGATAGATAGATAGATAGATAGATGAGGAGGGATTTGTTAGGGGAATTTGTTCAGGTGATTGTAAAGGCTGAGAAGTCTCACCACAGGCTGTCTGCAAGCTGGAGACCTTGGGATGCTGGTAGCATGGCTCAGTTCAAGTCCAACAGCCTCAGAACCACTGAGGCTGTTGGTGTAATTCTCAGTCCAAGGCTAAGGGCCTGAAAACCCAGGGTCAGGAGCACTGGTTTAAGTCCTGGAGTCCGAAAGCCAGGGAGCCTGGTGTCCTGATGTCCAAGGACAGGATGAGAAGAGTGTGTCCCAACTCCAAAGAGAGAAAGTACAATTTTGCCTCTCTTCTGTTTTGGGAAAGGCAGGCCTCCAGGTGAGTGGATGGTGCTTGGCTACATTTAGAGTGTATCTTACCTACTCACTTCACTCAGACTGACATGCCAATCTCCTTTGGAAACACCCTCACAGACACACCCAAAATGGGCTTTACTAGCTCTCTCAGCTCCCTTAATCCAGTTAAGATGATACCTAAAATTAGCTATGACAGGCACAACAGCATTCACTACAGACCTTGAGAGCCCATAGACTGTGTTATTTAGGAGCATGTTCTTTGGAATCAGACAGTCCTAGGTTTGGGTCCCAACTCAACCACTTGAGTAGCTGTACCACCTAACTTTGATGAACCTCAGTTTTCTCATCTGTAAAATGCCGATAATTATGGCATTGCCTTCATAAGGTCATGAGAAAACTTCAGTCAAATAATAATTAATGTAAGGCACTTAGCATTTTTCCTAGCATGTAAGCTGGAAAGGTGAGTGGGACCATCACAAGGGATGTTTTTGGGATCATCACAAGGGATGTTTTGGGGATCATCACAGTTTCTTATGAGGAATGTAGTGAAATTATGGATTTTCTTCTTGGGCAAAATTTTCTATACAATTTACAAATCCCCTGAAATCCAGCTGTGCATCTCAGGTTAAGCACCCTCCTATATACAGTGGAGCCATTGAAGAGTTTTAGGCAGAAATATGGACTGACACAACTTTTGTTTTTGAAAATCACTCTGCTGGCGACCATGTGGAGTTGGACTAGAAGTAAGAGGGAGTCCAGAGACAGTGAGGATGAAGCCCAGGTGTGAGAGAAGACATGGATATAGAGATGGAAAAGAGGGAGTAGATTTCAGAACTGCCTAGGATTAAAATTGGATGAAGTTTTACAGATAAATTGAGTTGAACATTAGCCTCCAGATTTCTGCTCAGCTGGTGCCATAAACCAGGGCAGTGAATATAGGGGCAGGAGTGGTTTGTTGGGGCAGGAATGTGATGGTGTCGTTTGAGACAATTTGAGTCTGAGCTTGCCGTGGGTCATCAGGTGATGATGCCCAGTGGACAGGTGGACACCTGCATCTGGAGCTCAGGGCAGAAGCCTGGGCTAGTTTAGATAGAGATTTGGGCATCTTCAGAGGACAGATGGTGGTTGTAGATGTAAGAAAGTAGATGCTCATGAAATCACTCAGAGAGCATGTTTAGCGTGAGAGAAAGCAGAGAGCAGAACCCTGGGGAACCCCACGGTTTGGGGAGCTGATGTGCAAAGAGAAAAGGGGCAGGCCTGGCTGAAGACGAAGGTGGGGGTTCAAAGGAGGAGAAGAAAATCAGGAGAGAGTGATGCCAAAGGATCCAGAGAAAGAGAACATTTCAGAAAGTAAGAGGTCGACAGAGTCAAGTGCAGTAAACAGTACAAGAAAATAGAGAATGGAAAGCTGCCTCACTAAGCTTAGTGAACAGGAAGTAACAAGGTGTGTGGCACGTGGTATATGTAGTAAGTGCAGTTTCCATGGACTAGTTAGCATTTAAATCTAGCTGTAACGCGGTTGAGAAATTAAGGGCTAAGGAATTGGTGTTGGTAAGAACATAAGTTTGCTGGTGTGCATGTGTGTAAGAAAGGAAGAGAGAGATGTCATATTGGGGATTAACTGTTGAATAACATCCCCACATACTCACTTTGTAGTTTGTTTGTTTTTAGAAGAAAGCCCTCAGAATCCATTCTGTGGAAGGTGACCTCAGGAGAAAATCAGCTGGACAGGAGGAATGGAGCCCCAGTGCTCCCTCACCCCCAGGAAGCTGTGTCCAGGCAGAAGCTGCACCTGCTGGGCTCTGTGGAGAGCAGCGGGGAGAGGACTGTGCCGAGCTGCATGACTACTTCAATGTCCTGAGTTACAGAAGCCTGGGTAACTGCAGCTTCTTCACAGAGACTGGTTAGCAACCAGAGGCATCTTCTGGAAGATACACTTTTGTCTTTGCTATTATAGATGAATATATAAGCAGCTGTACTCTCCATCAGTGCTGCGTGTGTGTGTGTGTGTGTATGTGTGTGTGTGTTCAGTTGAGTGAATAAATGTCATCCTCTTCTCCATCTTCATTTCCTTGGCCTTTTCGTTCTATTCCATTTTGCATTATGGCAGGCCTAGGGTGAGTAACGTGGATCTTGATCATAAATGCAAAATTAAAAAATATCTTGACCTGGTTTTAAATCTGGCAGTTTGAGCAGATCCTATGTCTCTGAGAGACACATTCCTCATAATGGCCAGCATTTTGGGCTACAAGGTTTTGTGGTTGATGATGAGGATGGCATGACTGCAGAGCCATCCTCATCTCATTTTTTCACGTCATTTTCAGTAACTTTCACTCATTCAAAGGCAGGTTATAAGTAAGTCCTGGTAGCAGCCTCTATGGGGAGATTTGAGAGTGACTAAATCTTGGTATCTGCCCTCAAGAACTTACAGTTAAATGGGGAGACAATGTTGTCATGAAAAGGTATTATAGTAAGGAGAGAAGGAGACATACACAGGCCTTCAGGAAGAGACGACAGTTTGGGGTGAGGTAGTTGGCATAGGCTTATCTGTGATGAAGTGGCCTGGGAGCACCAAGGGGATGTTGAGGCTAGTCTGGGAGGAGCAGGAGTTTTGTCTAGGGAACTTGTAGGAAATTCTTGGAGCTGAAAGTCCCACAAAGAAGGCCCTGGCACCAAGGGAGTCAGCAAACTTCAGATTTTATTCTCTGGGCAGGCATTTCAAGTTTCCTTTTGCTGTGACATACTCATCCATTAGACAGCCTGATACAGGCCTGTAGCCTCTTCCGGCCGTGTGTGCTGGGGAAGCCCCAGGAAACGCACATGCCCACACAGGGAGCCAAGTCGTAGCATTTGGGCCTTGATCTACCTTTTCTGCATCAATACACTCTTGAGCCTTTGAAAAAAGAACGTTTCCCACTAAAAAGAAAATGTGGATTTTTAAAATAGGGACTCTTCCTAGGGGAAAAAGGGGGGCTGGGAGTGATAGAGGGTTTAAAAAATAAACACCTTCAAACTAACTTCTTCGAACCCTTTTATTCACTCCCTGACGACTTTGTGCTGGGGTTGGGGTAACTGAACCGCTTATTTCTGTTTAATTGCATTCAGGCTGGATCTTAGAAGACTTTTATCCTTCCACCATCTCTCTCAGAGGAATGAGCGGGGAGGTTGGATTTACTGGTGACTGATTTTCTTTCATGGGCCAAGGAACTGAAAGAGAATGTGAAGCAAGGTTGTGTCTTGCGCATGGTTAAAAATAAAGCATTGTCCTGCTTCCTAAGACTTAGACTGGGGTTGACAATTGTTTTAGCAACAAGACAATTCAACTATTTCTCCTAGGATTTTTATTATTATTATTTTTTCACTTTTCTACCAAATGGGTTACATAGGAAGAATGAACTGAAATCTGTCCAGAGCTCCAAGTCCTTTGGAAGAAAGATTAGATGAACGTAAAAATGTTGTTGTTTGCTGTGGCAGTTTACAGCATTTTTCTTGCAAAATTAGTGCAAATCTGTTGGAAATAGAACACAATTCACAAATTGGAAGTGAACTAAAATGTAATGACGAAAAGGGAGTAGTGTTTTGATTTGGAGGAGGTGTATATTCGGCAGAGGTTGGACTGAGAGTTGGGTGTTATTTAACATAATTATGGTAATTGGGAAACATTTATAAACACTATTGGGATGGTGATAAAATACAAAAGGGCCTATAGATGTTAGAAATGGGTCAGGTTACTGAAATGGGATTCAATTTGAAAAAAATTTTTTTAAATAGAACTCACTGAACTAGATTCTCCTCTGAGAACCAGAGAAGACCATTTCATAGTTGGATTCCTGGAGACATGCGCTATCCACCACGTAGCCACTTTCCACATGTGGCCATCAACCACTTAAGATGGGGTTAGTTTAAATCAAGATGTGCTGTTATAATTGGTATAAGCATAAAATCACACTAGATTCTGGAGATTTAATATGAATAATAAGAATACTATTTCAGTAGTTTTGGTATATTGTGTGTCAAAAATGATAATATTTTGGATGTATTGGGTGAAATAAAATATTAACATTAGTTTCATGCTTCTTTTTATCTTTTTAACGTGGCTACTGGAAAGTCTAAAATTGCATATGTGGCTCTCATATTTCTATGTGACTGTGCTGCTCTAGTAGCTAAACCCAAGCCAAACTGATACCCAGGGAGGGTGTCTATCTATGTCTATTGGTCTCCATTTCTTTTTCTTTCAAAATAGTGTTTGAGGAAGATTTTCCTGCTTATGATGTCTTTTGGGAAATATGTAGGGAAGCATCACAGAGAAGATTGAGGAAGGGGAACACTCAGTGCTGACAGGAAGCGATGCCAGGCTTTTCTGGGTCCCCTCGTGGATTCCCTAACAGGAGGAGCGAATAGACAAATCTATGAATGAGCATTCAAGGAGGAATACATTACTGATTCCCTGACCACATTCTAAGCCTGGGCGTACAAGTCTGATCTATAATCCTGAGAATTATACTAAAGAAACGTGAGAAACTTTGAGTCATGGAGCTTTGAGATAGATGGTCTTCATGAGTGAACAGGACCTCACTATGCAATTTTATTTCCTGCCTTTTCCCCTTTTCATTTCTCACCACTGTGAGCCCCAGAAATGAGTCGTCATACACTCAGGTTCATTCAGATTCCATCAGTGCTGAGCTGGACAGGCAGGGAGGCTGGGTGTGAGGTCCACCAATGACAGCATTCTGGTGGGCACACCTCACCCCACAGAGAGGGGGCAATGGGCAGTGTGGCTGTCATTTGTGGGGTGTGAGTTTTGTTTAGTCTCCTGATTCTTTCAGGTGCTGCTTCATAGCTGTAACTGGTAGTTTCCCACACTTACTCCAAGTCACACCTGTCAAGAGGTACAGGGGAGCTTTTTGTGTGGCAAGAGCCTGAGCTTTCTGGAAGTCACAACGATATACTCAATGTTTGAGGTAATTTATTTGCATAAGGTAGTGTAGGACAATGCTATCCAAAGAACTTTCTGCAATTATGGAAATGCTCTATGTCTGTCCCATCCAGTATGGTAGCCATTAGCTGCATGTGGCTGTTGAGCACTTGAAATTTGGCTAATGTGACAAAGAAACTGAATTTTAAATTTTATTTCATTGTAATTAACAAATTTAAATGTAAATAGCAACATGTGACTGGTGGCTAGTATATTGGACATTCCAATTCTAGTAATTGCCTTGCATATAGAGAAAACACAGACAGCTGTGTTTATAGGACATTGGATGGCTCGCCAGTTGTTATGCATTTGAAATGGCTATCACCAGGAAGAAACTTGAAGGTTCTCCTCTACTCTCCTATATCCATCCTCTGATCGAGACAAACCATGAGGTCAAAGCAGGCTGTACATTTATTTATTTCAGGTTTTTTCAAAA